>NC_000006.12:118404123-118707153 GCF_000001405.40 Homo sapiens | reverse complement strand
ACTGCTGGGACCAGCCTGGAGGGACCAGTACTTGGGGTCACAGAGTTGGAATGGCATCCATGGCAGAGTTGTGATCTCTCTCCAGGAGAGATAGCCTGGGCTCAGACAGGGAGATATGAAGATGAACTCATTGAAGTTTGGGGATTTGCCAGGCCAATGAGGGGCAAGGGAACTGAGATACTGAAGAGAATGGTTAAAGGGATGGCTCATGAGAGCTCCATGGGGTAGGGAAGCAGTGAAGTGAAGAGGACACTAATAGGGAAAGAATTCCAGGACTGGAATCACAAAGCGAGAGTCTTTTTGGGGTGTGGGAAGAGTAGCTAAGCGAGAAGTGGAAGAGGAGGGGATTGTGATTGGAGAGAAAAGTTCCCTATAAGACTAGACCACATTGATGAGGAGGACGGAAAGGAAAAAAGGAATTAGATGTTCAAAAATGTAAGAAAAGAAAATATGACATGGTGGCGTTTCCTGATATCTCAAGTTGAGAAAAGAAAGTTAAAAGAGAAGTGAATACTGGAAGACAGTGAAGGTTTTGTATAATTTAAAGTAAGTGGCACATAAAATAAAAATTCCAGGAGGTTCAAATGTATGTTTCATCAGTTGAGGTTACCCTAAGATAAAAGTTGAAATTATGTTAAAACTTTCTGAAACTCTCAGAAGACCTAACATCTCAAAGGGGCTAGATTCTAGAAAGAAAAAGCTTGCCAATTCCAGTTCTGGCTAGGCATTCTTAGAATACCTTAGAGTAGGTTTTAGTCTTACAGGGTTTCTGCTTTCAGAATATCAACAGGTCTTGACAAATAAAGCTTTTGAAATTTCCCTCTACTGAAATGCTCCATCTGCATTTCAGGATAGTGATGGAAATGCATCAGCTTCATTTCTGGCACTTTGATTGATGAACTTAGACTTCAATATGAAGAAAACCACTGTTCTTCTATCTAGAAAATGAAACTAAAAATAATCCCCTTGTCAGAGTGTCTGTGTTCTGTGGTTAAATTTAAGGCAACTTATTGAGTATTCATTACATGCTGGATACGAGCCCTTCCCTGACAGAGAGCACAGAGCACTACCAGAGGAGCTGGGACACACACCTACATAGACGGCCGTGATACTTCTTAAGAAGCAGCTCCCAAATCTACCCAATTAGCACAGTGCTCACTGTGGGCAAAAAGCTGAGAGCAACAATGTGGGGGCGGGCTTAGCAGGAAAGGCCTCCCAGGCATTGCATAAATGCAAGAGGTCAGAGAAAGAATTCACACCAGGCAAGGAAATTATTTATGGTATTGCAAGGGTGAAAAGATTTTTTTTCAAATCTCCTGGTATCTCTGTTACTCTGCCCTAGTGTTTGGACATATGGAGTTACCATTCCCATTAAATTATTAAAATGTGCCAGAAGACTTGGAATCCCTCAAGAGCATATTGTGAGAAGGGCTCACACACCTCCAATTATGCCTTTGGCACAAGTGCCATGTCAGATTGATGTCTGGAAAAGGATTGAGATTTGGAAAACCACATAATGATTTCTTGTATTGTTTTATCCTTCATTTTGTGCAAATCACACTTACCATGCCATTAGTAGCTTCCTCACAACTCAACAATGTTAAGAGGGACTTGCTAGCTAACTTGATCCCTAATGGAAACCTTTTACTAGGGAGGGCTGGATTTGGTTCCGGGGTCAAGGCAAACACCCTTCAATGAGCCCATGCCATGCCTTGTAACTATATTTTAAACATTTTCATTGTTCCTTCTGCAGAAATTATATCTCTTCCTCCCTTCTGCAAATTGTCCAAGCCCAAAAAGATATTTTGTGCTTATTTAGTGTTATCTCACAGTCTGGGGCAAATTATCAATAAAACAAGAAGCCAAAATCTAATAAGAAAAGGCAGGATATGAGAGGGTATGCATCTCTGCTGCATGAAGAGAAGACAGCAGCACCTCTCGTTTTCTTTTAGAGACTGTTCGGCCCCATGAGTTTATTAAAACAGAAGAAATAAGTTGAAAATGGAAAAGGGTGTGTGTGGGTGATGTGGTTACTTAGCAACAGGGAAGCTTCCGGCTGATGTTCTGAATTGAACAAAGAAAAACAGGACAGCAGGGAATAAAGGAATGGGGAAAAAATGAAAGGGAGTAAAACAGATGTGGTTGGGAGAGAGGGCTAAGAAGGGGTGAAAAATAAAAGTCAGGGAAAAAGCATGAACAGAAATGTGGTAAATACTTAGAAACAGGAAGCCTGTGAATTTTTAAAAATGGAAAAAAAAGCCACTGAAAGAAAGGTGAAAATAGCCAGAAGGGTAAGAAAACATCTGCAGTGGAAGCTGCTAGGCAAATGGAGGAATAAAATGCCCCAGCGCCATGAACTCTTAGCTTAAAACTAGGCTCTTTTGGCCAGGCGTGGTGGCTCAAGCCTGTAATCCCAGCACTGTGGGAGGCCGAGGCAGGAGGATCACTTGAAGTCAGGAGTTTGAGACCAGCCTGGCCAACGTGGTGAAACCCTGTCTCTACTAAAAATACAAAAATTAGCCGGGCATGGTGGCGGGTGCCTGCAATCCCAGCTACTCGGAAGGCTGAGGCAGGACAATCACTTGAAAACCCAGGAGGCGGAGGATGCAGTGAGCAGAGATCAAGCCACTGCACTCCAACCTGGGCGACAGTGCAAGACTTTGTCTCAAAACAAAAAAGCAAAACAAAACAGAACACTAGGCTGTTTTGTGGTGTGTGAGGTCACACCAGGGTGCACCTGAGGCAAGGGGCCCAGAACAAACCCCAGGCCACCAGTCTGTTGAGTCCACTCAGAAAATGAGCCAGTGGGCAGGGTAGCTCCAGGGATATTTTTATAACATTTTATTATAGGCATGAACCCTTAGAATGACCCTAAAATAACATGCCCCCAAAGGGAAATTCCAAAAGAATTGGATGTTAGTCAAGAAAACTTCTAATTTCATCTTTGATTCCTCCAAAGAGTTTGGTATAATGTCATAGCCCAGAGTAGGTCAATAATTACAGATAGGTATGCCTTTTCCCAGTGACTTTGTCATGCCAGTTACATGATATCTGGTAGGCATGTGTGTGCTTATTTATATTACATGGCAGGTATAGTTTGCTTCTATATTTGTCTCTTAAAAGGGCTACCATGTTTCCTAGCCCATCCTCTATATTTTTTGATCATTCACATATGCGTATAAAAAATTTTTGAGCATTTGCTCAACAGAGATACATTTTTATTCATGAATTATATACATGTATTATCTAATAATACATGGGTCATTAGAATATGATGTACATATTAATAATGAGATACAGATAACATTAAATATATTTTTAAAATTTTAATTGGTTAAGGATTTTATTTTATTAATGGAGCTTTCACCTCCCCAACTTCACTTTCATTTCCCCACACAACCCTCACCCAAAAGTACCTACCAGATATAATACAAGAGCATATGGTAGGGGCTCATAAAGCGTTTGCAGTAAACAGGAGAGGAATAGCATTTTCCCAGTCCCTGCTCTGAGCCATCGCATTATATTTTACAGGGATGCGTGAAGTTACATACTTATATTTCACTCCCATAGAGATTATATGCTATTTTTGTTTTTCTGCATATAAAATAGGACTGAGTTTTTAAGTTATTCCTCTTTGAAAAAGTTATCTGGTGGGGCACGGTGGCCTATGCCTGTAGTTCCAGCACTTTGGGAGGCTGGGTGGGAGGCTCACTTGAGGCTAAGAGTTCAAAAAGCTTTTATCTATAATGTTTGATTTCTAATTAAGTATGGTTGAATAACAACACACTTCAAATCCCAGTAAAATGATAGAACATGAATCCTTATGAAAGGGTTGGTATATCAGTTATTTATTACTGCATAAAGACTACCTCAAAACTTAGTGGCTTAAAATAACGATTTATTTGCTCAAAAAAGACAAAAAGAAAGAAAAAATAAGCAAACAAACAAATAAATAAAATAAAGAAAGAACTACAGAAATAGTAATCCCCCCCACCAAAAGACTGATTTATTTGTTTTGCTAGGTTCTCTTGAGGTCTTATTCAGAAGTCACAAATCGTCACTTCTGCAGCATTCTATTGGTCAAAGCAAGTTATAAGGACAGCTTGAATTTAAGGGGTGGTAAAATGAACTCTAGCTCTTTTTTTTTTTTTTTTTTTTGAGACAGAGTCTCTCTTTGTCGCCCAGGCTGGAGTGCAATGGAGCCATCTCGGCTCACTGCAAGCTCCGCCTCCCAGGTTCATGCCATTCTCCTGCCTCAGCCTCCCGAGTAGCTGGGACTACAGGCGCCCGCCACCAAGCCCGGCTTATTTTTTGTATTTTTAGTAGTGACGGGGTTTCACCATGTTAGCCACGGTAGTCTAAATCTCCTGACTTCGTGATCCGCCTGCCTCAGACTCCCAAAGTGCTAGGATTACAGGCGTGAGCCGCCGTGCCTGGCCAACTCCAGCTCTTGATGAAAAAAGTTGTAAACAATTTTGTAACCATTTTAAATTCACCAGACTTGGAAAATGTTAACTTGTTTTAGAAAGTGTAGGTTTTATCAAAAGGTCTATATAAAGAAATGCACACACTACTTTTTTCTCCCACTTATTTCATTTCAACTAGTTTGTAACTGAAATTGCAATTAATTGTTTTTCTTTTTGAGATGGGGTCTCCCTCTGTTACCCAAGCTGGAGTGCAGTGGTGCAATCACAGCTCATTGCATCCTTGACCTCCCAGACTCAAGGGATCCTCTCACCTCAATTTTCTGAGTAGCTGGGACCACAGGTGCATATCACCACGCCTGGCTAATTTAAAATATATTTTGTAGAGATGGGGTCTCCCTATGTTGCCAAGGCTGGTCTTGAACTCCTGGGCTCAAGCAATCCTCCCACCTCAGCCTCCCAAAGTGCTGGGATTATAGGCGTGAGCCACTGTGTCCAGCCAAAATTTTTAAAATTTAGGTAAATAACAGGTAGTCATTTTGTAGATATACATCCAATTAGTCATAGTGAATGATTAAAAAAAAAAAAGAATAGAATTTCCACCATAAAGTAAAAGCCCTACTATTCCAAAGTGGAGCTATCTACGGAGAGTAAATATAAAGCAAAATATTAATGCATGTATTTCCAAGATTGAGCATTAGCCCTAAAATGCTATATTACTGTTATTCTTCTCTGCCTACTGGATGAGAGAGAACATTTTTAGCTTCAATAGATGTTCCATCATATGGACCTTTTCTCTTCCTCCTTCCTAATAGAAACCCCAATTTTATTCAGGCATTTGACCTATCCTTATGTATAGGAGTAAATGTTATTAGAATGAACCATCATGTGAATTTCTTCTCCCTTGCTGGTGACTGGTTCAGGAACCCAATCTTCTTTGTTTTTTTTCCAACTTTAATTTTAGATTTGGGGGTATGTGTGCAGGTTTTTTATCTGGGTATATTGCATGATGCTGAGGTTTGGGGTATAATTGATCCCATCACCCAGGTACTGAACATAGCACCCAACAGTTTTTCAACCCTTGCCTTTCTCTCTCCCTCTCCCTTCTAGTAGTTTTCAGTTTCTATCATTGCCATCTTTATGTCCATGAATACTCAATGTTTCACTTCCACTTATAAGTGAGAATATGTGGTATTTGGTTTTCTGTTCCTACATTAATTTGCTTAGGATAATGACCATAAACTGCATCCATGTTGCTGCAAAGGACACGAACTTGTTCTTTTTTATGGCTGTGTAGTACTCCGTGGTGTATATGTACCACATTTTCTTTATCCAGTCCACTGTTAATGGACATCTAGGTTGATTTCATGTCTTTGCTATTGTGAATAGTGCTGTGGTGAACATATGAGTGCATGTGTTTTTTTGGCAGAATGATTTATTTCGGATATATACCCTGTAATGGGATTACTAGGTCGAATAGTAGCTCTAAGTTCTTTGAGAAATCTCCAAACTCCTTTCCACAGTGGCTGAACTAATTTACCTTCCAACCAACAGTGTATAAGCGCAGGAACCCATCCTCGAAAGCTGTCCAATGAATGCCGTTTCCATGGTGGCTCTTAACAATGTAGAAATGGCAAATCACTCTGAATGGGAGGACTTGTATCCTGTGGCTTTGGGATTATGTCTCTCCTACAGAATGTACATAGGAAGCGTTATGCTCTGGTGGCCACCCTAACAACCAAGAGGGATTCCCTCCTGAGGACAAAGCTAATTCCCAGAGAGCAGAACAAGAGAACTGAAGAAAAACAGGGCCAGAACCTGCATGTAGCACTGCTGAAGCCCACCTTGCCTCAGAATCCTTACTATGTTACATAATAAACATGCAGACTCTTGAGGCCAATTTCACACAGGTTTTACCATTTTTAGCCCAATGAGCCTTCCTGTCTGATGATGCTGTTACTGTCAGGGGTTCTCAGTACTCTCACTTGAGAAAGTCTAGGGAACAGTTTCGCAAGGCAAGTCACTTCTCCTCACATCCCACTCCCACTGTCTCTCAAGATCACCAGAACTGCGTGTAGATTCAGATCCCATATGCCTCAGGAGTTCAACTGCAAAGCCAAATTCAAGAGCAGAAGATGTTCTCACCAAAGGAATTGAAAGAGTGCTAAGGTATGCTGGCATAATATGGAGAATATGTGTGGAAATGGATTGAGAGTACTAGACCAAGAAAGGAAGAGCATAACTATAGATCACACAGAATTCAGCAATAGGGATACACTTATTGGAGATTCTGGATTTAAGGTGCTGGCTTAAGCAGCTGCAAGTTGTGTAAATTATTTGCTCTCTTGAGCTGTGCTCAGTAGTATTTCATTCCAAATGAACAGGAAATGCTAGACATTTTTGTAAGAATACAGGTGAAGGAAGCCAACAGGTTATGGAGATGAGAATATTGGGGTAGATTATCACATGTGAACTACACGCTTATTCCCTAACAGTCTCCTTCCTCTAGAAGGAGGAAGAAATGCACAGAAAACCTTTTTTATACCAGGGGCTCAAGAATTGCATAGGTATCTTAAAAGGCATTTTGGTGGTTTTCATGTGCTGGGGTAAAAAGAGAATACTCTGTGGTTGAAAAGGGCTCCTGATTTCAACAGTGACACTGATGGAAAAGGACAAGTAGTGGCACCTAACTGGCAAAGTTAAGGTGGGCATGCTCCTATAATAATAGCAGTAGAGGCCGGGTATGGTGGCTCACGCCTGTAATCCCAGCACTTTGGGAGGCTGAGGCGGGCAGATCACTTGAGGTCAAGAGTTCAAGACCAGCGTGGCCAACATGATGAAACCCTGTCTCTACTAAAAATGCAAAAATTAGCTGGGCGTGGTGGTGCGTGCCTGTAGTCCCCGCTACTCGGGAGGCTGAGGCAGAAGAATCACTTGAACCCAGGAGGCGGAGGTTGCACTGGGCCGAGATCATGCCATTGCACTCCTCCAGCCTGCATGACAGAGTGAGACTCTGTCTCAAAAATAATAATAATAATAGTAGTAATAATAATAATAATAGCACTAGAGCTGGTATGGCATTCAAAATGATACATCCTTCAAACATCTCCAGAAATCTTTTACATATAATGGAGTTACAAAGATAAAAACAGATGAGCAGCCCACCAGGGGCCTAATTCAGTTGAATAATGGAAAATACTCCAGGATTAGTGGCTGTAGCTTTGGTGTTGTGTTCGTTAACTCAGTCGTTCTGGTAGGGTCTTTTTTTTTTTTTTGAGACAAGGTCTTGCTCTGTCATCCAGGCTGACATGCAGTGGTGTGATCACGGCTCACTACAGCCTTGACCTCCTGGGCTCAAGTGATCCTCCCACCTCAGGCTCCTGAGTAGCTGGAATTTCAGGGACGTGCCACCATGCTCGGCTAATTGCTTAATTTTTTTATAGAGATGGGGGTCTTGCTATGTTGCCCAGGCTGATCTCAAACTCCTGGGCTAAAGTGATCCTCCCACCTCAGCCTCCCAAAGTGCTGGGATTATAGGCATGAGCCACTGCACCTGGCCCATGGTGCCCTTCTGATACTTGCCTCCCCAGTCTTTCCAATGATTTTATAAGCACTTAATTCTCTGTCTTAAGACTCTTTGTATTTAAAATACTTAGAGTGGTCCACTGCGCTGAACACAAATGCATTCTAATAAGCCCCTGAACCCTCGCTAGGATTATTTTCAGTTTCCGGGCATATTATTAGTAAAAATAACCTCAGTAAATGGCAGAATTCTGACACTGACCCTCTGACCTATAGAATAGAGTTTAACACAGTTATCATGGTTAAGAATGACTTTGTGAAAGCTCAGGGGTTACCGTCACTGTCAAAATAGTAAATCAAAAAATATTCTGTTATACTTCATTGAAAAAATTATTGTAATTTTTTTGCACTACATTCCTGGGGAAATCATAGAGCTGAAGGTCACTGTGCTTCCTATCACATCCCCACTTAATTCTTCAACTGCTGGCCAGTGCAAAAGATGGATCAGTCTTAGATAATTCTAGGGGATAACTGTAGGCTAAGTCAAGTGGAAACTTGTCTTTCAAGTACATATGATCTTTCAAATGTAGTATCCTTATCACAGTGAATCAAGACATACTATGGGATATTGATTGCAGCGTTCATCTGGACAATCCTTTTTTTTTTTTTCTGCTTCAGCAAACACAGAAAGCACATCAGAAGTAGTTTGACTTTACCTAAAACAGCAGAACTATATTTTCAACTCAGAGTTATGTTACTTCTCCATTCTCTGTGCCATAAGTTGCTCTAAAGGAACCTGGTCATCTCATCATCCAGGGATATGCTGAAGATAACATTCTGATGACTCTGGAGAACAGCAAGTGGCTAGTATTTTAGATTAAGACCATGCATGCCAGAAAGTAGAAATAAATCTCATGATAATTCAATGATGTTTCTTGGGATCCAGTGTTGCATGACATGTGAGTTTATACTTTCAGTGTCAAGGACAATTTATTTCCCACCTCTAGGAAAAAGTACTATGTGGGATGGTGGTCTCTGGATTTTAGAAGCAACATATGTCTCATTTTGTGTGCCCTTCAGCTCCTTTTCTTGAGTGATCTGAAAGGCTAACAGCTTTGAGTAGGGCCCAGAGGAATGCTCCAGCTGGTCCAGGCTGCAGCTTTTTTTATATGGCCCTTAGGACCCAGTGGGACCAGTGGTACTCAAAAATCAAATGAGTCTGCAGAAAGAGTGAATACGAAGTTCGCAGCAGGAACGTCAGGGTTCTAGAGCAAAGCTATAACTTCTTCAGTGAGTAGCCATTCATTCTTCTTTGAAGGAATAGCACTTGGCTTAATACTGGGCCCAGATAGAAACCAGATGACTGTGAAACACAAGCTGCCTATCATGAAGTGAATGTTATCTGATCTACACAGCTATAAAGTCAGACATATTCGAGTGGAAATAGTATATATGTGAGTGCATCTGAGCATGTCCTGAGAGCTCAAGTTTCATATACTGATGGCTCTTCTTCCTGGCATTCATCCTCATGCCACACCGCCACCTCTCTGCCAACCATCATGACTTCATGAATAGTTCTCCATTACCAGTTAACTGAAGAAAACTAGCATAGTTTACATATAGCTCTGAGAGTAAGCTGGCATCACTAAAAGTAAATGTACAAAATAGATTACTGAAGTGCTACTCAGTTCCACTCAGTCCCACCAAAGTGAAGGTGGAGAAGGAAAATTATCCTAGTATGCAGAGCTTGAGTGGTATATCGTCCTTGATTTTTCCAGCAAGAGAGAAATGCTGATGGACAGTAACAAATAGTTTGGTCAGATTTTCATGGAAGTGGAAAGATAAAGACCAGAGGACTGGTGACAAGTGTCTGGATGGGTCTCAAAATGGGACTATCATACGAAGACATTTGGGATTCATATAAGTGTGACAACATTGGTTGTCAATCCAATAGCTATACCCCTTCTTTGTGAACAAAACTTCAGATTTGTACAGGTGTCCAAGCTCCTCCATGTGACTTTATGCTCCAGAGAAGGCTGACCACACCTCTACGCTTGCAGGTGAATCAGTGAATCTAAGTGATCATGGTGATTCTGTTTCCCTCGTGAGCCTCAAAAAGGGCCATACAACCCCATTTTAGCCAATGAGAAATTGAAGGGAGTCTGCTGTGGGGTTAGTTCAATGGGAGTTTCTTTATCTATTAAAATGCAAACAATAAATAGTCCCCTTTTCTGCCTTTAGATGTTAGTGTGAAGATGTCTCTCCTGAAGTACCTTAGTCTTCTTATGACTATGAAAGAAGCTAAGGTAATATGCTCAGGATGGCAAAGCAAAAAGATGGGAAGGACCTGGATCCTTAATAAAATTGTTGAGCTATCTAATCAACTACCTCTTGCACCACCCTATCTTAGAACGTTTTAACATGTGAAGTAATAAATTCTTAATGGTTTATATCAACTGTCCAAGGTTTTTATTTTTTTGAAGTCAAAAATATCTTAACTGCTAACAACAACAACAACAACAACAAAAAACTCTGTGGAGGTTTAGTAAACCAGTGGACAAAATAATCCACTCTGCAAATGTTAGTCATTCTTCTTCCCCATTGATCCTGGGGCTCACTCAACGGGCTCATGAACAAAGTGTCTACAGCAACTTGGATGCAGAGTATGCACAAGCTCAACAATATGGACCTTTCATCACCAATGCTGGCTGTCACTGCTGATTGCCCAACTTGCTAGCAGCAGAAATAAATCTTGAACCTCTGACATGATATCATATCCCAGGAGGACATTCAGCCACAGGGAGGCAGGTTAATTTATTGGCTGTCTATCATCACAGAAGAGATAGAAATTCATCCTTACTGTACTATTACTTATTCTGGATTTGGATTTATTTTCCTGTCTAACATTTCTTTTTCTTTTTCTTTTTCTTTTTCTTTTTTTTTGAGACAGAGTCTCGCTCTGTCACCCAGGCTGGAGTGCAGTGGTGTGATCTCAGCTCACTGCAACCTCCTGGGTTTAAGCAATTCTCCTGCCTCAGCCTCCCGAGTAGCTGGAATTACAGGCATGTGCCACCACATCAGGCTAATTTTTGTATTTTTAGTAGAGACAGGTTTTCACCATGTTGGCTAGGCTGGTCTCGAACTCGTGACCTCAGGTGATCCGCCTGTCTCGGCCTCCCAAAGTGCTGGGATTACAGGCGTGAACCACCATGCCCCGCCTCCTAACATTTGTGTCTGACACTTGCTAGTACAACCATCCTGTATATACTAAATACCTCTTACAAAGGGGGATCATATCTGGTTCACCCAAGTCAGTTCCAGTTTGTTGCTGTTGTCCTGGTGTAATTAGTAGCCCTCATCACCCTCAAAAGCACCCCAGTTCAGATGACAAATTATAAAGGCATCTTACTTACATACCATCATGGTATCTTGTACACATTACTTTTTATCTGGACAGCCATTTTTAATTAAATAAGCAGTAGAGCTTATGTTTATGGCTTACCATATGTTTATTAACTAGAAATAGACGAACAGCTATAAGACAAAATGCAAAATTGTGGCACTGTCCTGTAGAATGTGTTATATTCTCTGAACCAGTAGTTCTCAAAAGGTGATCCCAAGACCAGCAACATCAGCATCACTTGGGTACTTGTGAGAAATGCAAATAATCTAGTTTCATCCTAGAACTACTGAATTGGGAAGTCTTGGAGTGGGCACAGCAACTGATGTTTAAACAGACCCTCTAAAAAAGTATTGGTGCATGTTAAAGTTTGAGAGCCACTGCTCTGAAATATCAACCAAAAAATGTTGCTCTTTTTCCCTCATAGCCACAATACACCCTAAAAACCAAGCTGTGGAAGTAGGAGTTGGTGACTCATTGTTACTTCTAATGATCCATTTGCAAATTATTTACTTCTCATTTCTGTAATTCTGAACCTTGCTCGTTTAGAGGTTTTAGTACCTCAAAAAGAAGATGCATCCACCAGGGGAGAAACAGTATTCCATTGAATAAGAAGCTGAGATTGCCATTTGACCATGCTTATATCTTCTAATAACTTGGTAAGCAGGATAAAATGGTTTATGCTATTGGATTAAATGATTGATCACGTCTATAGAGAGTAAATGGTGTTGCTTCTAATGATTAGAAGGAAAGAGTATGGGTGGAACAAAGAGGGTCTCTGGGGTAACTTCCACACTGCCATGTCTACAATAAAAATTTAATGAAAGATTGCAACAACCTTACATAAACAAGACCACCTTTTGGCTCTGATCCCTTAGTAATAAAAGTCTAGGTCACTCTACCAGGGAAAGAATACTGACAATCCGAGATGTGGACTGGAGGGAAAGGGAACATGGGATGGCTGGTGAAATAAGGAATTTGTTGCTATATGGCAACTGCCAATTTGTAATCAATTGCAGAAACGTATATTGTAGTATCTGCCCCCACTTTTTTTTCTGTATCATGTACTGTATTTCATTGACTCTCCAAGGCATATTTATGTACCTTTATTTCTATGAAAGAAAAACACTTCCCACTGAACTATGATGTGATGCTGCTTGCTTTCACTTAGAATTTTTACTTTATACCTCGAGAGAGAGATTGTAGGGGTTTTAGACACAAATTTCCATCACATGTCACTCTTCTGCAAACACTAAAATTTTTCTAAAAAATCAGTTAAGGTAATACTAAGGCAAGGAGAATTACATCACAATTGCCACCCAGTTGATAGCAATTATAAGATGCCATTGGTTGATTTCAGACATGGTAAATTATTGGAAAAATGTATTTTAAATTGGTAAAATATGATACATATTTATATTTTAACTAATTTTCCTTTTATTTTTTCTTTCTCATCATTATTTTATATTAAGTGGTGGTAATGAATTTGAACAATGTAATCCATAGTTTATATCAAGATGGGATTATGATTGAACTGGGAGATGAATGAACATCATTACCCAGAAGTTCTGGACTTGAAGCTGGATGCAGTAACTGATTACATTTTGGTTTCTCTTGGGAGAGGAGTTGAATGTGTTTTTTGCTGTTTTGGATATATCTGCATCGTATTAGGTAGACACATAAGTAAAGATAAATAAAGAAGAGAATATATGTAGTTAGGCATTCAAAGGTGTGGACTGTAGTGGTCACTGTTTTTATGGGTTTTTTTCCCCTCCTTCTGTTTGGGAAATTCCTCACTTCCTTTTGAGTCTTGCTGGAAGTCACACCTCACCATTCACCCCAGAAGCCCAAAATGCTAGATACTTACTTTCCAGTCCTCCATGCAACATGGGTATATACTCTAGATTCAAACCTATGGACTTTGAAATTGGGGGCTAATTTTGCAAACATGAAGAGAGAAGGGAACATTTCTGCTTGTGACTGTAGCAGCAATGTCTAGTTTCTAAAGATAGCATGGCCAGCCACATCTACAGTAGTATCCAACACATAATGCCAATTGGGCCAGCTGTGATATCTGATGCTAAGTGGCAGCAGCAGCAACGTCCACATAGGACCAGCTTTGTGATATGATTTTGGTTGTATCTCTGGGTGCACAACCTCTGGGCCTGTTTGCTGTCCTGGACAGTGCAGGCTAACCAATAGCCTTTCAATAAATCCTTTTTCTGCCCATATCAGGCAGAGTCCATTTGTATTGTTTGCAGTGAGGCTCCTTGGATGACATAGATCTTCTGTATCATAAGATATTGTTCCAAAAATTATTTTTGCAGCACTAACATTGGTTTCAGAATGAAATGTTTCTTTACAAGTTTTACTTTTTGATAATATTAAAAGTTAAGAAAGACAAATGTTCATCCACCTACCAGTAGTATTGTATGGGTCAATCTCCAGCTGGTATAAAAAATTAAGGAGGAAAATAGCTCTCTTTAAAAGCATGGAAATTTTTAAGAAATGTATTAATAATTGACTCAATGAAAACAAAATATGAGGTTTGGAAATGGAAAGTAAAGGCAATTCCTTCCATAAAGCTGTGGTGCTAGCCCTTCACTGTACTTGCTACTGTTCCAGAGGAGCAAATGGGCAGCATTCTTAGTCTCACAGAGATTTTTAAAATTTATCATTGGACTATTATTGTTTATAAACTGAATGCAGTAATTTCAGCTGCTTTTCAACAAGTTGGGTTAGAGGTCTCTGCTTTCCTTCTGCCGCATCTCAGCAGCTGGATCACATGAGTACCACCTTCAGAATCTTTCTATGCCTCTTTTTTAGGCCCAATTCTAATCTGAGGTAAGAATATAAATAGCCCCAACCTCACATTTTGGCCTACTATGTGCTGGGCATGCTTCTAAGTAACAAGGGTGATGCATCTTCCAAAAGCCACAAAGTTTAAGCTTTAGTGGAACTACCTTATGATTTCCTGCCTGCCAGCAAAAATCCGTGAAGCCCCCTTCTATCATTGTATCTATACTTCTATCAATGTATCTATGTCTTGTTTCTTCTGCCCTTAACTAGCTCACTGCCATCTCTTCCCAAGTCTGAAAGTGTGGTGGGAAGTCTTAATAGATTTTTAGATTAAAAGAAATTGAGCATTGTTGCTTTTCTTATTTGGGATGTTAATCTTTTTCTTTACTTTAGATGTCTTATTTTATGCTTTCATATAATTGGCGTGATACATTTATGCCTTCCTTAATTAAATAAAACCCAGATGTTTCAAAGTAGTCAATGAGAGAGCATCTCTTCTTGATAGGGGAGGTTGACCTTACAGTCCCAACTACTAGCTTGAAACACTCTCCTCAGGGATTATTTTGACTGTATCACCTGCTGACCTCGAAAGGCAAAAACTAATGCCCTGCTTTCAGTGCTTTGTCCCATATATGGACATATAGTTCTTCCTTGCATACCATTTAGTTCAACTGAGGCAGAATTGATGCCCAATTAAGCTTTACTGAAGGTTAGAATGTAACAAAATGGCAACAAGTACTATGAGTAGGACCATGAAACAAAATACTCTAACATATATTGCATAGCTTATTCGTCTTCAGTTTTTAACCCATTGCAGGGCTCTTTCCTTCCTTTCTTGAGGTCTGTTTCTGCAAGTACATATTCTCAAATATTTGGCCTTGTCATCATTAAGACCCAGAAAGGGATGGGAGCTTCCATACACCTCAGCCTTGTCCCCTCGCCCTGAGTTGCTACCTGAGGGCCTCCCTCCTCTCCAGATAATTGATCCTGGTAATAACGACAAGCTTCATGGAGGAAGAAAAGACATCTCTAGGGACATAGCCGAACCCAAGCAATCCTACTCCAAGTAGACATAGCAAGTATTAGGCATCTTCCAAGTGCAGGTAACAAAAATTTACCTCAAAGTTGCTTAAGAAAAATAAGTCATGTAATTTTGCAAAGAAAAATTCTTTGTCTAAGAAAATGGAAAAGACAGATCTTGTTTGCTTCAGGTGTGGCTGAGCACAGAGGTTTAAATGATGCCTGTCTTTTGTCATTTTTTTTTTTTTTGAGATGGAGTTTTGCTCTTGTTGCCCAGGCTGGAGTGCAGTGGTGCGATCTTGTCTCACTGAAACCTCCGCCTCCGGGGTTCAAGGGATTCTCCTGCCTCACCCTCCCAAGTAGCTGGGATTACAGGCGCCTGCCTGCCACCACGCCTGGCTAATTTTTTGTATTTTTTAGTAGAGACAGGGTTTCTTTCTTTTTTTTTTTTTTTTGAGATGGAGTTTTGTTCTTGTTGCCCAGGCTAGAGTGCAATGCTGCGATCTTGGCTCACTGCAACCTCCGCCTCCTGGGTTAAAGCGATTCTCCTGCCTCAGCCTCCTGAGTAGCTGGGATTACAGGCATGCACCGCCACATCTGGCTAATTTTGTATTTTTAGTAGAGATGGGGGTTTCTCCATGTTGGTCAGGCTGGTCTTGAACTCCCAACCTCAGGTGATCCGCCCGCCTTGGCCTCCCAAAGTGCTGGGATTACAGGCGTGAGCTACCATGCCTGGCCTAGAGATGGGGTTTCATGATGTTGGCCAGGCTGGTCTTGAACTCCTGATCTCAGGTGATCCACCTGCCTTGGCATCTCAAAGTGTCGGGATTACAGGCATGAGCCACCACGCCTGGCCTCCTTTGTCATTTGACAGAGACTTTTACTCCTTGTCTGTCTTTTTCTCTTTTTCAGTCTCTTTTTTTTAAACTGTCTCTCCCTCTTTCTTTTTATCTTTCTCTTTCTTTCTTTCCTTCTTTCTTTTTTTTTTTCCTGAGACAGGGTCTCACTCTGTCACCCAGGTGGGAATGCAGTGGTGTGATAACAATCACTCTAGCCTCTACCTCCCAGGCTCAAGTGATCCTCCTACCTCAGCCTCCCGAGTAGCTGGGACCACAGAGAGTCACCACTATGTCTAGCTAATTTTTTATTATTTTTGGATATGAGGTCTCAATATGTTGCCCAGGCTGGTCTCCAACTCCTGGGCTCAAGCGATCCTCTTGCCTCTGCCTCCCTAATCCCTGGGATTAGAGACATGAGCCACTATGCCAAGCCCTTTCTTTTCTTTCTACTGAGTCAATTTTAAAGAAAAATTCCCCATATTTTGGCAAAAATGGCCACCAGCAGCTTTGGATTTATGTTTAACTAGAGCAATCCCAATGAAAAGAAAAAGATGTAACCTCTCTCCTAATGGTTTCAGCAAAGTTACATAACTGGTTGGGCCAGTGTGGCTCCCTGAACCAATCCTGGAACTGATGGTGGAGTGCGGTGATTGAGCAGTCTGGATGATGGACTCACTCCTGTGGAAGGGACCATAATGTCATGGGATTCAGAGTCCGGCCAGGGAGCAGAGAGGTATTTCCTTAAAGGAAAAGCTTCAGGTCATTCAAAAAGTTAGAGATCCATGTATAATATGGTATTCCCAATATTCATTCTGAAGATTTGGGTATAAAAGAGCAGGAGAGTATTAGAGTTATAGTTAGACATGACAAATTTGATATGGTCTACAAGTCAGACACAGAAGAATGAGGAATCATAAATTACAAGATTGTTTCAGTCATAAGCAAACTGAGGCATTGTATCAATCACCAGAAGTGTAGAAAATGGTCTCCAAAATATTAGGGGAATCTGCATCCTAAATAAGATCAAATGCCAAGACTGCTTCAGGGATAAAGAGTTGCTTTTAAGTAAACTGAGCTACTCAGAAGGAAGGAATCAGGGCCAGGCATGGTGGCTCATGCCTGTAATCCAGCATTTTGGCACACCAAGGCAGGAGGATTGCTTGAGGCCAGGAGTTCCAGACCAGCCTGGGCAACATAGTGGGACCCTAGCCCTATTAAAAAAAAAAAAAAAAAGCAGGCAGGGATTAGCATGTAAAACTATACCTGGGACAAGAACTGCAAATAACTGACTCCACTGAAGGGGGGAAGATAATGTCCTCTTATAAGCAAAACATGTTGTGAAGAGGCAAGAATGCATCACTATTGCAATTCATCTCTTTTTATTAATATTACTAAATGCTTGAATGAACGAATTGTACTCATGAGGCTTCAAACCAAAACAAAATGGTTGGTTCTTCTGCTGGTTGCAGGTTACAATTACCTTAGCTTGGAAACGATAAGGCTGAGTTGGTTTAGTAATGAAGAGGAGATCATATTCACAAGCACTGATCAATTATTTATTTTAGCACTGTAGTCATTAATTTATTGATTTCTCATTCCACAGCAAATCTAATGAAGCAAAAAACTCCTTAAATTTTTTTCCTGCTACATTCTATAGTAAAAAGAATTCCCCATCTCTTCTCATTCCTAACAGACTAGAGATTTTGAGACCATTTTCCTCACAAAACACTTGAAATGACCTATGAACACCTGAAAGGTTGAAGTTTTGAAAACAAGCTAATGGACAATAATTTTCCTTACCAAATAAGAACCATAAAAATTATTGTATGTGAAGTTACATGCAGCACCTTAAAGTAGGAAGTTAAGAACTCAGAATTTAACTTGAAATATTTCAAGCTTAAATTTGAACAATTATTTTACAAATTTTTTTAATGATGTAACTCATAGGCCTAATTTGGCTTCCCCTGAAAGCAGAGGTTGAGACAAAGACTTGGCTGCAGATTGTGTGTAGTGGCGAGGTAATCCCAGAAAACATAAGTAAAGGAACAGGGAGTATGACACAGGAGAAGTCAGTACAAGAAGGTGTTATTCAAGTCTCTGCTGAAGGGAAGAGCGCATCAGTTCTGCTGGGACTACTGGGAAGTGTAAATGTCTTCCAGAGCTTTCCATTTGAAGGAAGTGTGGATGAAGGTGGTTCCCATGTTGGCTGATGGCTGATATTTGCACTGGGGAACATAAACATGGTCCGGAAGTGGTCCACACACATGCCCAATGGCTCTAGGGCATAAGAGAGGCCCAAGGCAGAAAAATGGAATAATTCTTTAGCTGCCTGAGGTGTGATCCTGTCAATGAGGTGAGCCTGAGCTCCTAGGGAACTCTCACTGCAGCTGCAGCTGAAATAGGAGTGGGCCAAAGAAATGGAAAGGAGGCTCCAACGTACCTGCTACATCAAACAGATAGATGTGAGGACCAAATCTGGCCCATGATTTGTCAGTATTAGACTTGTGGTCAGTTGGCTTAGGAATTCACAAACTGATAAGACTGCAAAAGGTTTATTCGAAAATAAATAGATAAATAAAAATATAAATTTACAAACTGAATACATTGCATGATCAAACTGACTTCTCAGAAATTCTAGGGATAAAGTATAGAACTGTAAGAAGAGGTCCAATTTCTGCTTTTCATTTCTGCATTAATTTAACAAATTTAATGAACATTTACCATATGCTAGGTGCTGGAGATACATCAGTGAAAAAGATAAACAAAGTACCTGCCCCACTGAGCTTGCATTCTGTTTGGGAGACAGCAAGCAATAAGTTTCAGACTTTTCAGTTAAAAATAAAACAGAGGACTGGACACTGTGGCTCATGTTTGTAATCCCAGCACTTTGGGAGACCGAGGCATGTGGGTCACCTGAGGTCAGGAGTTCAAGACCAGCCTGGCCAACATGGTGAAAACTGTCTCTACTAAAAATACAAAAATTAGCCGGGTGTGGTGGTGTTACTGGGGGGTCCTTGCGCACAGAGCTCCCAAGATGGTGGCAAGCCGCTTCCAAGATGGCGACGGGCCGCTTCCAAGATGGTGGCAAGCCTTGTATTCTCTGACCTGGGGTTCTTGGCCTCACGGATTCCAAGGAATGGAATCTTGGGCCATGCGGTGAGTGTTATAGCTCTATCAGAAGCCGCAGGTCATGGAAGAGAACTGTGGAATCCAGTGACTAGTGTTCAGCTTGATTAGGATGAACACACGCACTCAGCCGTGCAGGAACAATGGCAAGCCTTTAGCCCGATTGGGAGTGGCAATGGGCACCTCGCTGGATCAGGAGGTGCCCTGCCAGATCTGGAGGGATGGAAGTCAGTCGTGGGTCTGCAACGGCGGCAAACAGCAGTGGTGGACGGCGAGCAAAAGCTCAGCTCGAGCTGTAACAAACACGGACCAGAAGAGTGCAGTTGCAAGATTTAATAGAGTGAAAACAGGGCTCCCATACAAAGGGAGGGGACCCAAAGGGGGTTGCTGTTGCCGGCTCGAATGCCTGGGTTTATATCCCGAGCATTGTCCCTTCCCCTGTGCTCTCAGGCAAGAGATGATTGGCTATTTCTTTACCTCCTGTTGTTGCCTAATTAGCATTTTAGTGAGCTCTCCTTACTATCTGATTGGTTATGTGTGAGCTAAGTTGCAAGCCCCGTGTTTAAAGGTGGAAGCGGTCACCTTCCCAGCTAGGCTTAGGGATTCTTAGTCAGCCTAGGAAATCCAGCTAGTCCTGTCTCTCAGTGGCAGGTGCCTGTAATTCCAGCTACTTGGGAGGCTGAGGCAGGAGAATCACTTGAACCTGGGAGGCGGAGGTTGCAGTGAGCTGAGATCACGCCATTGCACTCCAGCCTGGGTGACAAGAGTGAAACTCTGTCTCAAGAAAAACAAAGGTAGTATTGTGAGAGATATGGCTGCTGTTTTAGATAGGGCAGCCATCAAAAGCTTCTCTACATGAATGACATTTGAGGGGAGACCTGGATGAGAAGGATTGAGTCAAATGAATATTAGGGAAAAGTATTCCAGGCAAATGGAACAGACTATGTATGAGCCCTGAGGTCAGAATAAGCTTTTATATTTGAGGAGCAACAAGATCAATATGAGTGAAGTTGAGAGTAAGAGAAGTGGTTACGAGATAAAGTGAAACATGTCAGCTGAGGTCAGATGAGGTAGAGTCCTGTGGCTATGGAAAGGCATGTAGGCTTCATTCTCAGTATGATGGGAAACCTCTGGGAAATTTTAATCAGGTGAGATGTGATCTGATTTTCTGTTTTAAAAAGTCCATTCTGGTTGCCATGTGGAGAGTGTGTATGTGAAGTTTTGGATCCTAGAATTGTAGAACACAACAGGCCTAAATATTTGTCTTTTCCATGAGCAGGTGGATCTCTTAGTTACGTTTTGCTTGAAATGCACGTAGGTGTCCACACAAAGACCTCAACACACAAGTGTTCTTGGCAGAATTACTTATAATAGCCAAAAGGTGGAAATAACTCAAATGACCATCAGCTAGTGAATGGAAAAACAAAATGTGTTTATCTTCAAGCAGAATAGAAAGCCATTTAATAATAAAAATAAATATTGACACATGCTACAACATGGATAGCATCAAAAACATGCTAAGAGAAAGAATACAGACACAGAAGACCACACATTGCATGATTCTATTTATATAAAATATCTAGAAAAAGAAAATCTATATATGGAGAAAGCAGATTAGTGATTGCCTGGGACTGGGAGTGAGAACAAAGAGTAAGTGTAATGAAGCAGGAGAGATTTTACTGGAGTGAGAGAAATGTTCTAAAACTGGTTTGTGGTGATGGTTGCACAACAGTACATCCAAAAATCATTGAACTGTACAATTAAAACAGGTGAATTTAAAGGTATTTAAATGATACGTCAATAAAGTTGTTTCTAAAAAAAAAAAAACATGTGTTGCTACATTTAGAACATATATCTTCCGAGCACATGGACCCTCCATCTCCACAGACCTTGATTTTACCTGAAGTTACTCCTCCAACCCACGTTTCCCTTGGTCAAGAGAGCACCAGGCTGCGCTGGCCTTTCATGGTCACCCAGTGGCCCACTTTGGGAATGAATCGAGTTCCTTTCTTTCTCAACATTGTTTCCTCTGGGGAGATCATACACATTCCAAGCATTCCCCATTTCCCCTATTTTCAGAACTCTCAGGTTGCTTGGTTCTTCCTTAAGCAATGTTTTTATCATCTTTAACCCGTGCACTTTTTCGTCTCACTTTTGTAACTATTGCCAACTGTTTCAAGAACATTTTTTACTACCTTTTTCCTCCTTTTTCTCCTTTCTTCCTCTCTTTTCCACCTCCATTTTTTCCACTGTCATCCCTCATTCTTTCTTTATGTTTGTTCCATTTGTGACCCCTAAAAATAACTATAATGATGGGAGAACAGGATTGGGGGCATATTAGTATCAAGTGAAAGGAAAGTCTAAGTTGTGCTTTGTCTATCAATTTCTAAAGTGTCAAAAAGTTCTTCTCAAGAACATCCTCAAAATTTCCTTCTACTCACTGTTGTTTATTTCATGAAAAATAAAAATCTTGTTGTTGTATTTTTAAAGTTTGTTTACTTGTACTAAATAATCACATTTTAAAATTATTTTTCATTGTGAGCTAGAATATTTGATTACAAAAAGTATTTTATTTATATCAACGTAAATACTTTTGTTGGCTGACCCAGTAAAAGGAACACTATACATCACATTATTTCTATAAAGAAAAAAATATCTGAAATCCAAGAAATAATGGTTAGAGTTTATTTCTGGTTTATTAACTGGAGGCTGTCATTACTTAACTTTAAAACAAGGTACTTAAAATAGTATCTGTACATCTTACTAAGTGCTATACTATTCTTGTTCCATTGGTCAACTTCTTATGTTGTTTTATTGCAATTATTTATATTCTTTATATTCTTATATTCTTAAAAACAAAAGGACAATTACAGATACAACTAAGTAAAGCTAAATTTCCCTTTTAGTTGAACAGAAGACAGGTTCTTCATTTTCTTCATCTGCCTTTCACATGAAGTGTATAATGCTGGGAATAATTAGTATATTAATAGTCTTTACCGTCAGGGTTCATTTCTTGGTTATAAAAATGTAAGAGAATGAGATTCTAAGTTCCTTTAAAATTCAGCTTAAAGGGGCCAGGCGCGGTGCTTCACACCTGTAATCCCAGCACTTTGGGAGGCCGAGGTGGGAGGATCACTTGAGCCCAGCAGTTCAGGACCAGCCTGGGCAACATAGTGAGATCTTGTCTCTAAAAAAAAATAATAATAAAAAATAAAATTTAGCTTAAAGAAAACAACCAGGACTGCAGATCAAAATGCCTTGTTATGTGAGATTACAAGATCATGGGTTACTATTACATCTTGTCTTAAGAGAGAAGGATGTACACCCACATGCCACGACAGACTGCATTCAAGGGTGTAAAGAAACTGTTCAGCCCCATCAGGAGCGGTGAAAAAAGAAGCAACGCTGAGCTTTCATTTCCTGCAGGTCACTAATAATTTATGAGATATTTATGAGATTTCTTTGCAGTGTCAAAATATCTGTAAACCTTTTTTTCTTTCTTTCTTTCTTTTTTAGAAACAGGTCGGGCTCTGTTGCCTAGGCCTGAGTGAAGTGATGTGATCATAGCTCATTGTAACCTTGAACTCCTGGTTATAGGAGGATTGCTCAAGCCATCCTCCCAGTTCAGCCTCCCTAGTAATTAACAGGCATGCGCCACCATGCCCAGCCAATGCTTTAAATTTTTTGTAGAGCTCGGGTCTTGCTATGTTGCTCCAGCTGGTCTTTAAGCTTTATACATTTTTGTTAGGCCACAATAATGAAAACTAAGATCATAAACAGCAAAGATGCCATGTAAACGTAGGGGGGTGTTTTCTAATGTAACCTAGGGGAGAGTTATCTCGCCAGAAAGGGTTATGTTTAATGTTTTGATTTTTAATCGCTATTTTTTAAATAGGTTGCCAGAGAAATGGGTGTGAGTTTGTTTTAGCTTTGGCCTCCACTTCCTGTGTAACTTATTTGGGATGGATGTTTAGTATAGATATGAAATCATTGGGGAAAACCAAACAAAGAGAAAATATTATCATTGAAAAGTTACACATTAATTTTCCACATAGTTTTTTGAAAGAAAAGTCAGTTTGGCAAGGCAAAAAGAGACTCTGGCAAAATGAGCAACTCTGTGTCCTGCATCTAGGCTACCAGAAAAAAAGGCCCAGTCTTTGAAATGATCTTCTTCAGAGGCAAGCATGCCATGACCCAACAAATGTCTCTTTACCCCACAGGTTGAAGTTTGCAAGAAGCAGCTGAGTAAGCTCAGGGCTTTTACAGAGTTGATCATGTTTTTGATTCCTGCCCTTTAATTAACTATATGCTTTACAAAACTAGGTAGCTGTAGTAGACATATTACATCCAGCTGTTAATCACTTCTTAGTAAGAAAAAGTACTGGAATCTACAGATGGACATTGATCTGTTACCTATGTTGACAAGAACATTATGGTCTTTGTCAAACCACACTGCGAATGCACTAGGATGCTGCACTGATTTTCCATCATTACTGCTGGAGTTGGGAAAGGAGAAGGAAGATTCGTTGTAGTTTGCCATAGGGAATGTTACCCTCCTTTCCCTCTAGGCCAAATGACTCCTTACAATGCAGCCAATAAAAAGCAAAAAGAATAAGTTTTTATATAAAAATGTTTATGGTTCATATCTTTCCATATAAACATTCAATGTGGGGGAAGAAAACCTCACCAGCTTGGCAAAAAAGAGATTAGATTCTCCCCCAAAGATTGGTTTGGAAGTCTCCCCAAAAGAAAGCTGTCTGATGAAATCACTGCCATCTTAAGTGGTAAAAACACAATGCACTACATTAAAACATAGTTATTAGGTTTTTATAATCATAGTATAAGAGCCCTCAAAATTATCTTGTCTGGAATCTCTAGAAAAATACACACCTTTGTGATTTAGGACCAACTGCTACTTAGAGGCTACCAGGAATAACTACTCCACAACTTCTCTTAATAATAACTCCATGGTTTCAACTTCTTTCATTGTTATGCCTGATAAAAACTTGTCTTCCTTCTAATTCAGGCCATATCTCCTGGTTTGGCATTGTTCTGGTGCCTTTGTCCTCACTGTGGTTATTACGACCCAGGAACTTCAAGAAAGACATAAACTTCTAGATCCAAGCTCTAGACACATTTCCATATTGGGGCTGTGAACTCTAAAAATAACATTTTATTACTAAGTACATGAGCAAAAATTTAGAGCAAGGTAAAAGTGTGTGTGTGTGTGTGTGTGTGTGTGTGTGTGTGTGCATGCTCAGGCATGCATGCATATTTCAGGGGTGCAAGGGCTTTTTTTTTTTCTTCCAGTTTGAAGCTTTAGGGCATAATATTATTTGAAGCTTCACTTACCTCTACCTGAAGCATAAACCAAGAAAATGTGAACAACTCAACAGTGGAGGGGTTCCTTGTGCTCTTTGGGTAACAAGCCACTTGTTTCCTTTTTCCACAGTGAAGCATTCCTTCTTTAAAACATTTTGCTGCAATTAAACTGTGTACCCCTGGAGGTGAAACTTGTGTCTCACCTGTAGACAGCCTGTGTTTCTGAATCGCAGCATCTAGTATAATCCACTCGGGTACTTAAATAAAGTACCAAAACATAACTAATGAATAAAAGAAAGCAATGAATTAGTAAGCCTGTATTTATAAACTGCTGCCACTACAAAATGTAAGACCTTATTTAATAAAATCAGTTTATGATATTTAGCTTGAAAGAACAGCTACTTCCTTTTAGAATATCCAAAACCTTGGAGACACCATACTTTATTTTTCTTTGATTGTTTTTCTAAGACTAATAATTTTAAAGTGAATTTTAATGTAGATGAAAATATGTTAAAACAGTATAATGATATTTAAGTGCAATACAGGCTTTATATTTCTAATTACATATGGAAAAAATGGTCTGAACATGAGGTGGCCTGTAAGTAAGAAATATTATGATTAGAAGTAATTATAACAGGCTGGGTGCGGTGGCTCACGCCTGTAATCCCAGCACTGTAATCCCAGGCTCACGCCTGTAATCCCACCCAGCCACAGCAGGTGGATCACCTGAGGTCAGGAGTTTGAGACCAGCCTGGCAACATGGCGAAACCCCGTCTCTACTAAAAATACAAAAAAATTAGCCAAGCATGGTGGCATGCCTGTAATTCCAGCTACTCGGGAGGCTGAGGCAGGAGAATCACTTGAACCCAGGAGGTGGAGGTTGCAGATTGTGCCACTGCACTCCAGCCTGGGCAACAGAGCGAGACTCTGTCTCAAAAAAAAAAAAAAAAAAAGAAATAATTATAATAGAATAATAATTAAGGTAAAATAGATCTATTTATAATGAATTAAATTTTTCTAAACCCTCACTGGGGATATTCTTAAAACTCTATCCCCAAATATACCAGTGACATTGCAGGAAAATTTCGAGGGAAGTCCAAAATACTATTTTTAAAAATTACAAAAATTTTAAAATTCATTAGGAAAAAAATAGAGGAACTTCAGATATTTTGAAATCTGTTAAGTGTTCTTCAAAATTAACATGAGGTCTGCTTACTATTAATAATGAACATGTTGAAAAAATCGTCTGAATATGAGGTTATTGAGGTTTTTTTCATTCCAGATCTCTGCTAATTAGTATCAGGGATAATTACATCTCTCTCTCTAGTTCTTCTAGGGAACTACTTCTCAACTCCTCTCTCCCTTATGATTCTATATATGAGCCAGAGAATACCTCAGCACAGAATGCTCTAAATGTAAACACAACACAATTTCCTGTAAAAAACAAACAAACAAAACCTGTGGCTCTGTTTATTGTAATGTCTTCTCATTTGACTTATATAAATCCACATCTTTTAATTTTAGGAATTGCATTCAAAGTTTTAAGGTCAAAAACTGTACTTTTCTATGTTGAATTACTGGTAAAAAGCTGGCAATCAAGTGAAAGTTCTTTATGGACTAGACTGAAAAGCTCTTGTGTACTGTCAACCCAGTATTCATTTCTCAAAGCAAATGTCACACGCACAATAGTTCTGTTGTGGATTCAAAACCAAGTTCCGTTTCAGCAATAGTAGCGCAGCAGTAAACTCCTCCTCGTTGTCAGGCCCTGTGGCTATCTGGTTTTAGTCAGGCACTTTAGAGTCATCTCAGAGTGTCTTTTTTTTTTTGACACAAGGTCTCACTGTGTCGCCCAGGCTGGAGTGCAGAGGCATGATCTTGGCTCACTGCAGCCTCGACCTCCTGGGCTCAAGTGATCCCCAACCTCAGCCTCCGGAGTAGCAGAGGACACACAGGTGTGTGCCACCAAACCAGTTAATTTTTGTATTTTTGTAGAGGCAGGGTTTTGCCATGTTGCCCAGGCCGGTCTCCAACTCCTGGGCTGAAGCTATCAGCCTGCCTCAGCCTTCCAAAAAGCTGGGATTATAGGCGTGAGCCACTGTGCCCTGCCCAGAATGTCTTTATTAGCTGTGTTAGATCATTAGTTACAGAAACCCAGCTGGTTAGAAATAAATTGCTTTCCTGCTTACCTGCCACCTAGTTCTGAGTACACATGTCAGTCCTACAATCCCACCTAATATCTGATGCATAAACTAAAATGATAGTCAAGGTTGTTCACTGGTTGGAATTTTGAGGGATTATTTTTGAACTTTTCTATATTTTTGAAATATGTTAACAGATTTTTTTTTTTAATAAGAAGAAAATAAACTTTGTCAAAAAAAAAAAAAAAAAAAAAAAAGCAACACCAAGGAAAGATTCTTTTTTTTTTTTTTTCCCCAGGCTGGAGTGTAGTGGTATGACCAGGGCTCACTGCAACTTTGTCCTCCTGGGCTCAAGTGATCCTCTCACCTCAGCCTCCCAAGTAGCTGGGACTACAGGCTCATGCCACCATGCCCAGAATACTTTTAAATTTTTTTTTGGAGCTGGGGTGGGGGTCTCACTGTGTTGCCCAGGCTGGTCTCAAATTCCTGGCCTCAAGTGATTCTCCTGCGTTGGCCTCCAAAAATGCTAGGATTACAGGCATGAGACACTGTACCCTGCCATCTTTTTTTTTTTTAATGCCAATGAAATTTCTAATCTGATTTCCTGGCTTCCTGGCAGAGAAGGAAGCCACTTCAAAAATAATTCTACTTTTTTATTAGAAATATAGAAACACCCTCTTTTTCTGCAAGGATGAAAATGTCATTCATATCTCCTCCCACTCAGTTCCATTGTAGTTAAAAAAAAATGTGATTTCAAAATGTGTAAAAGAGGAGGAGGCAAACTGGTGGTTTGCAGGCCATGTCAGGCCCAAACACTTGTTCTGTTTGGTGACCACATTATTTAAAAACTGAAATTGAATGCCCCTCAAGTGGGCCCTTTGTTTCCTATAGGCCCACCGAACATTTAGACATTTAGGTACTCTTCCTGGCCCCTGAAGGCATTTGATTTTGACACCCTTACACTAGCATTGCATAAGTAGACTGGGACACTACATGACTAAGACATGTTAGGCAAAGTTACAACTATGCTAATATCATCATTCTGCTCTTCAATTTGCATGTGGAAAAAACTAACTTCAGGAATAAGGAATTATAGCAAATCCAGTGTCCACAGTCACATGCCTCTTGTATAAACTAACAATTTTCTCCCATATAACTCCTTTCCTTTTAGTTCATTCTGCACATTACTTCCTGGTTAGTAATCCTAGAGCCTAACCTTTAATCACATATTTATTGTTCATTCTTTTTTTCTTCATCTTGTGCCAGGTCTCTTTAGGTGCTAAGAACACAAAATAGATGAGGCTCAAGGTCTCATATCTCCTGAAAATAATCAGACATGTAAATTAAAAATAATAGGAGTATAATAGTTGGTACAAAATGAGTTCTCAGGAAACAGAGAATGAAGATTGTGACTGTGCCTGGGGAAAGTTTTCCAAAGGTAACAATTGAATTGACTTTTGAAAGAGAAGTAGATATTCAGCTGATGACTAAGTCAAAGGCATTCTAGCACACCCAAAGCATGGCCTCAAAGAAAGGCTTGGAAAATTCAGGAAACCTCAAGTAGTTTGGTTTTACTAGAGCAACAGGGAGTAAAGAGTGGGGAGAAAGGAAATATGCATTCATTCATTTAATATTTTCTTAGTCTCACTCTGTTGCCAGGCTGGAGTGCAGTAGCACGATCTGGGCTCACTGGAACCTCCACCTCCCGGGTTCAAGAGATTCTCCTGGCTCAGCCTCCCAAGTAGCTGGGACTGCAGGCACCTGCCACCATGCCCAGAAAATTTTTGTATTTTTAGTAGAGATGGGGTTTCGCCATGTTGGCCAGGATGGTCTCGATCTCTTGACCTCATGATCTGCCAGCCTCAGCCTCTCAAAGTGCTTAATGTTTTATTTTATAAATTGTTTAATGCTGCAAGCATTGAGGATAAAGCAATGATTTATATAGTAGCAGCATTTGTTGCACAGAGTTCACAGTCTAGTGAAGAATACAGAAAAGTAAAGAGGCAATAAAATAGAGTTCAGTAAATGGTATGATAAAGTAAATGCAGAGAGTCAAGGAAGTACAGAGGAGGATGTGTAGAGGTAGACAAATATACGGTGGCTGGTGGATTTTCTGATGTGCTGCTGAGATCTGCCTTTGGGAATGAAGGACTTATTCTCCCAGTTTCTGACAATGATGCCAGAAGACAACCCTCAAATTGTAGCATTACCCAAGTCTTTCTTCCTTCCAAAGACATCTTGCATCCAATGCATGACCAGTGTGTTTTACAAAGCCGTGGCTCCCACTTGATCCAACTTGGAACAATTCTGAGCAGCCAGTCCAGTTCCAGAGCTACCCAACGGGTGGGCTGAGCAACCTTTATTGGGGCTGGATCATAGCTCAACTTCTCCTTTTACCTAATTCTGTTTCCTTCTCCATTTTTCTACAGATGTTGATCCATTGGGAACTCCCTAATAAATATCCTGTTTCAGAATTTTCTTCCCTGTACAAATTATGAAGTGTCCTTGAATGCCATTCTGAGTAACCTGGATTTTGTGCTATAAACAACTAAAGCCAGGGAAGGCTTTTAGCAGGGAAATAGCTTGATCATAAATGTAAATTAGAAGGGTGCAAAATTGAAGACAAGATTATTGAAGAGGATGTTATGGTAGTCCAACCAAGAAACATTTATAACCTAAATAAATCCATCCACAGTGGGGTAGAGAGAAAGAGATGAATGTAAGATGTATTTATGGGCAATATTGGCAGGACACACTTGGTGATTGACTATAGGTGGTGGGCATGGTAAAATCATGGAAGTCTCCTAGTTCTTTGGCTTGGGGAAAGGGATACATCTTGGTATCACTAATCAAGATAGAAAATACAGGAGAAGAAGAAGGATCATTAATGAATATGATAAGTTCACTTTTGTACCTGTTGAGTTTGAAGTAAATTCAATACAGTAAAAATGCTGGTAATACTTGGTAGACAGTGGAAAACATGTATTGGGAGATCAGGATGAAGGTCAATGCTAGAGATATAGGGTTGGGAATCATCAGAATCTGTAGTAGTTAAATACACAGATGTGAATGAGCTCAGTTTCACTGTTCTGCGCTAAAATTGTCAGATCTCCATACTGCTTACCTAAGCAATTCCCAACTCCTCCAACTGGCAGCCAGACAAAATAATGACACTTCAGGACTACGGACAGTGTCAGGACTGCTTGTACAGCTCGCCCCCTTCTCACGTCACCCTCAAAATTTTAGTTCTGGTAGATAAGGACTTCCTTATTATCTTCTGCTGTCTAGCTTTCTTGCCTTACTTTCTATCTGTCTCCTGGCTCATATCTTTTGATTAAGGAATTGTGTTAAAGTCATCTAGTTCAAGCTTTTCCTTTCATTTTTTTTAAGCAGATGAGGAACTTGAGTCCCAAAGAGGTGAAATGATTTGCCCAAAGCTACATTAGTGATAAGTAACAGAGCTGGGACCCTGATTTCCAGGATCATACCTTAATGTTCTACTGTAATACAACATGAAGTAGACTCCATAATTTTCTAGGCAACAAGTTGAAGCTAACAGGCATTTGTCAAAAGAAGACATACATATCGTCAACAGAGAAATGAAAAAAAATGCTCAGTATCTCTAATCGTTAGGAAAATGCAAATTCAAAACACAATGAGATATCGTCTTACACCGGTTAGAATGGCTATCATTTAAAAAAAGACAAAAGATAACAAGGGTTGACAAGGGCGTAGAGAAAAGGAAACCCTGGTACACTGTTGATGAGAATGTAAATTAGCATTACCATTATGGAAAATAATATGGAGGCTTATGAAAAAACTAAAAACAGAATCATCATATAATCCAGCCATCCCACTTTTGGGTATATATCCAAAGGACTTGAAATCTATATGTCAAAGAGATATCTGCACTTCAATGTTCATTGTAGCACTATTCACAATAGTAAAGATACGGAAGTAACTGAAGTGTCAGTGGGTGAATGAATAATGAAAATGTGGTATATAAGCATGATGGAATACCATACAGCCTTAAGAAAGAAGGAAATTCTGTCATTGCAACAATATGCAGGTTTATACCTGGAGGACATTATGCTAAGTAAAATAAGCCAGGCACAGAAAGACAAATATTGCATGAAGTCAATGATAATGTGGAATCTAAAAAAAGTTAAACTAATGGAAGCAGAAAGTGGAACGGTGCTTACCAACGGCTAGAGAGGGGATGAGGGTAGGGTTGGGAAAAGGAGAGATGTTGGTCAAAGGGTACATAGTTTCAGTTAGATAGGAGGAATAAATTTCAGTAATCTAAGTAGATTTTAAATGTTCTCACCATAGAAGAATGTTAAGTAGGTGAGGTGATGGCTTTACTAATTACTTTGATTTAATCATTCCACCATGTATACATAGATCAAAACATGATAATGTGCCCATAAATATATACAATTATTATTTGTCAGTTAAAAATAGACATTTCAAGCTGACTAATAATAGTAAAAAAAATAGTAATAACGACAATAACAATAGTAATACAATACAATCAAAAAACAACTCTTCACCTGATTGGATCTTAACTTGGCTTGATCTTCTTTGGGAAATTAGAAATAATTATCTCTTTTATTATTGTTCATTCTCTTTGAAATCTTTTATCAGATATTCTAGATCCATCATCGTCTTCCATTAATACATCATCTTTTCTCTCATTTTATTCACTCCTTTATCACTTTTCTCTGAATTCTTCAAATTCACTGATTTGATTTTTGTCACTTTCCAATTTTGCTCTTTACTGCTTCCATTTCATTTTTTTCTTTTAGAGACAGGGTCTTACTGGGTTGCCTTGGGGTCTCGCTATGTTGTCCAGGCCGATTTTGAATTCTGGTCTCAAGCAGTCCTCCCACTTCAGCCTCCCAAAGCACTGGGTTTACAAGGGTTAGCCACTGTGCCCAGCTTCCATGTCATTTTTTTTTTTTAATTCTAGCAATCTTATTTTTATTTCAAAAGGAATCTTTTCTAATCTTAAATTGTTCCTATTTTAAAATGTAATTTTTAAATGATTGATAGTTTTTTAAGATACCATAAAATTTACACTTTTAAAGTGCACAGTCTAGCGGTTTTTAATGGTTGTACCTTTTTGGAGTTGTGCAACCATCAACATTATCTAATTTCAGAACATTTTCATCATCCACAAAGGAAACCCCATAGTCATTAGCAATCACTCCCTATTGCCCCCTCCCTCAACCCCTGGCAATCACTAATCTACTGTTTCTATGAATTTGCCTATATATATAGACAATATATATAATATAAAGTGTATATATTTTATGTGGAATCATAAAATATGTGGTTTTTGTGTCGGGATTCTTTCACTTAGTATAATGTTTTCAAAGTTCATCCATGTTGTAGCATGTAACAGCACTCCATTTTTATTGCTGAATAATATGCCCTTGTATGTGAGTGCATGTGTGGGTGTGTGTGTAACACTTTGTTTATCCATTTATGAGTTGACAGACATTTGAGTTATTTCTATTTTTGGGCTATTATGAATAATGTTGGTATGAATGTTTGTATATAGGTTATTGTGTAAACATGTTATTTCTCTTGGGTAAATACCTGGGAGTAGAATTGCTAAGTCATATGGTAAGTCTGTGTTTAACTTTCTGAGGAACTGCCAAATTGTTTTTCCAAAGTAGCTGCATCATTTTACATTTCCACCAGCAGTGTATGAGGATTCCAATTTCTCCACATCCTCGTCAATGCCTTTTATGTCTTTTTTAAAAATGATAGCCTTTCTACAGGATGTGACATGGTGTCTCATTATGGTTATGATTTGCATTTCTCTAATAACTAATAATGTTGAGCATCATTTCACTTGCTTTATGGTCATGCGTATATCTTCTTTGGAGCAATGTCTATTCAGATAGCTTTAAAATCAGATTGTCTTTTTGTTGTTGAGTTGTAAAAGTCCTGGATACAAATCCCTTATCAGTTATTTGATTTGCAAATATTTTCTCTCATTCTGTTGGTTTTCTCTCTTTTTTTTTTTTTTGAGATGGAGTCTTACCCTGCCGCCCAGGCTGGAGTACAGTGGCGCAATCTCGGCTCACTACAATGTCCACCTCCTGGGTTCAAGCAATTCTCCTGCTTCAGCCTCCCAAGTAGCTGGGATTACAGGCACCTGTCACCATGCCCAGCTAATTTTTTTATTTTTAGTAGAGACAGTGTTTCACCATGTTGGCCAGGCTGGTCTCGAACTCCTGATCTTGTGATCCACCCGCCTTGGCCTCCCAAAGTGCTGGGATTACAGGCGTGAGCCACCATGCCCAGCCCACTGGTTTTCTCTTCACTTTCTTGAGGTTTTCTTTGAAGCACAAATATTCATAATTTTTATGAAGTACAATTTATTTAAGTACAATCTCTTTGTTTCTATTGTTATCCGTGTTTTTGGTGTCATATCTAAGAAACCACTGCCTTTTCCAAGGTCAAAAATATTTATGCCCCTGTTCTCTAGTAAGAATTTTATAGTTTTAGCTCTTACAATTAGGCCTATGATCAATTTAGTGTTAAATTTTGCATATGGTGTGCATATGGTGTAATGTTCTTTTGAATCTTGTTGGTAACTCAGCATCTTTCTAGATTTTTTAAGATTTAGAGATTTTTCTAAAGATTTTTGTTTTATTTTGTTTTGGTTTTATTATTAACTCTTTCACGAGTGGGGTCATTTAAGTTTATTCCTCTGGTTAATTTCCTTTTTTACATTACAACTAAGTCTTTTAATCTAGAAGATGGTTCATTGGTTTGTTTATTCTGATGATTGTGTTTATGTCCATGGGTGGAGTTCACAGTTAATTTCAGAATTGTTTGGGGGTCCTGTTGAAATATTAGATACAGTCAATGGGAGAAAGGAAATTTCAAGATTTACCAGAGTTACTTTAATAAATCGGCATTCCAAGTGTCTGTGGGAGTAGGGCAGAGGTGGTAGGGCCCACAGACCTCACCATTGTGCCAAAGAATTTCTCACTGGTTTCTGAGATACTACTCAGTACGCTGTCTATATGAAGGGCAAGCTGGGATGCCATGAGATATTGCCTTGTGTAGACTCTATCTTTACTGGACTTTCTACAGTTGCTGGTGGGACTGGTATTTGCCCCTCTCTGACTTCCCTATATGGCACATTTGCCTGTAAACATAGAACACTTTACTGGAAATCTTCTAAATTTCACAGCAAGTGCCAATTCATATTTTCATATCCCTTTGGATATTCAATGGTAGTTAAAACATGTAAACTCAGATGAATATCTTGAATCAGAACCATTCTTTCAGCTTCTGATTTGGCTCTGTTTCTATTGATTATTCTTTGCTTTTATCTAGTGACCCTGACTAGTTCAAGTTTCTATTTTCCTCATCTTTAACTCTTATTTTGTGTTTATGCTGGTGTTTCCTATACTTGTCCTGCCCCCAACCTTGGCAACTAATCTCTTGATGTATTAGAGCACTGCACTAGAACCAGGAGGCCAGATCATGCTTCTGTTGCAGGTTGCTAGTCCTTCCACATTGCCTCCCTCATCTTTCTTCATCATTCTTGCAGTGAACCTCAATTACACCCAAGGAAACCAAGTTGTCTTTGTAATGTAGACACATGGGAGCTCCTCCTCCTCCTCCCTCCTCCTCTTCTTTCTCTTCTTCTTCGTTGTCATTGTCTTCTCTTTTCTTCTTCTTCTTCCTCCTCCTCTTCCTCCTCCTCCTCTTCCTCCTCCTTCTCCTTCCTCCTCCTTCCTCCTCCTTCTTCTTTCTTCTTTCTTCTTCTGAGACAGGATCTCACTTTGTTGCCCAGGTTGGAGTGCAGAGACACGATCTCAGCTCACTGCAACCTCTGCTTCCCAGGCTCAAGTGATTCTCCTGTCTCAGCTTCCTGAGTAGCTGAGATTACAGGTGTGTGCCACCATGCCCAGCTAAGTTTTGCATTTTTTGTAGAAATGAAGTCTCACCATGTTGCCCAGGCTGGTCTCGAACTGCTGGGCTCAGTGATCCACCTGTCTCAGCCTCCCAGAGTGCTGGGATTACAGATGTGAGCCACAATGGCTGGCCATGGGGCATCTTAAAGATTCAAGTATCTTATTTATTAATATCTTTATATCGTCCATAACAGCTAGCACCATCTGAGTACATAGTCAATATTCAACAAATATTAAAAAAAATTAACTTTAATAATTAAAAGAATAATATAATATATCAAGCCTGGCGCAGTGGCTCACGCCTGCAATCCCAGCATTTTGGGAGGCCAAGGTGGGCAGATCACTTGAGGCCAGGAGTTCGAGACTTGCCTGGCCAACGTGGCAAAACCCCATCTCTACTAAAAAATATGAAAATTAGCTAGGCCTGGTGGCATGCACCTGTAATCACAGCTACTCAGGAGGCTGAGGCAGGAGAATCGCTTGAGCCCAGGAAGGAGAGGTTGCAGTGAGCTGAGATCGCACCACTGCACTACAACCTGGGCAACAGATGAAACCCTGTCTCAAAACAAAAACAAAACAAAAAAAGAGAATAATACGTCAAATTATTTGTAAAGAAAAACCTTCCTCCCTATTTCAAACAGCTTGAAGAAAGACAATTTTTGTCCTTTTATTTATTTTTGGGGGATAGAGTCTCGCTCTTTCGCCCAGGCTGGAGTTCAGTGGCACCATCTCAGCTCACTGCAACATCCACCTCTGTGTTCAAGCAATTATCGTGCTTCAGCCTCCCAAGCAGCTGGGATCACAAGCACAGGCCACCATGCCTAACTGATTTTTGTATTTTTAGTAGAGACGGGGTTTCACCATGTTGGCCAGGCTGGTGTCGAACTCCTGACCTCAAGTGATCCACCCTCCTCAGCCTCCCAAAGTGCTGGAATTATAAACATGAACCACCATGCCCAGCTTGTCTTTACATTTATTTTGATGATGAATTCGAAATGGTACCAATGTATATCAGTGCTTTATTCACAACACTGACCTGGAGATATTTCAGAATAGAGAAACGCCAGATCCTTAGTAAGTTTCAACAACAAAAGGGTTGAGGGGTCACTGATAAAATTTTATTTCTCTCTTCATTTTACTAACGGAAATTAATTTTTTTTATTAACAGTAGTGCTTTATGTATTCTCAGTTCTGCTCCCAAAAGGATTTAAGGTGGCTGACATAAATGTATATGATAAAATAATACTTAATACTTAACATAATAACGATAACAATTTACAAGGAATGCAGAAAAAGAGAAAATAAGTGTAGAAAAAAGAAAATAATACAAGGAGGGGAAGTTGCTAAACAAAACGTATGCTGCAAAGTCACTTACATCCACTTGCTTATGTAGGGCCACATATTTGGCTCTGAATTTTCCAGGCAATTCAAGAGGGCTCACAACCAGATAGAGATCCACTGTCCATAAGATTCAAACAAACCAATTGCTTACGATAACATAGTTTCTCCAGTTGCTGAAACCAGAGAGCAATTTCTCCAAAAGTTTGCCACAAAGACTACACTGTAAGTTACAGTGACCACCATCCTTACAGCCAACACAGTACAATTTCACAGGAATCGTTTCTCAATATAGCTAAAAACACAGTGTTTTTTTTTTTTTACATAAAAAAGTTCAGTACACTAATTTCTAGTTTTGCAGTATCCTCAGCACCAAAAGTCGTCCTGCTGATGGTGCTAATCAGGAGAACATTTCCATGGTCAAGCTAAGATGCCTAGATGATTTCAGTTTAGTTCAACAGCTCAATAAAATTTTAAGGTCAGTAGGCATATTGTTGGATAGAATATATGAAAAAAGTTCAGCAGAGATTTTTGTGTTTCTGCTGCAATAGTACCACATAACCAAACACAAATTTTAGAAGCTTAAAACAAAACTGTCTATTTTTCTTGTTCAAGGTTTTGGTCAGTTTAACATCCCCTTTCCTCATTCTTGAACCAGTGGCTAGCCAGGAGATTACAGAAGCAAAAGAAATAAAGCCACTTTTAAAGCCTCTGCTTAGTGCGACAATGAAGCAAACTAATACAGGAACAGAAAACCAAATACCACATGTTCTCACTTATAAGTGGGAGCTAAACATGGAGTACACGTGGCCACAAAGAAGGGAACAACAACAACAACAACAAAAGGAAACACAAAGAAGAGAAAACAGACACCAGGGCCTACTTGAGGGTGGAGGGTGGAAGAAGGGTGAGGATCGAAAAACTATCTATCAGGTACTATGCCTACTACCTGGATGACAAAATAATCCTTACTCCAAACCCCCATGACATGCAGTTTATCTATATAACAAACCTGCACTCGTACCCCTGAACCTAAAATAAAAGTTAAAAAAAAAAAAAAGCCTCTGCTTGCATCACATCTACTAACTTCAGTCAAAGCAAGTCACACGGGCAAGCCCCATATGAAGTAGGTGGGGAAATGCTACATATATTCTGCCCGTTCTGATAGAAGGTACTGCCAAGCCACTTGACAAATGCTTTGTAATTCTATCGCAGGGAGAGAGGGAAGAATTGGGAATAATTCAGTTACCACATCCATAATTCTATTTGCGACTTCCCTTTACTCTTTGGTTCCCATTCAGTACCTCGAAGATACAAAGTTGGAGGTCATCTAGTATGATCCTTTCCTCTTACACATGAGTTATCTGGGGCCCAGAGAGCTTATGGGACTTGCCTAAGATCACACAGTCAATTCAGCGCTCTACCACATTGAACCAAATGGTTGTAACTCTAACTTTCCTCTCTATCATCTGCCTCCAAACCCCAACTCCACAGGGAATTACAGGGGTTTAGTTCATGAGATAAATATATGAGTGAGGCCCTGAACTCCAGTCTCCAGAGGTAATAGCCTAGATTCACTGTGGATATGAAAGGTTTTAGTAGTGCAATGAGAGGAGACCATAAATTCTAGGTTCTGACTTGGAGAAATTGGTTTTTCACAAAGTGACTGGTGTGTGTGGAGGGAGGGCAAATTTCTAATGAAAATATTTATAGACCCTAGTGGTTATTTAAAAGTAGGTAATATTTCCAGAAGGAAATGTTTAGTTTGTTTCCCAGTTGCTTTCCATTGTCTCCATGCTTCATCTAACAAAGAATCAAATGTAAGGAAGGGCAAGGGGGTGGGTAGTTGGAACAACAACGGAATACTGCCAGAGATGAAGGAAAGATATAAAATGTGGCCTTTTCAAGTTGACATTTGTTTTTTAAGTTTCCCTAATGCCCTCTATAAGGTAAATCACCAGAGGCTGTGTGTTTGGCTTACTCCTCAAAAGCAGATCTGAGTTGGTAAGCAACTGAAACGCATCAGAGGATGGTTTGTTTTGAGAGAAGGGAACAGCTGTTCCTCCTGGAGTCCCTGACAGACATGGAGCCCTATCTGTTACCTCTGTGTTCCTAGATGGTATTGCTTACAGCCCTTTTTGTGTTCTGTTTACTGTTCCAATTCTGTAGGTCAGCTTGACTGGATATTCTATATATTTTTAGAGACACTTATTGCTAACATAGTTTTTGTTATCAATGTCTTAAGTCAGAAAGTTTCTTTAACATTTCTTGGTTTTACTCCCAGTTTGTTTACTTCTGCAAATCAGCTCTCTGGCAAGAAACTTGAGTCCTGCAGATGATATTATCTTGGAGGAATGTAGGGCCAGGCTACAGGGTAGCTTTTCTGAGAATAAATGATCTGACCACACTTAATAAACAAAGCCAGATAAGAAGCAGCCATTCAACATGAAAACAAAGAGCAATAATTTAGATATATAGCTTTAAAATAGAAACACAGGAAAACATACAAAATATGTTTTAAAATAATTATTTCCCATCTTAATTTTGTTCTGTTCCCTTTATTTTAGCCTTGAACAGACAGTCCCCACATTTTCAACTATGATTTCATTTTTAACAACAAAATTTCACAGAGTTGCACATAATAGTGTTTGTACTTTTAGTAAAAGTTGACTGAAAGTACATAAGGATAAACACATTGCTAGGAATTCAGTAATGCTTTTTGCCCAGGCTGGACTTGAACCCCTGGGCTCAAGTGATCCTCCCACCTCAGCCTTCCGAGTAGCAAGTAGTGGGGACTGTAGGCACACAGTACCACATCTGGCTTCAGTAATGCTTTTAATTGAAGGCATACTTTATTAAACAAAAGAGCATCTCTATCCATTTGAAGTCTGGGTGTATATATCAGTGCAACCCACCTTATTCAGGTAAGCATACCTTATGGGACTTCAGGTCCCTTTGTAATAATTTTAAAACTCTGCAGGTGTCCATGGCTCATAGGTTGATATCTAAACTTTGCCTTTCATCATTTATGCCTGTCAACTTTGGGAGCTGTCCTATTTAATTACATCATTGCTCTCCTGCCTGCACAAGCACTGCATATTCTTACCAGTTGGCTTGAACAGTATATAATATAATGGTTAGAGCTCTGTCTTCCTAAAAGTCAGAAGATTGGAATTTTGGATTGTTTTGTTGTTGTTATCTACTAATACATTTCTTTAAAGAAGTCAACGGCTTTGAGACTGTTTTGCTTTTTGCAAAATTGAGGAGAGGGCTGGGGAGATATTTGCTCAGCCCAACTCATGGATTATTATGAGGAACATAGTAGATTATGTAGCACTTAATCATATATACAGTAAATAGTCCTCAGTCAGTATTTTTGCAGAACCATTTGGAACTGAATTCTCAGCTTTTGCAGTACTACAAAGACATAGTTCACCCAGATTTACACTGGCCTGTGTGCCATGCTCTCCAGACACACAGTGGGTAGTAGATAGAAAGGGGGAGATCTGTGCATTGGACTGGGCTGGGAGTAATGACCTAGGTTTACGATTTATCTCTGCCATTTCAGTGAGTCATTTCATCTCTCTAGGCCTTAGTCCCTTGTGAATAGAGAAATGAATGAAAATCTCAGAGGTGTTCACATTTTGCAAAAGGGCTCTTTTTTCTTCTTCCTAAATGAAATTAAATTGCAAAACTCCAATATATAAATCAGATATCCAAAAAATGCAGTTTTCACATGCAGTTTAAAATGTTCATTTATTGCAAATGAGGCCCTAGGAGCACAGTTTGAAAACCACTGATTTAGTTCATGTCTAAGATCCAGCTTTACATTAAGATGCCCATTTATTAAAGTGAGATATGTTTCTGCCCAAATATTGCTAGTTGTCACCTACATGGGACTTCTTGCCTTGATAGTCTTGTCCACTCAGGAAATCAAACCTTAGAGCAGCACTTAGAGTGTAAAAAAAATCAAAGCAAGTTCTATATTCTTAAGGAATAGTTCCCTCAAGCAATGGTGACCCAATTTAATGCCCTTCTTCATGTTAGTAATTTTTTTCTCTAAAGAACTGGGCCACGAAATCTAGAATCTCAGCACCATCCCGTATAGTATAGGAAGAAACACTAATCATAATTCTAACATTTGGAGCCACTCCAGGACTGAGTCTGGACCCGAAGGATCCCTCTTTCTTCACTTGGTGCCTAACAGTACCTGACATATAGAGGACACTCAATAAGTCTTGAATGACTGACTGACTAAATGGATTGAGTGAATTTGTGGCAACTAATTAAGCAAGAAAAGACTGAATTACCTGATTGGTTTTGAAAGCAGCCATTATAAAGTTTATAATTAAGTTTGTCACTGAGCAAATCTAGTCTATACCTTCAGACCCCAACAATGCCCATGTACTCTCAGGGTTTTTAGAAATTTTGAGTTTCCAAACCATGCTGGGGTCATTTTCAGGGAGCAGACTGAACTCTCACACAGTAGCTGCCCCTGTTTCCTTTTTTTTTTTTAACTTAATCCCAAATGTGATAATAAGCTGCCCTTATTTTCAGCCACTGAAAGAATGTCAGGGAGCTGGATCTTGAGGCTGGTAGAGAGTAGCAGTTAATGATGAGAAGCACAGACACTGACTACCTGGGCTCTAATCCTGACCTTTCCATGTGTTAGCTGCCACTATGGGTAGTTATCTCTGTTTCTATAAAGTGGGGTATTAACTAATGTGAGGATTGAATGAGCTAATGCCCCTGAAGCTCTTAGAACAGAGCCAGACATGTTGTAAACATTCAATAGGTATTGACTCTCATGTATTCATCCTGGTATAGTGGAAAGAGCATAAGTATTGAGTTAGTCAAGCCAGGCTTTTAATTCAGGCTCTGACCCTTTTTTGGGGGCAGTCATTTAATTTCACTAAACTTGTTTTTTCATCTTGTGTAAATGCTATTTAAAATTGTAGCAGACTATAGCTTTCTGATTTCTAGGACTCTTAAGTTTAGGAAAACACCTGTATAGGTCCGCTTTGGATATGAAGGAGGAAGCCCCAGGCAGAGAACTAAAATGCTTTGCATAATAAAACAATAATTTTGAGCATCCTGGAGTTTGAGATGAAAGCACCAACCCTAGGAAAGAGAGAAGTCCAGCAAAGTAGCCAGGAATCTGGGGCTCTATTTGGGGATACAGTTTTAATATCCAATATTAAGTTGTTACTTGGCACCAGAGTGGAACATTCCTTACCTTTTACCAAAAGTTAAATAAATGTTTGTTAACCAAGCAATCATATGTGGGTGATAACTTTGGGGAGTGAAGAAATTGGGGTGATGCGCCAAGTATTCGGCAAGGCTATATAGCAAAAGGGAACACAAACACCAGGGGGATGTAAAGGAGACATGGAGAATTTGGCCTGTGTAGGAAAACAGAATGTGAGGCAAGGAAGGGAAACCTGGAGATGTGGAGAGGAACAGAGAATTTCTCACCAGTGTGTGAGATGGCAATCAGGCACTTTTATTTTACACTAATCTTAGAGGATAAGAAAACTAGAGTCTGTTGAAGAACCTGAGTACCCTGGCATTTGAATTATAAGCTGGGCAGGATTCTTATGATCATTAAAGTTAAGGGATGTGGCCCGGCGCAATGGCTCACACCTGTAATTCCAGCACTTTGGGAGGCCTAGGAGGGAGGATTGCTTGAGCCCAGGCATTTGAGACCAGCGTGGGCAACGTGGCAAAACCCCATCTCTATAAAAAACACAAAAAGTAGCCAGGCGTGGTGGCACACACCTGTAGTCCCAGCTACTTGGGAGGCTGAGGTAGGAGAATCATCTGAGCCTGGGAAGTTGAGGCTGCAGTGAACTGAGATTGAGCCACTGCAATCCAGCCTGCGCATCCAGCAAAACCCTATCTAAAATAAAATAAAATAATAAAATAAAATAAAATAAATAAAATTGAATGGTTGTAAACTTCTAGCACAAGTAATCATTTGATAAATGACACACCTATCATCTTGTTGATTCATGTATTACTCACTGAATATGTTTCTAGCCCAAGGAAGCTGGGCAAAGAACAGCTGGTACACATGGGGGCAGTGGAGCATACAGGTTCCCACTCATCTTACCTGTGGCTGAGACTTACCTACCGTCCCTCCTCTTACTCCCCACATCTCTGTCTCCAGCATTTTTCTCCTCTCTGCACAAAGAAAGCATACTCCCTGAAGGAACAAAATGGGCTTCCAGGAGTACTAGGGCTACGTTTCTGGAGGAGCACAGGCAGGCTTGTGTGATGTGTGATGGTAAAGGATTTCTTCAAAATCATGTTCATGCCTTAGAGAATGCCTGGAGAATATAAGTTTTTAAATTATTTCGTTAATCAACTCACTGAAGGTAAGAGAGACAAGTAGTGTCCTAAAAACATGCAGTTATTTTACCTGTAATCCATTTTCCAGTAAGTGACTACCGAGATAGCTGGAGCACAAGAATAGGTAATGGCTTTGTTTTCCCAAGATGTGGTCACTGCGATTATTTTTAGATGAAAGATTTGGAGCCAGAAGCACAACTCATAATTATGTTGCTATGATTCTACAACCAGTTGTTCTGTGGAATTAATTCAACTGTGAAAACTTTAAAGTTACCACATTTTCTGAAAACCCAGAAAAACTGAAAGTAAAATATTCCGTGACACACAGTGCTGTTTCCTGAGAACATCTCCCATTGCTCCACTTTGCAACTTGCATGCCTCCTGCTTAGCCCTCCTTTCATCCCCAGCTCTTACCCGGCTCTACAAATTACTGAAGTCCACTGATAGTCCCTCCTTCGTGAAGCATTCCTGAAGACCCCAGCCTGACAGATCTCCCCTTCCTCTGACCTCCTGTATTGGTAATGTATTGTCTACACCTTTCTTAGAACCCCTCATTTTCTCCCGTGAATTCTAGTTTATTTTCATATCTGTCTCACTATTTTCAAAGCTAGGTTTGTACTATGTAATATAGGTGGCTATTAGTATCCATTGGTTTCACATCTGCAGATTCAACCAACCATGAATTCAACCAACTGTGAATTCAACCAGTGGCTGATTATAACTGTTTGGAAAAAGGCCAGGTGCAGTGGCTTATACCATGATCTCAGGACTTTGGGAGGCTGAGGTGGGAGGACTGCTTGAGCTCAGGCGTTTGAGACCAGCCTGGGCAACATGGCAAGACCTAATCTCTACAAAAAATGCAAAAATTAGGCAGGCATAGTGGTGCGTTCCTGTAATCTCAGCTATTCGGGAGGCTGAGGCAGGAGGATCACTTGAGCCCAGAAGGTCAACACTCCAGCCTGGGTGACAAAGCAAGATTCTGTCTCAGAAAAAAAAAAAAAAAGGAAAAACTTCCCAAGAATAAAAAATAATAGTACAACAATAAAAAAAACAACATAACAGCTATTTACATAGCACTTACATTGTGTTAGGTATTGTAAGTACCCTGGACATTATTTAAATATACTGGAGGATGTGCACAGGTTATATGCAAATACTATGCCCTTCTATATAAGAGACTTGAGCATCCTCAAATTTTGGTATCTTTGGGGATCCTGGAACCAATCCCTCTTGGGTACCAATGGACAACTGTAGTTTTCCATTTCAAAAACAATATGTCAAATCTATATCAAAAATCTGGAAGAGAAAAAGGAAAGAATGCATCTCATCATTTTGACACAAATTCTGTACTCATTACTTTAGGCTGTTTCTTCCTAAATCTTTTTCTATGATTATTTTTTCATTGATTTAATCCTGGTGGATATGCAACTTCATATCCTTTTTTCAATTAACATTACATCACAATCATTACTCAAATTGCTACATAGCCATCATAAATATTTCTTTAAAGGCTGCAAAATATTGACTACTTTTCTATTGTTAAAATTTTAGATTGTTTATCATATTCCATCGTTATAAACAACACTGCAGTTGACATTTTCATGCATACAGTTTTTCCAGTGTGTATGTTTCTGTATGCACATGTACATTTTGATTTTTTTCCCTTAGGATAATGTCCCAAAAGGAAACTTACTGAACCAAAGAGCCAGATTGTTTTTATGGCACATATTGCCAAGTTGCTTTCCAAAAGAGTTGGTCCCATTTATACTATTAGAAGTGTATATCGGTTTCTCCAAACCTTCACCAAAATTATTTTCTTAATTATTTAATCTTTGTATAAATGAAGTAGGATGACTTTAGTTCACTGCTTTTTTTTTTTACCATGAAAATTATTTTAAGCATTCAAAAAAGTATGCAGAAAAAATATATAACCCCTGGTTCTGGTTTGTCAAGTCTTAACAAATTTCCACATTTTCATTAAAAGCCTGGCTTGACTAACTCAATACTTATGCTCTTTCCACTATATCAGGATGAATACATGAGAGTCAATACTACATATATAACTGAAATCGTCATGCACCACTTTCCCAAATCCATTCCAATGCCTTCCTCCCTCCCTCTACAGAGACAACTGGAATTTGATGTTTATCATTCCTTTGCACTCCCATGTCCATATGTTTTAATTGTTAAATCTTTACTTACTAATGAAGTTGAACTTTTTAATATACTATAGCTAATATTAAAGTGCTCAGATTCTAGAGTCAGGTGGAACTGTCTTTGAATTCCTACTCTGCCACTAATTAACTATGTCTCCTGGCACCTCTCTATGACTCATTTGCCTCATCTATGAAATGGAGATAATAATAACTCATACTATTCTTTTTTTTTTTTTTCTTTTGAGATGCGGTTTCCCTCATGTCACCCAGCCTGGAATGCAGTGGCGCGATCTCGGCTCATTGCAACCTCCGCCTCCTGGGTTCAAGCGATTCTCCTGCCTCAGCCTCCCGAGTATCTGGGATTACAGCCATGCGCCTCCACACCCAGCTAATTTTTGTATTTTCAGTAGAGACGGAGTTTCACCATGTTGGCCAGGCTGGTCTCGAACTCCTGACCTCAAGTGATCTGCCCACCTTGGCCTCCCAAGGTGTTGGGATTACAGGAGTGAGCCACCGCACCCGGCCAATTCATACTATTCTTTATCATGTTGTTATGAAGATGAAATGGGAAGCTGCATGTGAAATTCTTGGCACAGTGCTCACTTAGCATGCAATAATACCTTTTATCATTACTCTGGTTTTTCTTGTGAATTATTCGCCCCTTTTCTTAGCAAGATTAGATTACCTAAAACTTGTGAAGCACTTTTCCAACATGATCCTATTTATTCCTCACAATGGCTTTATGAGATAGTACTGCAATGATCCTATTTGATCCCAATGATAAGCCAGTAGGGAGCAGAGCTGTATCAAAACCCAAGTCTCTGGTGCTGGCACCTCTTGCTTTGAACTTATTTGCTGCAGCTCCATCAACTTAAAAGTCATTTCGTGATACAACGTCATTGGTTTATGAGGTGGCTTTAGTGCTATTCTTTAACACAGTCATTATAGACAGATCCCAGTTTCTCTCCGACTTACAATTGTCTTCCTTCTCTATTTTTTCCCTGAATATTCTATATCAAAATATTTTATTGTTCTATAAAATTAAATATACTCTTAAACTCAACAAATAACATTACCACTAATAATATATTTACATTATTAGAGATTTAGGATTTTATAGGGTTGGTATTACTTTTTTCTGATTTTTTTTGTAAAACAAAGATCCAGGCAATTCCTGTATCCAAATTTCAATTTACTAATGCATTAGTCCTAAACATTTTAACTAAAATAAACCCTTAAGGATTCTGAATATTTATTAATAGTTAACTGGAGCACAATTAAAATTTTATTATTTATAAAAATGTAATTTTAAAAGAAAAAGAATAATAACAAACCTTATTGAAACGTATTTAGAAACCAAATTTTGAAATACCTTATTTTTAAGTTGGTTTTTCAAGGCACAAGAAAAAATACTCTGGATATAGGTTCTAATCTACTCTCGTGTGCATTAATAGGACACATGTATAAATACCAATTTTGTTTATACAAGTTTGAAACTACAAGAACATCTTAAGATGACATTATATGGTAATCATATTTTACTCAGTTTATCAATATTCCATTTTTCCTTTGAAAATTCTGACACCTTGGCTGGGCGCGGTGGCTCACACCTGTAATCCCAGCACTTTGGGAGGCTGAGGTGGGCAGATAATGAGGTCAGGAGTTTGAGACCAGCCTGGCCAACACAGTGAAACCCTATCTCTACTAAAAATACAAAAAATTACCTGGGCGTGGTGGCGGGTGCCTGTAATCCCAGCTACTGGGGAGGCTGAGGCAGGAGAATTGCCTGAACCCAGGAGGCCGAGATTGCAGTGAGCCGAGATCATGCCATTGTACTCCAGTCCAGGCGACAGTGCGAGACTCCGTCTCAAAAAAAGAAAAAAAAAAGAAAAAAAGAAAATTCTGACACCTTTCACATTAAGTGACAGTCTCCTTATCCTCAAATATGTTTGAGAAAACCAGATTCAGAGAACTCAAGGTGAGAGTTAATGAGGCAATTACAGACATTACATGGCCCCAGGCGTAGTGGAATGAGAGTATCTTCAAAGGTGTCTAGAGGAGCAAGGAGCATCTTAAGACTCAGGAGGCATGTGTGTTGTGGACACAGGATCAGGCAAAGGATATTGACTGAAATAAGTATGAAGTACTTTGAAAAGACATTCAATATAGATCCTGTGAACCTAAATACAGTGTTTGTTTTGGTTTTATTCCAATGGGAAAGTTATCTGGCTCTTTTTTCTCCCAGAAATCATAGTGTTCAAGTAAGTAGGAGTATGGGTTACTAGAGATCTATAAAAGCCATTGCCTTATAAATGACAGTATGGCCCCTTATCTGGCAATCTGCCAACTCCCCCAGCTCCTGACTGCAGCAGTACTCCACAGCTGGCCTTTTGCCAGGATCAGAAAAGAGATCAAGGCATATGAGCTTCACTGTGGCTCTTACTTGAGGTCTTCAGCTGACACCTTCTCCAGGGAGGCTGGCAGCCACCTCAGCAGAAAGCCACCTTGAAGCCTATACAGTTTACCTCTTCACAGAGGTTATACTTGCAGGCAAATGCCCACATGTGTACCAAATCATTTTAACGAAGCCCATCATAACCCTCTGGATGAAAATGCAACAGAAAAACTACAATGCCTGGTGCCAGTTCACATGTAGCAGATAGGTACTTAAGGGGTGATAGCTACCTCTGCCACGAAAACAAGGAGACACACTCTCATCTGCTGATTACAACTAATTTCCTCTAAGACATTTTAAGCCATCTGTTCTAAAAGTTGGTATGTGGGAAGATAAAAATTCTTTTAAAAAAATTATGTGGTAACACCCAAAATCAAAACTGAAGCTAACGTGGCATTGCTCATCTATGCTCTAATTTTTTGGAAAACAGTTTCAGGCAAGTTAGGACGGCGGCAGGCCCAGGAGCTGAACAAATTCAGGGGCCATCTTAGGGCAAGCTGGGGTGGGATTAGATGTTCCAGTCTGCACTGTTCTCCTAAGCCTGCCGTGATCTGAAACTTAGATCTTGGGCCTGGGCCAGAACCAGACTGACCTTCAAGGGTGAGCAAAGAAGGCAACAGCATCCAGACAACTGTGGTGACGAATTCTCTTGATATTGCCTTTTCTCTCTATTCTCCCCGAATGCTGATTGAATGCTCCCAATCTACCATCTCCCTTAGTGTCACTATAACTACTGCCTCCTACCGAAATTGTATGCCTTTTTAAGATTATGAAAATAAATGCTAACTACTATGTCTTTTGGTCTCAGTTGAAAACAGTTATCCTTCAGCTATCTTTCGCAGTATAAATAACTTGCCCAACTTTGCTAAAGCTGAAGTTTGCTCCATAACTTCATTAGGAGATTACTGTAATGGAAAAAAGTACCTAATTAATTAATATAAAGTCTATTATAAAGATTTGTATAATGTCTCAATTAGAGAATATAGATTCATGTATATCATATATATATCTTTTCATAATTTCTTTTGTCATCATCCACAGCATATGCATGAGGAGTATAAGTTGATTTTAGATGCTTTGTTCATCAGTAATTCATCTCATATTCCGTGTGAGCACTTGTAATAATGCATGTATTTGATATTCAGGTGGCTCTTTGTGTTTTCATTGTAGTAACTGGTGATTCAAGGTGCATAGAACATTAAAAAACTAGTGTCAATTACTATAATGAAAGTAGAGATTGGTTATTCTACTAGGGTTTTAAAAACTTTTAAGTCTTGCTTGTAAAAAAAGTCTGTAAGATTTTTTTCTGAGTTCAGTTTTAGGTAGTATGTTAAAAATAGATTCCCCCAAAATAACACTACAAAATATTAGGGCTGTTTAAGAAATACCTTGTTTATGCCGCAAAGTAGAGGAAAAAAGACCAATTTTAATTTGGTCTAGATATGTCCAAATATAATATGATTTTCCCGTTTTTCTAAAGCACATTTTCAAAAGTGTGTTTGGGACAACCTGATGTGTTAAACTTTTGAGATATAAGCAAAATAGTTAAATGTCAACTTAAAATATTTATTAATTTACTTATAACACTTATTAAATATACTGATTTAAATGTTGCTTTTTCCACTTTTATATTTAACATATATTTACAATCATAATTTCGTAATTATTGTATTCCATTTTAAAGTGGTCTTTTAAAAGTTTATTTATTTTTAAAAATACAGGTTCTAGATTTTACAGCTTGAATTTATGTCAGGCTAAGAGACTTCTGCAATCAGGATACTGTTGAACAAAATAAAATAATTAAGAGTGACCCATACATGAGAGATTATAAGGACGGCAGGACAAAGTAACTCTATTGTGTTAAAAACAAAAGAACAAAGAAGCCTTCCCATATAGCTATTTTATACTGGTTACACAATAGAAAATTAAAAAGCTTGAAATGTTATAGTGAAGTAACCGATCCTTCACACTTGTGTCTGGTTTTAGTTTTTCTCCCCTACTTTGGTACTCAACAAATAATTGCCAGATGAATAATAATATCTCTAAATCATCTTTTTGTTTTTTATATGTATTATTTTTATGACCAGAAAAAAAGCCATAAAGAAATTAGTTCTCCCATAAACCTGAAAATTGTAGTTAGACTTGTCTGTTTTTCTGAGTTTATTATAATAACTTGTTAAAATTCCAGACCTCCACTGAAATCTTAGCAAAAAGGTCCACTCCTTAAATTAGCTCAGATTCCTCTAGGGATTGTTTAAGTGATGTTAACTCTATTTACAGTTCCAGAGATCCCTACATTCTTCCACTGGGTAAGCAATACGCTGAAAATTCTTTGGAATAAAAAAACCTTACCAACGGGAACAGAGTATATTGAATTGAATTCTCTTCTAGTACCCAGAAGTAAGGAAGCTACTATGAAAACTGTCTTAATGATTTAAAATTATTTGAGTAGTGAAGTTGTAACTAATTATTCTTAATTAATGAATTAAAATCCTATTGACATCAGTTAACTCAGTAAGTTTCACAAGTTTGTAATTTGCTCCTGGAAGTACTCTGAATAGTGGCAAACTTTTTTAATTGGGGGGCAGTAGCTCCCTGGCCCAGTCCAGTCAGAAGCATTGAGGACCTTCTCCTCCAGAGTTCCATGTGCCCAAGTGGTATTCTGAGTCCAACTTGAAACTGTCGTGTCTGTCTTTCTGTTTTGGAGACAGTCTCACTCTGTCGCTCAGGCTGGAGTGCAGTGGTGTGATCTTGGCTGCAACCTCTGCCTCCTGGGTTCAAGCAGTTCTCATGCCTCAGCCTCCAGAGTAGCAGAGACTACAGGCATGTGCCACCATGCCCAGCTAATTTTTGTATTTTTTTAGTAGAGAGGGGGTTTCACCATGTTGGCCATGCTGATCTGGAACTCCTGACTTCAAGTGTTCTGCCAGCCTCAGCCTCCCAAAGTGCTGAGGTTACAGGCGTGAGCCACTGTGCCAGGCCCAGTTCTCTCAATTCTGCCTTTCTCTGCTGTTCAGAACTTAAGACATTTACTCATTTATACTCCTGTATAGTCTCAGTCTATGCTGCTACATGCTGCCTTCCTGGTAACTCATCCTCAGTATACTGTCCTCTCTGGGAAACATTTTCATCATGCTGTGTAGACCTCCTGTTTTCCTTTTTAAAACAAAACCCCCAATCTTCATCTTCCTCACAGAATGTGTCAGTTGGCTTTTCTGGAAAGCGGATGCTAAAATGGAACTAGGGGTGTAAGAGGCTTATTGGAAGGTAACACCTGTGAAAGATGAAAGGCACAGGAAGCAGGACTGGAAAGGAAAGGCTCAGACCACAATGCACATCTGACAAGTTCCCAGTCAACTCAACAGCAAGCTAGAGAACAAGGACTGATGATTAGAAGGGCTCTGCATTGCAAAGAATGGCCAGGCCCAAGTATCTCGGCTGAGCTTTGTCACTGGCTGGGGATATCTGGGAAAAGCATGGAGTAGGGCGACTGTGGTTTACAATAATCTATTGTTATATTTTAAAATAGCTAGAAGAAAATAATTTGAATGTTTCTAGCATAAAGAAAATTTTTAAGATGATGGACATCCCAATAACACTGATTTGATCTTTACAAATTATATGAATGTATTAAATTATCACATATATGCCCAAAATATGTACATCTATTATGTATCAATAAAAAATAAAATTAAATAAAAAGGCTGAGGCAGGTCCTACAGGCACTAAAAGTTGGAGGCTGTCAGCCAACTACATTCCTCATGGCTGAATATCAAGGTCTTTCTTGAAGGGAGATCAGAGAGACACACTCCAAGGTCACCTCACAGATCAATTCCTCCACTGTCTCATCTCTGCAGTCTCAAACTTCAGCATCCTCCTCTCCCACCCTAACATCGTATCTTTCCAACTTTTACTCCCTTACTCTCATTATATTTGCTTTTCAATTGTAAAAGTTCCACTCCTTTATTCCCATGACCTTCTCTCCACATTTCAGCTTTGCCTTGATTTAACTGCTTTTTCCAGATAGGCTACACCCAGTTTCCCATCACTTCATCTATTCTTCTGCCAATATCCTTACATTCTTTGCCCCTTTTTCCTGTTTGAGTGCCCACACTGCAAAACCCTGTTTATCTATCTGCCTTCTTTCTTCCTACACTCAAACTGCTGGCTACAGCTAAAGAAAACCATATACCACCGCAGATTAATGTCACATGGTTTCCAGTCTTAGCTGAACCCTAACACTATACAGAAATCCTATAGTTAGGTATTTCCTTCTCATATGGCATCTGAAAAGAAATCTTCTAATTTTTATTTCACAGCATGTTGAAGAGCATGGCGGAAAAGGCATGGGCTTTGGAGTCACATGGATCAGATTTGAATTCTAGCTCTTTACTTCCTGTGTGACCTTCCCTAACTTCTCTTTGGTCTTTTTTCCCCATCTGTAAAATGGAGGTATTACTAACTACTCAACATAAAATAGGTAACTGGTTTAGTGAGAAGTCTCAAATCATTGGAAGTATATACTCAAAGTTTTTTCTCCCCCAATAACACTGCCAGCTGTACACTGTTGAAAATCCCCTTTTCCACTGAGTACATCTCAATCCAATTCCCCAACATTTTGAACATTTTCAGCTTTCAACAGTCCTCTTCCCCACCAGGGCAGGTCAGGTAGGAGGCTGTGTGTGGGTTTGTGTGTGAAGGCATGATCTGCTTTCTTGAATCCACACTTCCAACCTTCTATTTACTGTTCCAGTGTCTGAAAAAGCAGGCAGGGAGGGAAGAATTTGTCTTCTTATGCACTGTCCAGGTTGCTGTCCCAAACAAGTAAATGATCTTGTCTCTTTTCATACGCTCAGGATGACCAGGTGGTTACCATAATAAGTTCCATTGACAAAGATGTCAGTCCTAAGCAGTTCCTGAAAACATTGATGGTCCTTTGGAAGACTTCATCTGTTGGCAGAATTCTATCCCTCCCACACCCACTTCCTATCCCAAGGACTGCTTCAGTGGTCCATATCATACCTTCTTTCTTATTGGTTATTGCAACCCAACTCTGGAGTCAAAGGTACAGGTGAGATTCATTTTCTGTACCTCCCAGGAATCAGGGACTTGAGATAAGGTGTCCTTGTCTTGGCCTCGCCATACCACCTAGCTACCTCTCCCTAATTTTCCTTCCTTTATTTTGGTAGCACTGGGTAGGAAATCACAGCCTAGAATGAAGGTTTCTATGAACTTGGCTCCCAAAAATTTGGTATATATTTGTTAAGAGTGTACTATTTCACCATAATTCCTGGACTAATTAGTAACCCCAAAGGGTCAGGAAAAGATCCCAGTCACTACTTTATTCTGATACATGTATATAAATTATCATCTACAACTGACCTGGCCTATACCAATGAATGTTATTTTTTCTTGGTGAGCTATAACAGTTACATTTCTAAATTGTATGTTTGTCTGTATTACCAATATAGGATGTACACATACACTGTTCTAACTATTTTACAAAGATTAACATGTTTAAACCCCACAGCAATCCTGTGAGGCAGTTATCATTATAATCCCCAATTTACAGGTAAGGGAATTGAGGCACAGGTTAAGTAACCTATTTGTTTTCCATTCACCTATTTGAATTCTACCTGCCAGGGATCCAATTAAGATAGTCAAATCCATCTTCAAAAGAAAGAGTGTTTTTTTAAATTATAAATGATTTTTGGGATTACAACAATCCACAAATAATTGGATAACTTGTCACCTTTGTGATCTGGAAGAGGTTGTATAGCATGGTCCTTGATACACACTTGATATACAAGAATTGTCTAGTCCTTGGAATCTTTTAGAATTCATTCATAAATCTCTTTCTATGTAGTAGCAATAGTTCTTTAGGAACTATTTCAATTGTTATTGGTTGGTTTACTTTTCCTACATATTGTTGGGTTCTTTTGCTATTTATATATTTTATATTTTTGTAAATATAAAGCTCTCTTGAGCTTTCCTCATATTATGCATGGGGTTTCCTTCTCATTTTATTTATTTTTTAGAGGCAGGGTTTTGCTCTGTTGCCCAGGCTTGAGTGCGGTGGCACAATCATTACAGCTCACTACAGCCTCCAACTCCTGGGCTTAAGTGATTCTCCTGCCTTGGTCTCTCAAAGCACTGGATTACAGGCATGAGTGACTGCACCTGGCTCTTCTAATTTAAAAATATCACTTTTATTCATTGTCATATCCCTCTTCAGTTCTGTAGATGATGTTTGCACAATCTGATAAATTTGAATCAGAAAAACACATGTAAGATAGCTCAACTTAATCAGTTCAAAGATTTATATACAAATTTAAGAATTATAAATGCAACACTTATTTTTCAGTTTTAAATAATGTCTTTTTTTGAAATGAGACATTTTAAACAAATAGTTTAATATAGTTTGGTATTAAATGTGGCATTTTTAGTACTATTTTCTTCTTTTGTGATCTAGTTTATATTCTTAAAAAGTCCCCTCCCAAAACATTAAATATCCTAATTTCATCTGAGCAATGATACTTATACACACACACACACACACACACACACATACACAGAGTCACTATTTTCATTACTTATATCTGCACAGAACAACTGCCAAGATTGAGGTTTATTGAGGTTCAACGATAACTGTCTTTGCTTTTAAAATTCTCCTTGTAGTCCTAACACACTGTCACAACAAAACAAAAATATGGCAGTTTACCACATGGGGTTTAGTAATGGTTAGATAGTCCTTAGGTTCTCCAACTTGTGTTATGATAAATTTTAATCATTCTGAAAACCATGGCTGTATCATACCATGTACATATCATCCATGTATCATGGATTTGGGGGGAAGCATTAGTTCAGTATATACTCAGAATTCATATGATTAAAAGAAATGGATACTTTAGCAACATAATATTCTCACTTAGTATTTCAATTAGTTCTAATTGCATTAGCCCTCTATCCTCCCAAGTTTAATTACTAGGGACACAAAAATTTCATATTTGGTGCCAAGTGCCAAAAGAGCAACATGTTTTTACTGTTTGCTTTTACTCTGTAATAGATATTGAAATATTTTAGATACTTTCACCTTCGCATGTACTTTTTTTGTGTGTAGTAGCATGCCCTTTATATTGATAAAAAGATGTAGAAAACCCGAGTAAACGATTTTCTTTAAACACTGTTTAGAATTAGGAAATTGGCAGTTTTGAAATAATAAGTGTATTTTAAACTCGCAAAGGCCAAGATATTTCTGTAATATTTTATACACTTCTTAGAACTGCATCACAAATGAATTTCAAAAATTCTGTTCCTGAGACTGTGGTAACTACAAAGCATGAAAAAAAAATCTATACATAGTGCTATAGCTTCTGCTAATTTTCTTTTTGGGACTTAAAAAAATCTATCCTCTTCAAGTGTTAGATAAAACGAGCTAGTGCACATTAAAATAATAAAAAGGAACCAATCACATTCGTCTTTCATGTTTCTGTATCTTTTTATCATCAGAAACAGCTGACCCTTGGCTAACATTACATGATTTGGAGAAATAATTGGAAGTCTACCACAGGGAGACTAAATGTAAAACTCCAATCAGATAAATTACAACACGGATGTGGTAAGTGATAGAACACACACCTAAATCTAATTTAACTTCCAAGAATTTTAAGTAGTATTTCCCAATTAAAATGTCTTTAAGGGAAAAATGCAAATATGAGGCCTTTGTTAGCAAGATTCCAGAACAGGAAAAGCGGAACTCAAAGCCTCTCTAGTTAAGCGACCTGCGTTCCGACTTACCTCTGAGTGATGGGCCTACTGCAGAGCCCGCCTCCCACCACAGTGCTGGCCCAGAATTTTTTATACGAACTAGTTCGTAACTAAACGTTGGAAGCATCACCATATTGCCAGTGAGAAGTAAGATTTAAAAATAAAACGATGCTGTCCCTTTTCGCCCTTCCTTAGGACGTCTCCTCCTGCACTAAGGGTTCAGGTGAAGGGTGGAAACTGGCCAAGAAGAGGAAGAACGTGAAGGAGTAGGGGGCAAGGAGGAAAGGGCTCCCTTTACAGACTTTGGTGCCATTTTTACTTTCTGCTTGCTAATCTGAAACGTTGTGCGATTACAATGACGGCCCCTCTCCCCCTCGGGTACTAATTACCCCCGGGCCTTTTCCGGTGCACATCCCGGTGCTATATTCTGGTGCCTGTGTTGCCCCCACGCCCCCATTAAATTAGTAAAGGAAAACCACCCCTTTTCTGCCCCTAAAGTAATCTATAAACGAAGGAATACAGATGAGGATTTAAATCCCAATCCTAATTCCAAGGGAGGCTGGAAGCCCCCTCAGCCGCGCCCTGGCTTGGCTTTTTCATCTCGAGCGGTTGTGACGCCAGGGGCAGGTCTTCCACGTGTCTTCACAGAGGTGCCCGGAGGGAGGGCGTGAGGGATTACCCAAGGGAGGGGCGAGTATCGCAAAATAGGCCAAGTCGCTGCCCTCTACTCAACTCGCAGGGCGGGAGGATGGAGACAGAGGGATGCGGCGGGAGGGCGGGACAGCCCAGTCGCCGCCAAGGAGGCGAAGCGGGGTCGGGGTAGCTCACCCGCCCCCCGCAGTCCCCGCCCCCCGCAGTCCCCGCCCCGCGCGGCGCCGCGCACGCCTGAAGTCATTGCCCGAGGCCCCGCCCCCTCGCGGCCCCAGCCCCGGCTCTGGCTCTGCCGGCGGAGGGGGCGGAGAGAACCCGCAGCTGCAACTTCGCCTGGAGCCTTTGAGCCTGGGCTCAGCCGGGGATCTAGCAGCCGTCACCGCCGAGTCGCCGCTTCCCCGGCGCGGGCCTCAGCCCAGCCGGCTTGGCCATGGCAGGCGCCGGCAGTGCGGCGAATCTGGCCCCTGCGCTCCCCGCCCGTAGCTGAGCAGCCGTTAACCAGCCATCCCGCCTTTCCTCCTGCCCGTGTCGCCGAGGCCCACGCTCCGCGCAAGTTTCCGCCGCCGAAGAAGCAGGAGGACGGACGTGAGGAGTCGGGCGTCCCTGGCCCACCCGGCCCTCTCGCCCGCGATGTGGGGGCGCTTCCTGGCTCCGGAGGCCAGCGGCCGGGATAGCCCCGGCGGAGCCCGCAGCTTCCCTGCCGGTAAGGAACGGGACAGCGCCCCGGCTGGGGTGGGGGTCACGGCCGACCGCGGCGCCTCGGGACCTCGCCGCCGCTCCCCTCCCGCCTCAGGCCTGTCTTACCCCGGCCGCCTCCCCGACGCCGCCGCGTGCCCAGTGTCCTCCCCGCTGTCAGCACCCGGGCTGACATATGGCTTGCCGCGTCCCAGGCGCATCAGCCCCGCATCCCGTCGTCCCCGCCGCTCCTCCTTGGGCTGCAGCCCCAGCGCCCCCAACTTCCAGCTCGCTTGGGCCCCCGCGGGTTGGGCTTTATTGTCTGCCCGGTTTTTTCCTTTTACTCGTGGGGTGTGTGACCTGCGTGATAACGGGGCTTGCCCGTTTGCTCGCGGGGACCCGGGCGGGAAGGTCGCTGCGACAGTGCTGCGGCGGCGGCCCGGGCGCGTCTCGGAGGGGCCGCAGTTCCGCGCCCTCCCGACTTCTGGTAGGCGCAGGCTGGGGTTGGCTGTGCCCACGCCCGCAGCCGCTACTTTTAGGGCGCGTTTTCGGGAGGGAGGATGCTGCCAGAGATGCGGCCGCTCTCAGCCACCCCCAAGGGAACTTCAGCCCCTCGGAGGAACCTGGTCGCCGCCCCGCAGCCCCTGCGGCGTAAGAGGAGGGCGCGTCCTGCAGTAGCCAATGGACCATTGAGCAACCGGGTTACGAATCCGTTTGGCTTTCCGTGGCCCCTTCAAGGAAAATTAGGGGTTTGCTGCATTCCGTATCTGAAGGGGTCTGTTTGTATCGGACAGCCATTTCATGCTTGCGTCGCTCAGAAGTTGTGTAGGAGCCACAAAATTAGGATAAATCCTCCCCTAACTTGGGATAAAAAATAAGTCTTGGGTTGCCTGTGATATGTTCTCTAAAGATGATGGTCTTTCCAGGCACTTTTAATCTTGAGTTTTGAGGCCTTTTGAGAAACTGAGTTATATGGACATTCTGCGCAGAAAAAACAATGCCATATATACATACGCAAAATTTTCCCTACAATTTTAGCTGTTTCTGGGACTCCTGTTAAGTAACCTTGCTCCACAAAGTGTTTGAGCTCGACTTGTGTAACTTAGAGATATTTTTGCATACATTTCCAAAGCTGTTATTTACAAAACAAAAAAGCAGAAGCAGCATTTGGAAAGGGGTCTTTTGATGGTAATATTTTCTGCTATTTAAAAAAAATCAGGCACTGACCGAGTCACTAGTATCAGGCTATTGAAATTTCGAATAATGCAATTCTTTGATAGTTTAGATATTTGTGATGTGTGGTTTTTAAAAAGACATATGTACATTTTAAAAAGCCAGAGTTAGATTTGAATCATTCACTTAAGTTTGGTCCTGAAACACTTAATGTATGTTAATGAATGATTTGAATCATTCACTTAAGTTTGATCCTGAAATTTAATGTAGGCATGAATTTAGTAAAAAGCAGTATTAAGTAGGGATTTTTTTTTTCTAAATTGTATGTTATTTGTCCTAAGGAGACAGTTCAGAGGTTTCCCGAGTTTACAGATTATTCACAAATCCTGTCATCTAAGTAACTTCAGTGATTGAGAAGCTACTTCATTATCCCTAGGGGCTGGAGGGAGTGGTTTCAGTTTATCTGAAAATGTCAAAAGCCATCTGTAATGTCTTTGCAATCTAACCTATTAAAATTTATTCGTGATAATAGCAGCTTGTTTGGAGGTATATCACTGAGGCATGGTGTCTATTTTTCATTGTTTTCTAGGAAGAAGAGAACATTTTAGTATTTAAAGTTAGGTAACGAAGGACTTTGTTATGTTGCAGCCTCTAGAGAGACATTTGCTATGGCATAGAATAATAGTGGAAGAGGATACTTTGTAATTACTACCCTAATTGAAGAAATTTGGACAGTATAGCTGTACCAAAGTATGTATTTTATCTCAATTTGTCAGTAATAAACTATTGACAAGTCAGGACATGCCTTTGTAAAGTTTTTTTTCAGTTACATGCTGAAATAGTAATGTAATTATTTATTGTGTTTCTTCCCTTTTTGAGCAAATATAAATATTTAAAATTATCTTAGATAATTTTAAGTTTTAAAAAGTTCTACCTTAGATGAAAAACTTGTGTTGCTTCTTGTGCAAGTGAGCAGATGGTGAAGGTCAAGATAATGACCTCTGAGTTGATTCATGTAGGGACCTTTTTTCCTGATAATTGGAAGGAAATTTTTATTTTTGAAATATTGTTCAGTATATCTTTTGAATAATTTGAGCAATTATTCCAGCCCTAAAATTGGACTTGTCTGAAAACAAAGTGTGAAGGCAGGGATAAGTAAATAATTTCTGGTATTAAAATGAGTTTATCTTAATATGTGGATTAATTCAAGCTGTCCTGAAACTGGTTTATTTGTTTATACAAATATATAACTAGACTAAAGGAAAAGCCAAAGGTACTATAGAACCACTTTAGTTTTTTTTTTTTTTTTTTTGAGACAGTCTTTCTCTGTCGCCCAGGCTGGAGTGTAGTGGCGCGATCTCGGCTCACTGCAAGCTCCGCCTCCCAGGTTCACGCCATTCTCCTGCCTCAGCCTCCCGAGTAGCTGGGACTACAGGCTCCCGCCACCACACCCGGGTTATTTTTTTGTATTTTTAGTAGAGACGGGGTTTCACCGTGTTACCCAGGGTGGTCTCGATCTCCTGACCTCGTGATCCTCCTGCCTCGGCCTCCCAAAGTGCTGGGATTACAGGCGTGAGCCACCGCGCCCGGCTTATAGAACCACTTTCTAAAAATCAGAAGAAATTTTTTTTTAAAGAAATGGCAGTAAAAAATAGGAATAATAAGTGTAGTTTGAAAAATACTGAACTTTTAGCCTTCGCTTTAGGATTCAGTTTAATTTGGCTTTTCCCATTTTTCAGCTTTTTGGAGTAACTGTTATAAACCAAAAATAAAATGAGTATTTATTTATTTATTTTTTGAGACAGAGTTTCCCTCTGTTGCCCAGCCTGGAGTGCAGTGGTGCGATCTTGGATCACTGCAACTTCCGCCTCCCGGTTCCAAGCGGTTCTCGTGCCTCAGTCTCCCAAATGGCTGGGATTACCGGCATGTGCCACCACACCCAGCTAATTTTTGTATTTTTAGTAGAGACAAGGTCTCACCATGTTGGCCATGCTGGTCGCGAACTCCTGGCCTCAAGTGATCCACCGGCCTCAGCCTCCCAAAGTGCTGGGATTACAGGCATGAGTAACCGCGCCCAGCTAAAATGAGTGTTTTCTTAAGTTTCCTTACAAATATCAAATAAAAGCCTCTCTTTTTTGTATTGGCAAGTGTGGTTAGAAGGCTAATTTAAAATAGAACAATTGGTATCTTTTTATGCATTTGGTTGATTGCATTTGAGATTACCCTATTGTTCAGAATGTATACTGGTTTCAAGTTGGATGAAGGATAGACATATTTCCCGTAGGCTTTTGAAATCAAGCATGATAAAGTGATACTTTGAGTACTTCCTAATACCTAGTTGTGCTAAGTATGTTCCTTTTCGTAAATAATTTTTTTAAAATACTAACATAAGCCAGGCGCAGTGGCTCATGCCTATAATCCCAGCACTTTGGGAGGCCGAGGTGGGCGGATCACTTGAGGTCAGGAGTTACAAACCAGCCTGGCCAACGCGGTGAAACCCAGTCTCTACTAAAAATACAAAAATTAGCCGGGCGTGGTGGCGTGCGCCTGTAATCCCAGCTACTCAGGAGGCTGAAGGCAGGAGAATTGCCTGAACCCGGGAGGCTGAGGTTGCAGTGGGCTGAGATCATGTCGTTGCACTCCAGCCCGGGCAACAGAGTGAGGCTCTGTCTCTTTAAAAAACAAAAGCGAAAACATATATTCAACTCTTAAAACATTTTGAGGTAGAGTATTATACTTTTATAGTGTGCGAAAATAAAATGTTACAGGAAACACTTGAGCTGAAAAAATGTCATTTGTTCATTGCTTTGAGCTTTACATTTACCTCTTAATTGATGCTTGCCATAAGGTGTTTAGTGATGTCATAATGATAGTGGTAATAACTGGTATGGTTACAACTAATAATATTGTTTTCTGCTGTGGTTCTGAATTAGATGGACTTCTAGGAATACTGTGGTAACAATGAAACATAACTCTGGCCTAAACCCAACTGAACATGTTCTTTCATAATAGGTATTGGGGGGTAAGGGGTGAATCTTAACTTTAGTGATGACTTTGGTGAAATGAACTTGATTAATAATTGGAATTTGATCACTTCCTGGCTTGAATGAAGCTGGTAAATTAATCTGAGGCCAAGCAATAAATGGTGAGTTGATAACCTCTATTGTCATGTTGTAATATTTATGTGTGTGAACAGAAAGGGTTGAGAGAGTCATGATTTTTCAGACTGGATGAAATGTGTATTTTTATACTCTGAAAAGATGATGAAGACATAAAGTCTTCTGGATAGTATTTTCCTGAGTTATAGCCTAATTACATAAATTTTGCATTAAGAAAGTGAAGAACGTGATCATCAGACACTTTTTAAGCAATATCATTTTTTATTTTTTTTGAGACAGAGTCTCATTCTGTCACCCAGGCTGGAGTGCGATCTCGGCTCACAGCAACCTCCGTCTCCGGGGTTCAAGCGATTCTCCTACCTCAGCCTCCCGAGTATCTGGGATTAGAGGCGTAAACCACCATACCTGGCTAATGTTTTGTATTTTTGTAGAGTCGGGGTTTCACCATGTTGACCAGGTTGGTCTTGAACTCCTGACCTCAAGTGATCCGCCTGCCTTGGCCTCCGAGAGTGCTGGGATTACAGACATGAGCCACTGCACCCAGCCAATTTTTAAGCAATAACATGTTATTCATTATTATTATTACTATCAGGATTTTCATATTTTACACTGGCAAAGTAATATTCTAAGAAGAGCAATTTATTGTATAGGGTCATTTAAGGATGGGCATGATCAACATAAAAATAACATCAAATTACTTTTCTTTTCTTTTTTTTTAGACAGAATCTTGTTCTGTTGCCCAGGCTGGAGTGCAATGGCGCAATCTCGGCTCACTGCAACCTCCGCCTCATGGGTTCAAGTGATTCTTCTGCCTCAGCCTCCCGAGTAGCTGGGACTACGGGCGTGTGCCACCATGCCTGGCTAATTTTCGTATTTTTAGTAGAGACAGGATTTCACAGTATTGGCCAGGCTGGTGTTGAATTCCTGACCTCGTGATCTGCCAGCCTCGGCCTCCCAAAGTGCTGGGATTAAGGCGTGAGCCACCACGCCTGGCCCCAAATTACTTTTCATACCAATATTTTGATTTCTGTTTTTCTTTAATTAAAAAAAAAATGGTTACCTAGCATAGTGCTTGTTACCTTGGCATTAGAAATGTTTGTGAATTATTCTTTCAATAAATATGGTGTGCTAGACATTGTATAAGCCTCTGGGGATACATCATTGAACAAGAAAGATAAGGTTCTTGCTCTACGGAGGCTTGTATTTTACTTTTAAAAACATTTTTTAGGTTTTGTTTGTTTGTTTGTTTTGTTTTGTTTTTGAGACAGTGTCTCACTCTGTCAGTCAGGCTGGAGTGCGGTTGTGCAATCATAGGTCTCTGCAGCCTTGACCTGCCAGGATCAAGCAGTCCTCTCACTTCAGCCTCTCAGGCTCAGCTGGGAATACAGGCATGTGCACTGACTGCTGGCTAATTTTTGTATTTTCTGTAGAGATGAGGTCTCACTGTTACCCAGGCTGGTCTTGAACTTTTAGGCTCAAGTGATCTCCTGCCTGGGCCTTCCAAGTATTGGGATGACAGGCATGAACCACCATGCTGCCTGGTAGTGGCTTGCATTTTAGAGGGGAGGATCAGTAAGTAAACAGATAGTGAGATGATGCAGCTAGTGTTAAGTACTAAGAGGAAAAGAAGATTGGTGAGGTGGCAGAGGATGGGCAGAGCTCCTTGAGTAGCTGGTCAGGGAGGCCTCTGAGGAGGTAACATTGTTACCTGAATGATGAGAAGAAGCCAGACGTGAAGGGAGAAGTGTTCAGGTGGAGGGAACAAAAAATCTCCAAGGCGGAAATGAGTTCGAGAAGTTTGAAGAACTCCAGTGAGTCTGGAGCTTAGTGAGCAGGACTGTGAGGTGAGGAAGGCCTGATAATAATGTTAGGGGTTGTAGGGAGTCTGGATTCTATTCTGCATGTCAGAAGATGCCGGGGAGTGACTTCATTCTTTCACTCCTGAGCACATTGAGTGCCTACTATGAGGCAGATACTGTTCCCATGTATTGGGGACATGGAACAGATATTCCTTGTCCTAGGTGTTTACAATCAGTCTTGGCTATTCTGTGGAAGAAGAAATTGTAGAGGAGTGGGGCAAGAACAGCAGTAGGGAAGACAGCTAATAGGCCATTGCAGTTATTAGGTGAGAGATGATGGCTTGAGTTAGAATGGTTAGATTGGATTTGGAGAGAAGAAAATGGATTTGGTATATACATGAGAAATCTTAAGGATTTACTGATGGTTTGGAGTTGTCAATTAAGGGAAAGAGGAGTCAAAAATGACATCTTGATTTTGGCTTCTGTGATTATAATCGATAGTGATGCCATTTCCTGAGATGGGGAAGGTTAGTGGGCAGAGGGCGGTGGGGAGAGAGTGTAAGGAAAATAAATGGAATCAAGAGTTCTTTTTGGCCATGTGAAATTTGAGATCCTTTTGAGAAATTCAGGTGAGATGTTGAATATGAAGTTGGGTATAAATGCTGGAGCTCAGTAGGGAGGTTGCTGGGTGAGAGATAGGAATTTGAGAATTACTTGGTTATAAATGGTGTTTAAAGGTCATGGATCACACCGAGAGAATAGAGAAGACAGTAGAGGACTAAGCCCTGGGACACTAACATTTTCTCTTCAGGCAGAGGAAGATGTGCCGTCCAAAGACACTGAGAAGGAGCAGCCAGGGTGGTAGGAGTAAAAGCAGGACAATGAAGTGTTCTGGTAGAGAGGAGTCTGAAGGCAGTAGTGATCACCAGTCTCATGCTTCCAGGCAGCCATGTAAGATGAGTCAGAAGAAAATGCATCAATGCATTTGGCCAGTTTCAGTGAGATACTTAAAAATATAAACCTAGCAGAAATTAGAGATTATCTAATCCAGTGGAGCTGACTTTATTGCATAAGGATTGATACATAAGTGCTTAATAAATGTTTGAATTGCTCTTTACCACTTATTAAGCTAGGGTGACCAGTTGTCTGGGTTTGCCTGACGTTTCAGTTTTAAAACTAGGGGTTGTGTGTCATAGGTTGCCTAGGACTGAAGGGTTTTCTGGGATTCCTTACACTGAACAGTGGCCAAGTCTTGACCAGGGTACTCTGTCTGCTCAGGGCGTCTGAACTGGTGTTAACAGTGTTCTCGCCCCTCAGAATAGAAGATTCTCTCAATCAGGGAACCAGACTTTAGTACTGTATCTAGTTTTATTTCATGCTTTTCTTAACCTCTGTCTGATCTGAGAATCTACCTCAGAAAAGTAACTCTACCCCTACTTTTGTTTTTTTTCTCCTGCTGTAAATTGTTTAAAGACTTCATTAGGTAGTGCTAAATTAATTAAAGTCGTTGATAGGATTTTAAGTTCCTTTAAAGAGAGTTAATGTAAGATCAGAAACTGTTGTATGCCTTTCTACACTGTTAATGTCTAGTGAATGAAACTTATTTGCTTTATTGATACTCGTTTTGAAAATAGTTTTTAGTATTAAAGTTTAGAGTTCTGAAATGAACTATAGTTTTTAGTTATATATTTCTCTGAAAGATTTTGGGATGAAAGATTTGGACTATGTTTCATGTAGTTTAGCATTTTCTACCAGTTGATTACATTGCTTTTGTAGAGGCAGAGATTGCCTCCTGACCATAAGAAATTACATATATATGGCCTTGCTATGACATTTCTGAAGCTTTTCTAAAGCATTCTCATTAATACTGAGCATTCTGTCTCATTTTAGGAATAATGTACTGAAAAGTTGGACTAGAAGTTAAGTGCTTTAATTTTGGGAACAGAAAACTTCCATATATTTATAAATTTTCTCAATTATTTTGTAATATTTTAAGACTTTATTTTTCTTTAGCCATTTAAATGTATTGTGTATGATTCTTATGTTCTAGGACAAAGATAAGCCCGTCTGAAATACCAAGTTGTATATATTTGTAGTGGTTTTATGAACAGCCTCATTAGTTGTTAACTGTACCTTATTTTCCCAGTTTTTAAACAGGAACAAGGACTTACCAAAAACTAAATACGTGGCTGTTATTCCTAATAGTTGCCAAAATGCTTTTTTGAACACAGCTTTTTTTGTTTTTGAGACGGAGTCTCTCTGTCACCCAGGCTGGAGTGCAGTGGTGTGATCTCGGCTCACTGCAACCTCCGCCTCCCAAGTAGCTGGGATTACAGGTGTGCACCACCATGCTGGACTAATTTATTATATATATATATTTTTAGTAGAGACAGGGTTTCACCGTGTTGGCCAGGCTGGTCTCGAACTCCTGACCTTAGGTGATCCACCCTGCTCAGCCTCCCAAAGTGCTGGTGTTACAGATGTGAACCACCGTGCCCAACCCAAGAAAGCCTATTAGCTTAGATTGAGCTAGATTTTAATGTAGGTATTTTTTAACTAGTGTGTTTATGTGAGAAAGTATACTTACTTGATGCTGCTAACCTTATTTTAGCTGAGTGAAAGCATCTTCAGTGACTGCTTAAGTTTAATTCCCAATCTTGGAATCTGATCTTACTTTATTCTTGATTCTTACTTTCTTCTGGCCTAGAATTTTACTTCTGGCTAGAACCTAACTTTTCATGTCTGAGCAGATCTTTGGATCTCTTTTGGGATTGGAGCAGCACAGTTTCTCAATTCACCTCCCCGTTTTGCTACCTGTTGTTTATTTTTATTTTTTTGACACATTTTACAAACCTTTCATAAAAAGGGTAGGGTATAGCAAATGTTTTGAGACCATAGAGAACCAATGGACTCCTTATTTTTTAGACATGCCTAACAGCAAAAATTTCACCCAAATGCTCCTATTTTATGTATGCAATATTTATTATACTTTATCAATTTTAAAATGTACTTTAAAAATGTTTTAGCATTTCTGATATATGGATGCATCATGTAATTCAGGGTGTCATTTAATTGGCATCCTTTTTTTTAGTGGTACATACAGTTGATATATTTTAAAAATTATTTTTTCCAACTCGCATATGCAGATACAAGAGTCATGTTGATTTCCAGTATGCCCTCTACATATTGAACGTTTCATTTGAAAGCATCATCTTTACCCTTATGGGGATCAATGGTTATTTTTTCAAACAGAAATGCTAGGTGACATATTACTGTCAGATCTAATTTTGTAATTTTTTTTTTTTCTCTTGCAAAAGGAATGTTGAAGTGTGTGCATGGGAGGCATCAGCTTGACTATTTTCTTGTTTGTTTATACTTACATTTTTAGTATTATCTTCAGGTTTTTCAACTTCAGGTTTCTTTGCAGTAATATAGAGCCACAAATCCATTTTGTGAGGGCTAGTTTAAGTAAAACTACCTAATGTTATCGATATGCAAATCTGCTTAACCAGCCATGAACTGCAATGCATACCCATACGAAAAAATCAAATGAACAAAGGAGGATGTCACCGTCAAGCCCTCTGTATAGAGCACCTCCGTTTATGTTATATATATGTAACATAATGCTCTGATAATCCAAGTAAGGGCACTAGTGTTAACCTGTATGTTAAATATTATAGCAAAATTTAATGCATTACTTTTTCCTAAAGATAATTTTCAGTATAAACAAGTTTTTTTCTTCCAGCAGCTTGCCAGTGGATTGGCTCGTGTACTCCCTGGCATGCATGTATTCACTTTGCAGATCATAGAGATAGAAAGCTTATGCTTAATCTCTTGGAATGATGTTAAAAAAGTGGTGGTTATCAGAGAGATGGGCATTGGGTTTGTGTTTTGAAGGAGATAAGTAGTTGTAAACATGCTAGTAAGATATTAAGAGAGAAGCTGGTGACAGTGTAGATGTCCTTGATTAAATAGGGAGGGAAAAGAGCAAGGTTAAAAACTTGGAAGAGAGTGGGGTACTGTACCTCATGAGGAGCAGAAGAATTATTGTTATGTGGTATTTGTCAGATGATTTTTTTCTTCTCATTATTAAAGTTACACATGCTCAGTAAAATGTTGACTCAGTACAGAAAAGCTTAAAGTGAAGTAAGCTTTTTTATCTACCTTTCATGTCAGTCCTCCACTCCATTTTTAATAGTTTTTAGTTATCCTTCTGGAAAATTTCTATGCATGGACAGTAATAAAAATAATAACATTTATTGAGATCCTAATTATATGTCTGGCACTTTCAAAAATATATTTACAGGCCAGGTGCAGTGGCTCACGCCTGTAATCCCAGTACTTTGGGAGGCTGAGCAGGCGGATCACTTGAGGTCAGGAGTTCGAGACCAGCCTGGCCAACATGGCGAAACCCCATCTCTACTTAAAAAAAACCTAAAAAATTAGCCAGACATGGTGGTGTGTGCCTGTAATCCGCACAACTTGGGAGGCTGAGGCAGGAGAATCTCTTGAACCTGGGGGATGAATGTTGCAGTGAGCCGAGACTGCACTACTGCACTCCATCCTGGGCAACTGAGAGAGGCTCTGTCTCAAAAACAATAACAACAACAAAAAACTTTACATGTTCATTGATCACAACAACCCTATAATATAGGTACTATTCTATAATTTTTTTCTTCTCTTACATATGAAGAAATTGAGGCACAGAGAGGTTAAGTGATTTATGAGGACTTACTGCTAATAAGAGGTAGAATGAACTTGAACCCAGGTAGCCTGGTTTCACAGTGCACACTGAGCTATACTGGTAATTCTGTGATAAAAGAAACAAACTAAGACTATTGGAGTCACTTACCCTAGAGATAAATAGTACTGAAATGGAGTGGAGGATTGGGATGGAGAAAATAACACTATGTGATGTTTCTGTCATCTTAGCTAGATATTCTGCAGTGTAGTTCCAGATTTGTTGGTTTTTTCTGTTTGGCTACTGTTAATATGAACGTTTTTTTCTTACCGTTTAATGTTCTAATTTTTTGTGTGAGTTTTGTGTCTTTTTAACCTATTGGAGACTGTTTTCCCATGTTAGGAATGTTGGCCATCAGATCTCTAAATTATTTAAAATTACCTTAAAAAAAGCTGCATTGATAAATATTTACTGATCTCTAAATAGATACTTAAATGCATACTGGCTCAAGGGATAGTTTAAAATATCCTGGATTTTAAAATAAGCAGACAACAACCACCAAACAAAACGCTTGTTTGAATCCTTTTTCTGAACACAAAGATATTTTTGTAGTTGTAATTGTAAGGCTTCCAAAATTCTAATTTTATTCTGTGAACATTTGTTAGGTATCCAGTGGTTATAATGACTACATTTATTGAGACCCTGTATAAGTGTGCAGCTCTTTGCTAGGTACTGGACACTAAAAAAAGTTGCCTTTCATTTTTCACAGTTTGGTGAGGGAGAAGAAAGTCATATACATATGGGTTAATATAATTTATTAAATGTTGTTGGAATTTTGAATAATATATTGGGAGTGAACAAAGTATTTAATGCCACCTGGAGGAATCAGGGAAGACAGAACAAGTTAATTCTGAACTAGGACTCTTAAGGTGCAGAAGTGAAACAGCTTGGAGTCATGAAAGAGTCTCATCTGTTTGGAGGAAGTGATTAGGTAAGTGTGGCTAGATAGTTTTTGTAGGTAGAAGTTGCAAAGTGAAGCTGACAATTGGTGAAGAACTTTGCCTAACTTAAGGAGTTTGAATTTATTTAATATGCCGTAAGGGGCTCACAGATCTATGTAAGTAGAAGAATAACATAAACATGCTTGATTCTAGAAGATAGTAGAGTAGAGGCTGGCTTGAGTGGAGTTATTCCAGCAGCAGAATAGGTTCTTTGTGCAAAAGTACTTGTTAATATTTCAGAGATGTTAAAATGTGAACCGCGTGCTACTTATGTAATATAAGGGTAAACATGCTTTATCTACTATTTTATTTGAAAGTGTTGGTTTCCAAGTTGATTTTAAAACATACTAATGGGTGACAGATAATCTGCATTCTGAAAAACATTGCAATTTGTATTCTCGATTTGTATTATGTATTCAGCTTATTTAAAAGTATAAATCTGCTTTGTCAGTAGTGTTATTTTTATTTTCTTCAATTTAGAGCTGTCATTAAAATATTCAATGAGAGTAGTTCTTGTTCTCAGTGCAGTTACATATATATTCAAATGCTGTGGAATACTTGATACTGTATGCATTTTTGCTTCCAATAAAAGAGCTTCAGAAGTAAAATAGGTTGCTTTTTTATTTAATGCTAATCTTCCTGTCTGAGAAATATTCAGAATTTTTAATGTTATCCGCAGGCACTCAGTATTCTATTAAAATAATTAAAATTAGTATTAAAAAATTAGTATTGAAAAATGTAACATATTGTCTTCCAAGGAGGAGTTCCAATGTAGAGTTTCTTGGGATCTTTGCTGTTCTTACAGCAGTCCTTTTGTCTTTAGGTAAGACATTATTGCCAGAGGTTATTCAGCCTTATTTTGAGTTTTTAAGTGCATATTGCATACTAGATATCAATATTCCCATTTCAGTAACATAGTCTTGTAACTATTCTGTGAGAAAATTTTCCTTATTAAATCACCTGGTCAGCATATTTCACATGTACTTCTTCCTGTATTGTGCTTCTGGATTGACTTGTCTAAAGACAAGTCATGTCATTCTTTTCAGACTGTGAATTTTTTCAGTTTAAATTAAAAGATTAGAATGTTATTTTCATGACATTTGTTAATCATCTTCAGTGTTTGAGGCACATACAATACCAGATCTTCTTTTTAAAGACATAGTTATGTTTAAAGGTTAAGGCAAATTAGTTCAGGTGGGAGGAGATCAATTTATATAGTTAATTCTTTTCCTTTTTTTTTTTTTGAGACGGTCTCACTATGTTGCCCAGGCTGGTCTCGAACTCCTGGGCTTAAGCAATCTTACCTTGGCTTCCTGAGTAGCTGGTATTACAGGCATGTGCTACACATGATGTATATTGCCTAATAGCCTATCAAAAGGTTGTGTTTTTGTAATGAATAAATTAACATTACCATTATCAGTGTATGGGAGTATCTAGGAACACTGTTGTTTTGTTCTTTTAACATTTTTGCTAGATTGATAGCTGAAAAATAGCATGTCTTCTGAATTTGATACTACTTGCTTACCAGTGGGCTTGGACTATTTTTCAGAATTTTTTATTTGTGTTTTTCCCTTTGGGGTTTGTCCTTTGTCCATTTAGACTAAACCATTTAGTATTTATTTATTTATTTTTAGTTTGCTTATGATCTCTTTATAATTATGCATTAATACCATATCTGCAAATATTTTTAGTGTTTGCCTTTAACTTCTTAAATATATAGACAACTTTTTTTTTTTTTTTTTTTTTTTGAGACAGTCTTGCTTTATTACCCAGGCTGGAGTGTAGTGGCATGATCTCGGCTTACTGCAGCCTCCACCTCCTGGGTTCAAGTAGCTTAGCTTCCCAGGTAGCTGAGACTACAGGCATGTGCCACCATGCACAGAGGCATTTTTTTGAATTTTTTTTTTTTTTTCTTTTGTAGAGATGGGCTTTTGCCATGTTTTCCAGGCTGGTCTTAAACTCTTGAACTCAAGCTGTCTGCCAGCGTTGGCCTCCCAAAGTGCTGGGATTACAGGTGTGAGCCACCTTGCCCGGCCTAGACAACAATTTGATGATTTATGTGGTTTGCTTACTTTTTGTGTCCTTCTGTAAAAGTCAGAGGTTCAAGTTTATAAGGTGGCAGTACACTGAAAGAAATTTTAGGAAGATCATTTCCCTGAGTTGCTAAATAAAAAGGCTCTAAGTATGTATGTACTGCTCTGTGATTCAAAGATAGAATTTAGGGTTTCTAGAGGGGCGGAATGATAGCATGTCTTAGACCATTTTCTCTGTCATTTCTTATAGCTTTTTTTGTATAAAAGTTAGATAACAGATAGTTGAGATTGTACTGATGTGCTTTGGAAATCTGTGGAATAGGTATCATATTGAGTAGATGATATTGAAATACTGTAATGGAAATTGAGGATTACAACTATTGTTCTTTTCTAAATAGAAGGCTGTCCCCACTTTTTCATATCTGTAGGCAAGATTAGAATTTTTCTAGTTTTCCCAATATTGTATTGAAGTTCTCCAGAGAAACAGAGCCAATAGCATTTAATTAATTAATTAAGAATTGGCTCATGAGATTATGGTGGCTGACAGGTCCCAAGATCTGTGAGGTGATTTGGCAAGCTGGAGACCTGGGATTGTTGATAGCATAGTTCCAGTCTGAAGGCTGGCAGGCTCAAGCCCCAGGAAGAGATCAGTTCAAGCTTGAAGGTAGGAAAAAGCCAGTGTACTAGTGTATTTAATCAAAGGGGATCAGGCAGGAAGAATTCTCTTCTGCTTAGGGGATGGTTAGCTTTTTTGTTGTGTTCAGGCCTTCAGCTGGTTCAGTGAAGCCCACCCACATTATGGAGGGCAGTCTGCCTTATCCAGTCGACCAATCTGAATGTTGAGCTCATCCAAACACCTTCACGGAAGTAATGTTTGACTGCATATCTGGGCACCCCATGGTCCAGTCAAGTTGTCATGTAAAATTAACCATCACACATATTTGACATTGTCCAGGAGTTCCATACCATATGGATAAACTGAGATCATTTATTCTGGAAAAAGAAACCTAAAACACTTGTTGACATTTATTTGTCTTTGTAATCCTTGAAAAACCTCAGTAGTGCTTTCATGAATTGTCAGATTCTGGGCAGCCTGGCTTGCTGATATGTACTCTAGGATGAGCTCACTTTTCTTCCAAATAAAGAAATGAATTAATATGCTGGCTGTAGTTACTTATGAATCAGTTGAATTTTAGGGACTCTTTTCAGTTAGAATGATTTTTTACCACATCTCAGGAGTCTGCAAACTGGCCCCCAGGTTTCATTGGACTTGTCACCTGTTTTTGTAAATAAAGTTTTATTACAACATAGCCACATCCATTTTATTGTCTACAGCTGATTTAGACTACAGTGGCAGAATTGGCTAGTTGAGACGGAGATTGAGTGACCCACAAAACTGAAAATATTTACAATCTGGCTCTTGACAGAAAAAGGTTTTATTGAACTGTTTTTCTGGCAATAGTTAATTATACAAGACTAATGATTGAAGGTTGTCCTAGCTTGTGATAATAACACCATAGCATTAATATGTACAGTGGGCTTTCCTCCCCATTACTGGAGTGAGAAAGTGAGTGAGTGGAGAGAGAGTGAGAGAGAGAATGATTATTGCCTTTTAATCCACAAATGGTTTATTGGCCAAGACTTGTCAACAATCAATAGGGTGGAGGTGTGTTGTAGGCTTTAATGGAGCATGACTTTATACTGCTCAAAATAGTTATATTGCCTAAAAGCAAGGGTTTTAATTCTAGCCATTTTATGCAGCTTTTGTAAAAATTGTTACTAGGAATCTGAATTTGCGTATCTTGAGCTATAGCTGGTTTCTAATCTCAGAATCAAATGTTGATGTAATCTGCAAATCAGTATGCATAATTTTCAGCATTTCCCCACATAAACTGGTAGATTGAATAATAATAATAACCAATGATGGAGTAAATGTTCCTGTAATGTATTTCTTCCTTTAGTAAAACATAGTCAGTGTTAGCATTTAGATATAGAGCTCCCTGAAAGCTTCTTCCATGTATGTAAATGTACAAACTCTTCTCCAGCTGTGGAATCATATTATGTATATAGCTACATAAAATGCTTCTCTTCCATACACACTAGATATATTCTGGATGTTCTTCCATGTTAAAAAATAGGTTGATAAAATCATTTTTAGCACTTAAACATTATCAACTAATTAACAGTTTATATTTTGTTCATAGGCATTTACTTTAAGCAGTGCTGTCAGGAATGTCCTTATACTCATATTTATTTGTAATTGTCTGATATTTCCTTAGGATAAATTCTCAGTAGAAGGTCATGTCTATATTGACATTTAGATACCACTTTCCAGTTTGCCCTTTAGAAAGGTTGTACCAATTTGCAAGGCCACAAAAATATACGAACATTCCCCTCACTTGGTTGACACCAGTCTTTCTTTTATCAACTTGATAGTTTTAAAAATCCAGAAAATTTATTGTCTTTTTCACTTCTCCCACCATTAGTGAGATTTGGCATCGTTTCTTATATTTATTTTTTCATTTACATATAGTCCCAGCCTATTTATGCTATTTGCTGGGTATTCTTAAAAAAAAATAATTATCCAGCTAATAGGTTTGCACTTGTGAGACTAGGCTGGTTGCCATTTTTGATAATAGTTTAGGCAGGACTTTGAGCTCATTTAGATGGGATGTTACCTGATTGAAAAAAAATTTTGGTATAGATTACAGACCACAGATCAGAATTAGAATAGATCTGGTGACAGAACACCTTCTTCTGGTGCTTTAATGTGAGTGTTGAATCACTTGAATTGAAAAGTCTCATTCTGAGAGAAGTCTAGAATCTACAAAGCTTTAAGTGGTTGTTCTGAACCTCAAAGCTGGTAAAAGTGTCTCTTTGGCCACTGTTTTTCAAATTTGATTTGTTAATTTAAATGTATAAGGCTTTTAAGGCTGCTTATATACTTTATACATGTATAAAGCCTAAATTTAATTGATAAATTGCATTTAAATAAATAAATGCATTAAATAAAATAATGTGACAATGTTTTATTAAAAGTGAATCATTAATGTTGAGCTTAGTATGATAGAGGTAGCTTTAGGTCTGGTTTTATTAATTTGTTTATATATTTTGATTTTAATACTGACATAGAGAACAACTAATCCTAAAAGTGTGGTTAAAAAAACTGGTATAATTAATTTTATGCACGTTTGTTGTTTTGTTACCCTTATGTTTAAACTGCCAGAAGGCATTCCTTGCATGCCGGTTTCAATAGGGTATCAATGAATAATTCTGTAAAGCTATCTTCTTTCAAATAATGGTAAATACCCAGTGATGTCATTTGCTCTTTACTTAGAAGCAACTGCTATTTCAACCGCAAAACACAGATGGGGACATTGAATTATGTGATAAATCTTTTTAAGGCTGCTATACAGATACGGGAGCATTGAAATTATGTGGAAATAATGTTTTAAGTTGGCTGTTCAGATAATCTGTAATGTGCTTATTAATTTTTTAAGAACTGTCATTGAAATGAGAGCCTAAAATTCATGTAGGGGAACTTCTTAACTTTTATGAATAATTCTGTAAGCCCTGAATTGAGACTTACTGTATTAGGCATTAGTAAAGATTTGTGCTTCTACAGGTTTTATGTAAAGTTGAACGAATTTAAAATTTCTCTTTCTAATTATAGTACAATAACATTTCTAGATGCTTATTTATTTCTGCATCTAACTTGTAACAAATAGTACAGATTGGCACTGGTCCATTGATATCCTTTGAGTAGCACTGTACTAGACAATAAAATAAGTGATGGGTAAAACAGAAAAAGTCAAATAAAAGTTAAGTAAAAGTGAGTAAGTGGAAATAAACATTGAAAGAACATTGAAAAACCTTAAATTAGCTAAAAAGTATTTAAATTAAAAGGACAAATCTAGCTGGGCGCGGTGGCTCACACCTGCAATCCCAGCACTTTGGGAGGCGGAGGCGGGTGGATCACGAGGTCAGGAGATGGAGACCATCCTGGTTAACACGGTGAAACCTCATCTCTACTAAAAATGCCAAAAATTAGCGGGGTGTGGTGGTGGGCACCTGTAGTCTCAGCTGCTCCGGAGGCTGAGGCAGGAGAATGGCGTGAACCCGGGAGGCAGCGCTTACAGTGAGCAGAGATCGCGCCACTGCACTCCACCCAGCCTGGGTGACAGCGAGACTCGTCTCAAAAAAAAAAAAAGACAAATCAAGCTAAGAGTAGGAAAATGCTGTGCTATTAAACTGTTATTAAATAATAATTAAGGAAATAATTCAAATAAAATAATGTAAAATTTAAAAATTTTAAGTGATGATTGTAGAAAAAATTTAGTAGATATATAGCAGAAAAAAATGGATTGTTTTCATATTCCATGTGGATATCCTATTTATATTATCATGCATTATTATTGAATTTTCCTGAGCCCTGATTTTCAGCTAACGCATGTATGTATAATCACAGATGCCACCTATCAATTATTCTAGAGCAGAGTACTGACATTTGAAGATAAGTGGATAGTTCCAACATTTTTAATAACACAGCAGTACGTCTTTAAAAGTTTAATGCCCGGAAGCAGAAAACAGAGTTCTTCAGCTAGAGGAAGCTATGTAATCACACTTAATTGATATATGTGTGATATATACATTTATTTGGTTAATTTTGTTGATCATTTTAAATTATTTTGGGCAGAAAAGAACCTTTTATACCTTTTATACCCTATGTGTATTTTCCACAAGGTAAAAAAAAAATCTTCTGCCTACTCAGATATATGTGTTAACTGTTACATATTTCCCTTTTTAGGCCCAGATTATTCATCAGCATGGCTACCTGCTAATGAATCATTGTGGCAGGCCACAACTGTTCCATCTAACCATCGAAATAACCATATCAGGAGACACAGTATAGCTTCTGACAGTGGAGACACTGGCATTGGAACTTCCTGTTCTGATAGCGTGGAAGGTGAGCTAAAATTCTTATTGTTTATATATGAATCTTTGAAGAGTGGTTGTGGTACAAGAATTTTCAGGGGATATGTTTTATTGTTTCATACTGAAAATTATAGTGTTTGAATATTTAATAATGTTCAGTGTTGCTGTATATCAAATAAAATTGTCCCTCTAATCGACCGGGCGCGGTGGCTCATGCCTATAATCCCAGCACTTTGGGAGGCTGAGGTGGGCGGATCACGAGGTCAGGAGATCGAGACCATCTTGTCTAATACAATGAAATCCCGTCTCTACTAAAAATACAAAAAATTAGCTGGACGTGGTGGCGGGCGCCTGTAGTCCCAGCTACTTGAGAGGCTGAGGCACGAGAATGGCGTGAACCCAGGAGGCGGAGCTTGCAGTGAGCTGAGATCGTGCCACTGCACTCCAGCCTGGGGGACAGAGCGAGACTCCATCTCAAAAAAAGAAAATTGTCCCTCTAGTCATAAGAGTTTTTCCTTCATCTTTTTAACTAAACTTCTTACTTTGAGATAATTATAGATTTATATACAGTTTTAAGAAATAATAGTGTTGTAACCAGGGTATTGACATTGATAGAGCTGAGATTCAGAACATTTCCACATACCTCATGTTTCCCACACCCACTTCTCTCTCTGCCCCCTCTCCTTTATCTCTTAACTCTTGGAAGCCATTTACTCTCCATTTCTATAGTTTTGTTTTTCAAGAATACTTTATAAATGGAATCATAACTGGAATTTGAAAGTGGCTTTTTTCTCTGGATTTTCATCCAGTTGTTACATGTATCAACAGTCCATTCCTTTTTATTGATGAGTAGCATTCAGTAATGGTGGTATTGGAGAGAATACACTTTAACCATTTACCTATTGAAAAACATTTGGGATGTTTTCAGTTTTTGACTATTATGAGTAAAGTTGCTATAAACATGTGGGTATAGGTTTTTCTGTGAACCTATGTCTTCATTTCTTTGGGTGAGTAGATGCCTAGGAGTGTAGTAGCTGGATTGTGTAGTAGCATATTTAGATTTTAAAGAAACTGCCACACAGTTTTCTAGAGTGACTGTACCATTTCCATCAGCAATGTATGTATAAGTGATCTAGTTTTCTTTTTATCTTTGCTACCACTTAGTGTAAAAAAATTTAGCCATTTTGATAGTATAATGGTATTTCCTTGTGGTAGTGATGTCTCATTTTAAAAAATAGACTGTATTTTTTAGAGCAGTTTTTTTAGAGCAGCAGGAAAATTCATTGGGAGGTACAGAGATTTCCTGTATATCTCTTGTCCCCACACATGCACAGCCTCCTCCAATGTCATTATCTCCTACTAGTGTAGTATATTTGTTACAATTGATAAAACTACATGGACACACTATTATCACCCAGTGTTCATGCATTAGGGTAGCAGTCCCCAACCTTTTTGGCACCAGGAACTGGTTTGGTGGAAGATAGTTTTTCCACGGACCAGGGTGGAGTGGGGTGGTTGGTTTTGGGATGATTCAGGTGCATTGCATTATATTTATCATTAGATTCTCATAAGGAGCGCACAACCTATATCCCTTGCATGTGCAGTGGGTTTGTGCTTCTATGAGAATTTAATGCTGCCATTGATCTGACAGGAGGTGGTGCTCAGCTGCCCTCACTCACCTGCAGCCACTCACCTCCTGCTGTGCAGCTGGGCTCCCAACAGGCCACTGACCGGTGCTGGTTTGTGGCCTGGGGTTTGGGGACCCCTGCATTAGGGTTCACTTTTGGTGTTGTATATTCTGTGGGTTTGGCTTTATTCACTTAGTAATATGCATTTAAGTTTCTCCATGTCTTTTCATGGCTTGATGGCTCATTTGCTTTTAGTGCTGAGTAATATCCCATTGTCTGGATGTACCACAGTTTATCAACATTCACCTACTGAAGGACATCTTGGTTGTTTCCAGGTTTTGGCAATTATGAGGAAAGTTGCTGTAAACAGCCGTGTGTAGGTTTTTGTGTGGATGTCAGCTTTCAACTCTGTCAGCTGAAGAATGATGAGGTTCATAGATTTGGAAAGGAGAGCTTCATTTCTCACAAAGGTTTGCAGCTTGTATAGGCCATTCTGACAGGCTGGGAGGCATAGTCTCAGCAGAAATTGAGAGGCATTTCCAGGCAGAGTGGGGTCCAGTAAGGTGAGGGTTTAAGATAAGAACTTATGCTGATGATTGGCTAGGCATACAGCTATATTCAACAGGTTACAGAAGGAACCATGAATATTCATGAAGGAGACCCACACACATGCGTTTTAGGTTTACTCATATGTAAAATACCTCCCATAATCACTTTGAGGTGGAGATTTAATATTTAAATGCATTGTAGTTAGGTTCTATATGTAAAAGGTGAAATGTAGGGAAGAAGTCCATAAACTGCATCCTCAGGTGACTGGCCAGAACCAGTCCCTTCCAAAAGCCACTTATCAAGAAGAAAATCTTTGTGGCCTAAAATAGTTGTCATGTTGAAACTATAAAAACAGGAGGGGGTGTGTTTAGATGACTTGAACGAAGGGGTCTTTTGGACTTTTGTTTTCTCACACTGGCTTTTGAGAAAATCCAGTGATTAGAAAGGAGAGAAGTGGGTTGGAAGCAAATGGATCATGAACAGCTTACTGTCTTGCCATGGCTGCTAACTTAAAATTTTGGGGTCTTTTAGCTAAAGGAGGGTCCAGTAGTCTGTTGGAAGGGTTAGGACTTTTATTTTGGTTCCCAACTCTCTTGCCTAAATACTTAGGAGCTCAATTGCTGGATCATGTGGTAAGAGTATATTTAGTTTTCTATATATTTAATTTTGTATATTTAGTTTTGTAAAAAAACCACCAAACTGTCTTCCAAAGAGGCTGTACCATTTTGCATTCCAGCAATACATGAGGGTTCTGTTGCTCCACATCCTACTTAGCATTTGGTGTTGTCAGTGTTCTGGATTTTGCCTTTCTAATAAATGTGTAGTATTTTGTTGTTTTAATTTGCATTTTCCTGATGATGTATGAGGTGGAACACCTTTTCATATGCTTGTTTGCTGCCTGTATATCATCTTTGATGAGGTCTCTGTAAAGGTCTTTATAAAGCCCATTTCTTAATTGGGTTGTTAGTTTTCTTATTGTTGAGTTTAGAGTTCTTTGTATATTTGGATGAGAGGCCTTTATCGAACATGTCTTTTGCAAATAAAGACATCCTTTGGTATTGTGGAGGCTTGGTTCCAGGACCCCTGATACCAAAATCTGAGGATGCTCAAGTCCTTTATATAGAATAGTGTAGTATTTACATATAATCTACACACTTACTTCTGTATACTTTAAATCATCTCTAGATTCCTTACAATACGTAATACAATGTAAGTGCTGTGTAAATAGTTGCCATACTATATTGTTTTTAAAGTTTGATTATTTTTATTGTTAATATTTTTGATCCACGGTTGGTTGAGTCTGCAGATGTGGAACCTGCGGATATGGAGGGCCTACTGTATTTTCTCTCATTCTGTGGCTTGTCTTATTCTCTTGGCATTGTCTTTTGCAGAGCAGATGCTTTCTATTTTAATGAAGTTAAGCTTATCAGTTGTTGCTTTCACGGATTGTGCCGTTTTATCTAAAAAATCATTGCTATAACCAATGTCATCTAGGTTTTCTATTATGTTATTTTCTGGGAGTTTTATAGTTTTGTGTTTTACATTTAGGGTTGTGATCTATTTTGAGTTAAATTTTGTGAAGGGTGTAAGGCATACCTTTTGTAGTTGTCCCACAATTCTTGGATATAATGTGTTTTGTTTGTTTGTTTGTTTGTTTGTTTGTTTGTTTTTTTGGATGGAGTCTTGCTCTGTTGCCCAGGCTAGAGTGTAGTGGTGTGATCTTGGCTGGCTGCAGCCTCTGCCTTCTTCTCCTTTTTTTTTTAATTAAATAATTATGTTCCATTTTTACCAGCCTTTTTCTCTTTATTTTCAGTTTTAAGAGTTTCTGTTGACATATCTTCAAGCTCAGAGATTTCTGTGCCAAGTCCAGTCTACTAATGATCCCATCAAAGGCATTCTTCATTTCTATTAGAGTATTTTTGATCTGTAGCATTTCTTTTTGATTCTTGGAATTTTTATCCCTCGGCTTACATTATCCGTCTGTTCTTGGAAGATGTCTACTTTTTCAATTAAAGCCTTTACCCTATTTATCATAGTTGTTTTAAATTCCTGGTCTAGTAATTCCAATATCCCTGCCGTGTTTGAGTCTAGTCCTGAAGCTTGCTCTATTTCTTCAAACTATTTTTTTTTTGTCTTACAGTATGCCTTGTACTTTTTATTTTTATTTTTTGAAAGCTGATCGTGATATACTGGGTAAAAGAAACTGGTGAGCAGACCTTTAGTAATGTGGTGGTAAGGTGTGTGGGGAGGGGAAGTGTCCTACGATTTGGCCTCAGTGTTTTAGTGAGCCGGTGCCCCTGGGTTGTAACTTCACAGATGCTTCTCAGTTTTTTTCTGTTTTTACTAACTTGAGTGGGACAGGATGGCTACAGGGAGCTTTAGTTGGGTATTTCCCTTTAACCACCCGGAAGACTAGAATTGACTGGAGTTGGTTATTTCTCTTCCCCAAGGTAAGTTAGGCTCTGTTAAAACTACAAAGAGTTTAGGCTCTGGTTAAATAGTTTCTCCTGAGGGCAGACCTTATTAAGAATAGAATGTTCTGGTATATTTCAAAATGGACCCTTTTATCTTCCCTTTTCTGGAGTCATGAGGGGATTTTTCTCTGATACTTACTGTGAGAACCAGGTCAAACTCCTGGAAGTAAAACTCGTAAAAGTCTGGTAGTCTCCCTATGACGGGGTCGTTTTGGAATTTTTAACTCTCAGACTTCTTCATACTCAGCCTCCAGCAATTAATACAATTCAAGTTTTCCCACCTAGGTGCTGTGTCCCACACAAGTTTCAAGCTCTAATAAGTATTCTATGCATTTGCCATGTTGCTCTCTTCTGTTTTGGGAGCAGCTGTTTGCACTGTGACCTCAGTTCTCTTTGGGATCTAAGAAGAGTTGTTGCTTTTTCACTTTGTTCAGCTTTTTACTTGTTAGATAATGACTTTCAGGCTTCTCACATGCTGGCCTGAAAACCAGGTCTTAATCACTGTAATGTTGACCAGTTTTTCATATGCTTATTTTCCCACTTGTCTGTTTTCTTTTTTCTTCAGTGAAATGTCTCTTCATGCCTTTTACCTGTGTTTTAATTGTATTGTTTCCTTTTTTTTTTTTTTTTTTTTGAGATGGAGTCTTGCTCTGTTGTCCAGGCAGGAGTGCGGTGGCGGGATTTTGTCTCACTGTAACCTCTGCCTCCCAGGTTCAAGTGATTCTCCTGCCTCAGCCTCCTGAGTAGCTGGGATTACAGGCACCCACCACCATGCCTGGCTAATTTTTCTATTTTTAGTAGAGATGGGGTTTCACCTTTTGGCCAGGTTGTTCTTGAACTCCTGGCCTCAAGTGATCCACCCACCTTGGCCTCTCAAACTGCTGGGATTACAGGCATGAGCCACTGTGCCCAGAAGTTTTCTTCTTTACTGTTGAGTTTGAGAGTTCTTTATATATTTTAGATACTACTCTGTTTGATACATTGTTTGCAAATATTTTCTTGCACTCTGTATCTTGTCTTTTTATCCTTTTGTAACACCCAAGGTTCTGTGCCTAGCCACGCCAAAGAATTGGTGTGGAGGCTGACTGCGGCGAGTGACAGAGACTTGGACTGAGAGAGAGAGTGAGCTGTAGGTTTTATTGAGCAGAGTGAAAGTACAAAGCTTCTACAGTGTGGAAGGGGTCCCAAATGGGTTGCCACTGCTAGCTTGGGTGATTGCCTTTTAAACTCTTTAAGGCGGGAGATACGTGAGGCGGGAAGAATGTTACAGGAGCAAGAAACAAAGGCAGTAAATTATTTTGTGACATGCCTTAGATTTTGAGAAAATCTGAAATTGCGACTTATGCTTACTCGTTTTGTGGCCTTGGAGCTGTACAGCAAGAAAAAGAGGATCTTATAGAACTTAACGAACTATGTTCATAAGGAATTGGGAGGATAGATAAGGTCCGCTGATCACAGAAAAATGGGCAGTTAATCTTTTCTTTAACTCTGGTTTTGGCAGGGGAGGAGTGGGGCATACAGGAAAACTTACAGCTAAAATTCTCGCTGTTTATAGCTTTCTTGGGAAGAAAACATATAAGCAAATCCTGGTGTTAGGAATATTTTAAGCATATATCCTCAGTATTATTTATCCAGAACTGAAGTAAGTCCTGATGCAGGAAATGAGTGAGTTTTACAGCTTTCCAAGCCCCTACTCAACCCAGGAAGCTCAGCTGGCATCACCTCTCAGTCCCCCCTCTAAACAGGACACCCCAACTGCTGTTGGGAACTGGGCGATGACTGCTCTAGCTACTTCCTGCTGGTTAGGGGCGACGATGGGGCCCTGCTGTTGTATTGTCCTCCAGAGGGGAACTTTCTAGGCCAGTTAAGAGACCAGTGGGCTGATCCTGGGGTCCTCGGTAGAAGCTTGAGTTAAATTCATTTGAGGTTCCATTTGTAAGGCCATTTGTAGCTTGATGGCCTTTATCCTAGAGGAAATAAATTTGACAAGGAGGTTAAAAATACAGGGACCGAAGGCGAGTGATAGCAAGATGGCTGTTACAGGGCCTAGAAAGGGGAGAAGCCAAGGTACTCATTGGTTAAATATACTCCAGGGTCCTGAGAGTTGGAGTTCACTCTTTCTACGTTCTCTTCATTCCCTTAGCTCCTGGACTTTTTCGGCAATAATTCCTGACTGGTTGACAAAGTAGCAACATTCTTCTCCTAAGAAGAGGCAGGTTCTTCTTCTTTTAGCTGTTAGTAAGTCTAGGGCCCTTCGTTTTTGGAGGGCCACCCCAGTCAGAGAATTAAGCTGGCTTTGTAGGGTCATCAGGGAATTGGCAACCCATTCCATATCATCATTTAATTCTTGTGATATTTTATAATAGAATTGGGTGAAGGAGGTTATACCTCCAATTCCTGTCCCAAGCCCACCCAGTATTCTGGCTCCTACCATAAAAGGGAGAATAGGCGCTCGGGCGTGGCGGGACTGGGGTATAAGGAGACTTTCCAACTCTTGTTCGGTATAAATGGACATGGGGGTGCTAGAAATGAGAGAAAGCATAACTCTTTTGGGGTGCCCTTTAGACATCAATAAGCTATGTTAGCACGGATGAAAAAGATGTCTGGAGTTAGACAGGTGAAACCTGAGGTCACTGGTATCCAGGATTGACTTTGGGAGATGTTTCTATTGGGAGTCATGCTAAAATTTATACATGTGAGATTTGAGGCCTGTGTGGCTGGCAGATTGGTGACTGGGGAGCCAATTATCCCGGTGGTGTTTAGGACTGAGGTGGATAGGTTCCAATGTCCTGGGACAGGGACTACTGGGACATGTGGTTGGAAACGCAAGGGAAGACACATCCAGTAGTTAGTTGGATTGTTAGGAGAGGCCTCCTGCATTCCTGTGAATGTGGTGTTAAATAGACTCTAGAGATGGGAATGAGAGTCAAGAGTCTTTTGTAACCCGGAAAGGTCTAGTTTCTTATATGGACTTGGAGTGTTAGATGGTTGGATCAAGTTTTTAATTACTTGTTGGACATGTTGTTTTTGGCTTTATCCTGGACACCTCTCTCATCAGTTATACCCACATGGGTGTAATATGTCCAACATTGGGTAGTCCCTAGGGCATCGGGACAGTTGGACTGGGTCATTTGTCCTTGGTGATATGTATGGCCATTGTGGGAGCAGAGAGAAGCAGCACTATAACATTCCTTTCTCATATAGGTGTGGGTAGTAAACCCTGATTTAGTTTTAAACAATATCCTTTCGAAGTAGACTACATCAGTGTTTCTGGGAAGGGGAGGAGAGTATGCACTAGAGAAGCAAGTGCAGTTGGGGAGGGATGAAGAGGTGGCAGAAAGAATACTTAGGAGAGTTAAAAGAAGCTTAGGAGATCCTTATAAAGGGAGTCATGGTGCTCTGTAGGTGGAGCGGTAGTAGAAAGGAGGAGGGAAGAAGGAGTAAATTGTTAAAAGGAAGGACGATAGAAAAAAGGTTGATGTGGTCAGGATTTTTGTCCTGGCAGGAGCTACAGTATATAATCCTACTGCAAAGGGTATGGTTAGTATACTGTTTAATATGATGAAACAGTATAAGGACTCCATTAAAGAGAGCAAGGAGAGATGTCAAAGATCCATGTAGGCTTTCTGCTTATCCTCTATTAGGTAGAGATGAGTTTTTCTTCTTTAGGATTAACTGCAGGAGTCTTTTTAGCCTGGGATGCTTCCTTCCGAAATAGGAGAAGCAGGGCCTCAAGTGGGTCACAGGTGTATCAAGGCTGGTCTGGCTGATCTTCAGACTCCTGAGCTGATAGTCCTGTAAGTTCCTCAAGGGGTGTCCAAGGTTTAACTCGGGTGTGGTGAATCCAGGATTCCACTCCTGCCACCTTAACCTCAGTGGGGATAGAGAGGATTACTGAGTATGGTCCCTCCCACAAGGGATCCATAGATGGGAAGGTAGAGGGGAGGGACTTGACCACTACTAGATCTTCTGGTTGGAACAGCTCTATCCCTTTTCTCCTGTCATACCCTTTGGGTAAAGTTTTAAGGTTTTGTTGATACTTTGCTAGAGAAGTTATTATATCTTTGACCAAATTGGCCGTTTCCTGATTGAGCAGGAGGTCATTTGTGAGAAAAGGCCATCCATACAGCATTTCATATGGACTGAGCCCCCTTTGATTTTGGATCAAATTTCCAGGGGAATTTCGGATTCTTAACAAGGCCATGGGCAAGAGAGTGGCCATGGGAGATACTTTCTCAAATGCCTCTTTAGTGTTTCATTTGCCTTTTCGACTTTCCCTGAGGATTGTGGTCTCCAGGCACAGTGAAGGTGATATTGTATTCCTAGTGCCTTGGAAATTCCTTGAGTTATTGTAGCTTTAAAAGCTGGACCATTGTTGCTCTGTAAGCTTTGGGGGAAGTCCGAATATAGGAATTATTTCATGAAGTAAGATTTTAACTACTTCTTGGGCCTTCTCTGTTGTGCAGGGGAAGGCTTCCACCCACTTTGTAAAGGTATCAACATAGACCAACAAGTATTGAAATCCTCTTGACTTAGGCATGTGGGTGAAGTTTAACTGCCAGTCCTCTACAGGATAGTGCCCTATTCTTTGTTCCCCCAGAGGGGCCTTATGATGGACCAAGGGATTATTTCTTTGGCACATCTCCCAGGCCTTGACTACCTGCCGCATAGTTTGGAGAAGGTTTGGCCCTGTAAATAGGGATTTGGCCATCTTACGGGTACTTTCAAAACCTGTATGAAAGGTTTGTTGGAGGGTCTTAAGTATTTTCCACTGGCTGGCTTCAGGTATGAGCACCTTTCCCTCTTCTGTCGCTAACCACCCTGAGGGGAGAAAACTATGCCCCCATGAGAGTCCCCATTCTGTTTCGCTTGGGGAATACTGGGGCTTAACCTCCTGGAGGGGGTTGCTCCATACTAAGGGTCCTTCCATGGGCACTTCTAAAGGGAAGTCCTGCTTAGCAGCAGTTTTGGCCTCAGCATCTCCTCGGCAGTTTCCTTCTGCTGCTTCTCCTTCATCTTTTTGATGACCCCGGCAGTGTAAGACTGCCGCCTTCTTGGGTTTCTGCACTGCGTGCAGTAATTTCATGATTTCCTTGTGGTACTTAATGGGTGTCCCCTGAGAGGTTATAAACTCCCTCTCTTTCCATATTGCAGCATGGGCATGTAGAACTAGATAAGCATATCTGCTATCTGTATACACATTTATTCTTTTTCCTTCTCCCAGTTCTAAGGCTCAGGTAAGTGCCACGAGTTCTGCTAACTGGGTGCTGGTCCCTGGGGGAAGAGGCTTACTCTCAAGTACTGTTGCATTGCTAACTATGGCATAGCCTGCCCTTTGTACCTAAATGAACTTCTATCAGTATACAGGTTAAGGTCAGGGTTAGTTAAAGGAACTTCTAAGAGATCCTCCCAGGCGGCATAAGTCTGGGCAATAATTTGGTGGCAGTTATGCTCAATTGGCTCCCCATCCTCTGGGAGAAAAGTGGCAGAGTTGAGGGCTGCACATGTGCATATTTGAAACACTGATCCTTCAAGGATTAGTGCCTGGTATTTGAGTAGGTGGTTATCTGAGAGCCACAAACTTCCTTTAGCATTTAATATGCCACTTACATCATGAGTAGTCCAGACAGTGAGATCCTTTCCTTGTATTATTTTGATAGTCTCTGATACTAAGATGGCCGCTGCTGCAACCACCCATAAACAGTGAGGCCAGCCTTTTGCTACTACATTAGTTTCCTTACTTAGGTATGCCCCTGGTTGTAGGGCTATCCCACGGGTCTGACTTAGAACTCCAAGAGCTATTCCTGGTCTCTCTGTGACATATAAAGATAAATTTTGTCCCGTGGGAAGGCTTAGGGCTGGAGCATGTACTAGGGTCTGTTATAAAGTTTTGAAGGCTGTTTCCGCCTCTGATTCCCATTCTACTAGATGAGTTATTTGCCCTCTGGGTCTCCTTTATCAGAATATAGAGTGGCTTGGCCTTCTCACTGTATCCAGGGATTCACAGTTGGCAAAAGCCGGCGATTCCAAGGAATCCCTGCAACTGTTTCAATGTCTTAGGGCGAGGATAAGCCAGTATAGGCTCAATTTGTTCTTTGCTGAGGGCCCTAGTTCTTTCGGCTAGGTTTAAGCCTAGATATTTAATTTGTTGTTGGCAGAGCTGGGCCTCTGACTTAAATACCTTGTACCCTCGATTAGCTAGAAAATTCAAGAGATCTAGAGTAGTCTGTTGATGTGAGGCTTCCAAACTGGTAGCCCAAAGTAAGTCATCTGCGTATTGGAGGACTAGAGTGCCTGGACTTGAGAATTGGCCTAGGTCTTGGGCCAGTGCCTGACCAAACAGATGAGGGCTATCCCTAAACCCCTGGGGCAGGACCATCCACGAAAGTCGGGATGTGTGGTCTGTAGGATCCTCAAAGGCAAAGAGGAACTGGGAGTCAGTGTGCTGGGGAATGCAGGAGAAGGCATCCTTGAGGTCCAGAACAGTGAACCGTTCTGCTTCCTCTGGTATCTGAGAGAGCGGGGCTTAGGGGTTGGGTACAGCAGCATATAAAGGAATTACTGCCTCATTGATGATTCTGAGGTCTTGCACTGGTCTCCACTGACCATTTGGTTTTTGTACTCGTAGGATTGGGGTGTTGCAGGGACTGTCCCATTTTCTCACTAAGCCTTGAGCTTTTAAATGCCTAATAATATCCTCTGGTCCTTTATGAGCTTCAGGCCATAGGGGATATTGCCTTTGATAAGGAAAAGTGGTGGGGTCTTTTAGCCTAATTTGAACTGGACAGGCATTTTTTGCCCTACCGAATTGTCCTTCCATTGCCCAGACTTCAGGGTCGATTCCCTCCTCAAGTAAGGGACAACAAATGGGTAATTTGTCCCCCGTATTCGTGTAGTTAATAGCTCCAGCTTTGGATAATATGTCCCTCCTTAATAAGGGTGTGGGACTTTCAGGCATGATAAGAAAGACGTGAAAAGAGCAAGGTCTCCCAGTTGCAGCTGAGGAGGTGGGAGAAATACCTGGTTACAGGCTGTCCTAGGATTCCTTGGATGGTAATGGATCTTGAGGATAACTGTCTAGGGCAGGAGATTAACACTGAGAAGACCGTGCTGGTGTCCAGGAGGAAATCGATTTCCTGGTTCTTAATGGTTGAGCTTACCCGGGGCTCTGTGAGGGTGATATGAGCTGGCGCTTGCCCCAGGCACCCTCAGTCCTCTTGCTGAATCATCTGGCTGGGGGCTTCTGGCCCAGAGAGCCTTCATCATCTGGGGCAGCATGCCTTCCAATGGTTTCCTTGGCATATTGGACGTGGGCAAGGGGGCAGTTTGTTTTTTGTTGGACAATCTTTTTTAAAGTGTCTTTGCAAACCACAGTGATCACAAGCCCTACCAGGTGATTGTCCTGCTCCATTTTTTGTCCTTTCTGAACCTCCAATGTTTGCTTGTCTGAGAGCCATGACCAAGGCTGCGGTCTTTCTCTTATCTTGCTTTTCCCTTTTGGCCTGTTCCTCTCGGTCCATTTTATAGAACACCAAGGTCACCAGGTTTAATAATGCCTCCAAATTTTGTTCTGGGCCTAAGGCAGACTTTTGGAGTTTTCTCCTAATATTGGCCGCTGATTGGGTGATAAATTTATCCTTTAGAATAAGTTGGCCTTCCAGGGAATCCGGAGTTAGGGAGGTATACTTTCTTAGAGCCTCCCATACCCTTTCTAGAAAAGCTGAGGGGTTTTCTTCTTTTCCCTGTGTAATTGTGGATAGCATTGAGTAGTTCATAGGCTTCTTCCTACTTCTTCTTAACCCTTCCAAGATACAAGTTAGCAAATGCCTGCGGCTCCAATCTTCATGATCTGAGTCAGTATCCCAATGAGGGTCTACAGCGGTGACCTCCTGTTGCCCTGTGGGGGAATTTTTCCTTCTCCTCTGGGGCCATTTGATCTGTTTACCTGGCTGAGATACCATAAATCCCTAAATTGCTGGGCTGCCGCTAAAGCTCCCTCCTTTTCAGTAGGACTTAAGGTCTGATCAAGGAGCAACATGATGCCCCTCCATGCTAGATCAAAGGACTGTCCTAACCCTTGTAAGACATCTATATAGTTATTGGGATCATCCGAGAATTTCCCTGTATCTGCCTTTATTTGTTTTAAATCTGAGAGTGAGAAAGAGACATGCACATGGGTGGGCCTAAATTCTCCTCCTACTGCTTGTAAGGGACTTAGTTTGGGCGCCTGGTTCGCGGAGTTTACGTTTTCTTTTCGGTGTGCCTCTAACACTTTGGTGGGGCTGGATGGAGGAGAGTCAGTGAGGGAAGAGAGTGGGGCTAAGGAAGGAGGCCCTGAGTATGGAGGCAATTGTGGGTTTTTGTCATTTGGGCAAATCTTGCAGGCTTGGCATAGAGCAGTATTGTCACGAAGGGCAAAGAAAGCCTGTACATAAGGGATTTCACTCCATTTACCTTCCCGTTTACAGAAAAGATCTAGTTGTAGAATGGTGTTATAATTAATACTTCCCTCAGGGGGCCAAGTTTCTCCATTTTGTAAGGAGTACTGTGGCCAGGCATTGGTACAGAAGACAATCAGTCGCTTCTTTTTTAAGGTCTCAGGGTCGAACTTGTCCCAGTTATTCAGGATACATCTCAAGGGAGTGTCCAGTTTTGAAGGCGTGGTGCCCAACTGGAATTTTAAACACAGGTATGCCCGCACCCCTGGTTAGTCTTAGGGACTCATCTTCCCCTTAGGGCATCCCCCAAGGGTCCAGTCCAATTGTGCTCGGAGCGCATGATCGTCCTTGAGCCTTCCATTTACCAGATTTAACCACGCTTACCGGCAGAATGGAAATCATCCTTGCCCTCTGCCGTGCACCCATTGACCACTAGATGGGGCATGAGGACTGTTGGATTTATTGTGGTCCCTTTGCCAACGCGTCCTATCTGTTCTGGGGTGGCAAGGCCTGGGTCGGGGGCACCACTGATGCTTGCATGTCAAGGCCCAATTTACGTGGGCCTGGCCATAAAACTGCCCTTCAAGGAGGAATCTCTGAATTAGTGACAGGAGGCTTAGTAAGCTCAAAGGGGATGGTTGATGTCCTCTAGGCCAGGGCTGAGAGAACAACTGCTGCACTCTAGCCTTTTGTCCCCACTTTCCATCAAAGGAGTAAGCCCCCATCTTAAGGTGGTACCAGTATCCCGTGTCTCAATTGACTATATTTTCTTTCTTCCAATATCCATGATTGAATGGTTGAAAAAGCAATTCAACTGCTCTAAGGGCCGTACCCATACACCACAGATTATACTTGAGAGGCACCAAAAAAAGGAAATTCATCTGGGGAACAATGAAGAAAATGTCCTAGGGCCTCTACCATCCACATGAAAATTACAGATCTGTCTTCAAATTGTCCTGATGTGGGAGACCATACACGATGGTGGGGAACTGGCCTTTCAAAGTGGCCATCAGATGGCAACACCTGCCTAAATTCCAGAGGGCACCATCAACAAGGAACTTCTGAACACCACCTTAAAAACTTAAGTCTCCTAAATAGGGATTCTTGGTCCTGTCTAGTGGGAATAATCTTGCTTACCAGGTGAGGAAAGAAATCTAACCGGCAGTTATTTGAACCCAGGACGCAGGAGTCAGAAGATGTGGCTGTCTCACGCTTAGTAACCCATGCTGTGGGAGCCTCTGGTGGGGCCATGGTCTCAACCTGGATATCTGGGAGACCATGACATTTGCTGAGCACTCCCGGGTGTACTTCGGGACCACTACAGAAAGTGAAAGACTTAAAACTGGTTCCGGGCAAACCAGTGCTCCCAACTCCAAAGGGTCAGGGATTGTCAGAGAGCCCTTTCCCAGGCTGACACTCGTGTTTTTAGTCCAGTGGTCTTGCTAATCGCCTTTAACTGGCTGACAGGTGCCCAGTGTTTAGCCTCCGAATTCTAAGGAAGGATGGGACAGAATAGCAAGCAAAAGAGGTCCGAGGGTACTCACTGCGTGGCAGTTGGGATGCTCTTCCTGGAGTCTCCTGGCTGGCTCACTAAGATGTAACACCCAAGGTTCTTTGCCTAGCCACGCCAAAGAATTGGTGTGGCGGCTGACCATGGCGAGTGACAGATACTTGGACCAAGAGAGAGAATGAGCTGTAGGTTTTATTGAGCAGAGCGAAAGTACAAAGCTTCCACAGCATGGAAGGGGTCCCGAATGGGTTGCCACTGCTAGCTCGGGTGATTGCCTTTTAAACTCTTTAAGGCGGGAGATATGTGAGGCGGGAAGTATGTTCCAGTACAGGAGCGAGAAACAAAGGCAGTAAATTATTTTGTGACATGCTTTAGATTTTGAGAAAAACTGAAATTGCGACTTACGCTTACCTGATTTATGGCCTTGCAGCTGCACAGCAAAAAAGCAGGATCTTATAGAACTTACAAACAGTGTTTACAAGGAATTGGGAGGATAGATAAGGCCCACTGATCACAGAAAAATGGGCAGTTAATCTTTTCTTTAACTCTGGTTTCGGGGGAGGGCACACAGGAAAACTTACACCTAAAATTCTCGCTGTTTATAGCTTTCTTGGGGAAGAAAACATATAAGTAAATCCTGGTGTTAGGAATATTTTAAGCATATATTATACCTCAATATTATTTATCCAGAACCGAAGTAATCCCTGATGCAGGAAATGAGTGAGTTTTACAGCTTTCCAAGCCCCTACTCGACCCAGGAAGCCCAGCTGGCATCACCTCTCACTTTTAATTGTATCTCCTGCAAAGCGCAAGGTTTTACTATTTTTAAAATTTTTTTTATTTTTATTTTTTAGAGACTGGAGCTTGCTACATTGCCCAGGCTGGTCTTGAACTCCTGGGCTCAAGTGATCCCCTCCTACCTCAGCCTTTTTTTTTTTTTGACACAGAGTCTCGCTCTCTTGCCCAGGCTGGAGTGCAGTGGCACTATCATGGTTCACTGCAAGCTCCGCCTCCCGGGTTCAAGTGATTCTCCTGCCTCAGCCTCCTGAGTAGCTGGGATTACAGGTGCACGCCACCACGCCTGGCTAATTTTTGTATTTTTACTAGAGACAGCGTTTCACCATGTTGGCCAGGCTGGTCTCGAACTCCTGACCTTGTGATCCACCTGCCTCAGCCTCCCAAAGTGCTGGGATTACAGGCATGAGCCACTGCACCTGGACTTTTTTTTTTTTTTTTTTAAAGACAGGGTCCTGCAGTGTTGCCCAGGCTGTAGTGTAGTGGTGCATACCGTCATACCTGGCCACAGAGCACAGGTTCCCTCCCATACTCCCTGTTTTTTTTTTTTCATTGTTTTGAAGATAGTCTCACTCTGTCACCCAGGCTGGCGTGCAGTTGTGCTATCATGGCTCACTGTGATCCTTCTATCATGGTCTCAAGTGATCCTTCTGCTTCAGCCTCCCAAGTAGCTTTGGTTACAGGCTTGTACCACCATTCCTGGCTTTTGTTTTTGTTTTTGTTTTTTGTAAGGACAGGGTCCTATTATGTTGTCCAGGTTGGTCTTGAACTCCTGGGCTCAAGTGATCCTCCAGCCTCTGCCTCTCTAAGTGTTGGGATTACAGGCATGACCCACCACATCTGGCCTCATAGAGCACAAGTTTTAAAATTTGAAATTCACTGTACTGGTTTTTTCCCTTTATGGTTTGTGCTTTTTATGTCAAGTTTAAGAACTCTTTGCCTGGTTCTACATCTTGAAGATATTTTCTCATTTTTTTCTTAAATATTTTATTATTATATTTGTGATCCATTTTGAGTTAATTTTTTATATATGTGTGTTTAGGAGTCCCCAAGGCTTCTCCTAGACTCAGTGATTCTCATAAAGAATCACAGAACTTAAAGTTGTTATACTTACGGCTATGGTTTGTTACAGCTAAAGGATACAGATTTAAATCAGTGATGGAAAAAGAAGCAAAGGACAGGGTCCAGGAGACACCAGACCCAAATTTATAGTCGTTCTATCACTGCGAAGTCATGTGCACAGTTTGTTTCTTCTAGCAGTGATGTATGAGAACATGTGGAATATTGAAAACTGGGTAAGCTCAGCTGAGCCCTGGTGTCCAGGGTTTTTTGGTAGGTCGGTATGTAGGTGTGGTTGACTGCCCTCATGGATGACCTCCGTCTGCAGCCCTCAAGCTGATACCATTTGGTCCAAGGCCCCCACCATTAATCACATTATTAGCATAGACTATATGGAGTGGCCTAAAACCCCCAGGTAAAGAAAGACTTTCTTACTAGGCTGGACATTCCAAGGGCTTAGAGGTTACTTCCTAGGAGCTGGGCAAGGGCCAAATCTTTCTCGGAACGTGCACGGTGTGGGAAACCCAGACTTTTGCTGAGTTAATTAATCCTTATTGCACAGTGTGAGACATAGACTGAGGTTTTTTTTTTTCCCATTTACTTTTTGGGTAGAGTTATTATGTGTACTGTTTTGTTTTTCAAATTGTTTTAGCTCTTCTAGTTTCTTTTCCTTTCTGTATAAGCTTAGAATATTGAAGTCTGGGTATTTGGTTAAAAAAAGGAAGAAAGAGAAAAATAAGCTTAGAATAATCAAGCTACTGTAAGTAAAACTCTTAAAAATTGTGTTTGCACAAAAAAGAATACAAAAAAAGTCTTCCTAGGAATTTGATAGGAATTTTGTTGTTTAGCTATCAGATTGGGGAGAAATAACATCTTTTCTTGGTGAGTTTTCCAGTCTATGAACATGGTATGTTCTTCATTTATTTAGATTTTTTATTTTGCTCATCAGCGTTGTATAGTTTTTAATATTTTCTATGCATATGTTGTTAGATTTACACTTAATATTTTATGTTTTTGGAGTGATTGTAAATTATATTGTATTTTCAAGTTTTAAGACATAGAACACAGAAATAAGTTTAGAAATACATTTATAATATAGAAATACATTTGCTTTTAAAAAAATCTATCTATCTATCTATCTATCTATCTATCTATCTATCTATCTGTCTGTCTGTCTGTCTATGAATGAATGATGGAGTTTTGTTCTTGTTGCCCAGGCTGGAGTGCAATGGCACGATCTTGGCTCACTGCAACCTCCACCTCCGGGGTCCAAGCAATTCTCCTGCCTCAGCCTCCCGAGTAGCTGGGATTACAGGCATGTGCCACCACCAGCTAATTTTTTTATTTTCAATAGAGACGGGGTTTCTCCATGTTGGTCAGGCTGTCCTTGAACTCCTGACCTCAGGTGATCCACCTGCCTCAGCCTCCCAAAGTGCTGGGATTACAGGTGTGAGCCACTGCGCCCGGCCACATTTGCTTTTTGTATATTTATCTTGTATTTGTTACCTTGCTGAACTCACGCATTAGTTCTAAGAGTTTGTTTTGGTAGATACCTTGGAATTTTGAATGTAGACAATCACATTGTCTATAAATAAGGAGTTTTTTCTTTCTGATTTGTGTGCCTTTTGTTTTCTTCTCTTGACTTACTGCAGTGACTAGAAGAATCTAGCACAATGTTTATGAGTAGTAGAAGTGGATATCCTTGCCTTGTTTCTGATTACACAGATATAGCATTCAGTCTTTTCACTATTAAGTAGCAGTAGTATAGCTGTTAGCTGTAGGTTTTTGTAGATACCATTTATCAATTTGAGGGCACTTCTTATTCCTAGTTTGCAGAGGGTTTTTATCATGAATAGGTATTAGATGTTGTCAATTTTTTTTCCTCAATGAATTGATTTATGATTTTCTTCTTTAGTTTGTTGATATGGTGGTGCATTTTATTACTTGATTTAAAAAATGTTTAACGAACTTTTTATCCCTGGAATAAGCGCCACTTGGTCATGGTATATAATTCTTTTTATATATTGCTGAATTTTGTTTATAGTTTGTTAAGGATTGTTTTCGTGTATCGATAAGGAATATTGTCCTGTAGTTTTTTTCTCAGGTACTCTCTGGATATCAGGGTTAATACTATAATACCTTTATAAATGAATGGGGAAATGTTCTCTCTTATTTTTTGGAAGAGATTGTATAGAATGGTGCTGATTCTTTTTTATACATTTGGTAGAATTTTCAGTGAAACACTCTGGGCCCAGAATTTTTTTTTTTTTTTTGAGACACAGATTTGCTCTTGTTGCCCAGGCTGGAGTGCAGTGGTGCGATCTCGGGTCACCACAACCTCCAACTCCTGGGTTCAAGCGATTCTCCTTCCTCAGCCTCCCGAGTAGCTGGGATTATAGGTGTGTGCCACCACGCCGGGCTAATCTTTGTAGTTTTAGTAGAGAGAGGATTTTGCCATGTTGACCAGGCTGGTCTTGAACTCCTGACCTCAGGTGATCCACCCGCCTTGGCCCCACAAAGTACTAGGATTACAGGCGTGAGCCACTGCACCTGGCCAGTGGGCCCAGAGATTTTTAATTTTTGAAATTTTAAAATTATGAATTCGATTTCCTTAATAGTTATAAAGTAATTCAAATTATCTGTTTCAAATTGGATGCGTTGCATTTGTTTTTTAGAGGAAGTGGTTGATTTCACCTAAATTATCAAGTTTATGTGTGTAGAATTGTTTATAACATTCTCTTATTATTTGTTAGATGTCTGCAGGCTATGTGGTGATGTCTCCTGTTTCATTTCAGTTATTGTTTTTCTTTCTTTTTTTCGAGACGGAGTTTTGCTCTTGTTGCCCAGGCTGGAGTACAGTGGCGCGATCTCGGCTCACTGCAACCTCTGCCCGCCGGGTTAAGCGATTCTCTTGCCTCAGCCTCCTGAGTAGCTGGGATTACAGGCCCACCACTCCTGGCTAATTTTTGTATTTTTAGTAGAGGGGATTTCTCCATGTTGGTCAGGCTGGTCTCAAACTCCTGACTTCAGGCGATCCGCCCGCCTCGACCTCCCAAAGTGCTGGGATTACAGGTGTGAGCCACCACACCTGGCCTCATTTCAGTTATTGTTAATTTGTGTCTTCCTGCCTTGTTTTTCAGTTTTGGTAGCAGTTTGTTGATTTTACTGATCTCTACAAAGAACCATCTCCTGATCACATTAATTTTCTCATTTGTTTTCTGTTTTCAATTTCAGCAATTTCTGCTCTTTGTTGCTTCCTTTTTTTCTGCTTTGGGTCTGTTGAACTCTTCTTTTTTTCTAGGTTCTTGTTAGCAGATTAGATTACTGATTTGAGAGTCCCCCCCCCCCCCCCCCGCTTTTTTTTTTTTTTGAGACAGAGTCTCACTCTGTCGCCCAGGCTAGAGTGCAGTGGTGCAGTCTCGGCTCACTGCCAGCTCCGCCTCCTGGTTCACACCATTCTCCTGCCTCAGCCTCCCCAGTAGCTGGGACTACAGGCACCCGTCACCATGCCTGGCTAATTTTTTTTTTTTTTGTATTTTTAGTAGAGACAGGGTTTCACTATGTTAGCCAGGATCTGGATCTCCTGACCTCATGATCCACCCGCCTCGGCCTCACAAAGTGCCGGGATTATAGGTGTGAGCCACCGCACCTGGCCGTTTGCCACTTTTAAAATATGCTATTATAAATTTTCCTCTCAGAACTGCTTTAGCTGTGTCCCACAAATTTTGATATTTTATATTTTCATTTTAGTTCAGTGTGGTTTTTTTTTTTATTTGCCTTATGACTTCCTCTTTGCTTCTCAGGACTGTAAGTGTGTTGTTTAGTTTCAAAGTGTTTGGAGATTTTCCTGCTGTCTTTCTGTTATTAATTTCTAGTTTTTTCCATTGTAGCCAGAAACTCTTCATGTGATTTCAGTCCTTTAAATTTGTTGACATTTGTTTTAGGGCCCACCGTATGGTATATTTGATGTATGTTCTGTGGGTACTTGGAAAGAATGTGTATTCTGCTGTTGTAGTGGGGGAGTGTCCTATAAATGTTGATTAGATCTTGTTTATGTTGAGTTCTGTATACTTGATGATTTTCTGTCTAGTTTTTCTATCAGTTGTTGAAAGAGGAGTGTTTGAAAGTCTACAAATATAATTATAGATTTGTGTATTTTTTTATTTCTGTGTTTTTGCTTTATATATTGCAGCCACATTGTTTGGTGTGTAGACATTTAGAATTGCTATTACTTCTTGGTCTGTCGGCCCTTTTATCATTATATAATGTCCCTCTCTGTCTTTGGTAATTTTATTTTCTCCAAAGCTTACTTTATCTGATGTTAATATAGCTAACACGCTTTTTTCATTAATGTTCACATGGCATATGTTTTATATCCTTTTACATACAACCTATCTATGTTATTATTTGAGGTAAATGACTTGTAACGGCATAGTTGGGACGTGGTTTCTCATCAATCTGCTGTGCCAATTTCTATCTTTTAATTGGTATATTTAGACCATTTACATTTAATGTAATTATTTATATGTTAATACTTAAGTCTTTGTATTTGTTCTCCATTTCTGTTTTCATTATCTGCCTTCCTATGGGTTACTTGAACATTTTTAGAATTCCATTTGGATTCATCTGTGTTTTTCAGTGTCTCTCTTTGTATAGTTCTTCTAGTAGTTGCTTTAGGTATTTTTATATACATTGCTCTTGGTATATTATATATACATATGTATCACAGTTTACTGATTTTTTTTACCACTTTGAGTGGAGTAGAGAAATCTTACCTGTTTTTATATTCCTTTACCGTCCCTCATTTATGATAAAAGAGTTTCACATATTTCCTCTACATACATTTAAAACCACTTCCAACAACTGTCAAACATAATTTAAGAAACTCAGGAGAAGAAGGAAAGCCTATTTTATTTATTCATAATTTTGTTTCTTGTGTTTTTTCTTCCTTTGTATGTTCCAAGGTTTCTTTTTTTATTGCTTCCTTTCTGTTTAGAGAACCTCCAATAGTCATTCTTCATTCTTTTAGATCTCCAATGACAAATTATCTTAGTTTTCTTTTATCTGAGAATGTCTTGACTTCCCCTTGATTCTTTGAGGGCAATTTTACTGGATACACATTTCTAGTCTGATGCTTCTTTTCTTTTATCACGTGAAAATATTTTTCTTCTTCTTTCTGGCTGCCATGATTTCTGATGACAAATCTGCTGTCATTTGAATTGTTTTGTGCCCTCCCTCCCCCATTGATAAGTTGTCATTTTTTTTTCTGGCTGATTTCAATATTTTTTTTCTTCAGTTTTCAGAAATTCAATTATCATGTGCCTTTCGGTGGATTTCTTTGGGTCTTGTAGTTGAAAGTTATGGGGCACTGTCTCCTTATTGCCAGGTGGTGATAGAAGTCCCAATTTCCTGTGAGGCCTTTGCTGATACCTGAGGGATAAGGAAGAGCACCTTGTTACTGCTGGGTAGGGATGGAAGTCCAGGATTCCCAGGTTATCACCATTGACACCACAGTGTGGGTTGCCTTGTTACTACTCAGTGATGGTGAAAGTCCTCAGTCTCTACCAGGCCTCCTCTGATACCACCTAAGGGGAAGAGGGGAAGAGGTGTCACCATATTGCTGGACAGGAGTAAAGGCCCTATCTCCCTACTTGGGCTTCTTGGATACTACTATGGTGGCAGTTTTAGGGTGCTTTATTACAGCCTGGCAAGTTTAGAAGTCTAGGTACCCCACTTGGCTTTTGTTAGCATGGGTGTAGGTTCCCAGAAGATAAAATTAGTATTATTAATTTGGTGAAGAGCTTGAGCTGCATTTAAAACCTGGTATTACTTATTATAGTTATCTGTACAACCTTGAATAATTTCTGACTTCTTTGAGCCTCATTTTTTAAAAAAATCTCTAAATTGGAGGTAACTCTATGTGTGGTGATGATTTAATACGATGATTTTTAAATATCTTAGCACAGTTTACATCATTATCATTGCTTAAGAAATGATTCTTGTTCTCCTTCCTTGCTCCCTTATTTTTTTTTGCGTCTCTCTTCTCAATTTTTTTCCCTAGAAATGTTTCCTGACTTATCTGAAGTGATATTTCTACTGCCACCCTCACAATTTTGTGCCCCCTGCTTTATTTTGGGTTTGCCTATTGTTTGTATCATAGGACAGGAACTGGTATGTCCTGGGTGTTCAATTTTGTTGAATGAAACAATGGATATGTAGACTGTCAGTTAAGGTTTCTGTTTCCACCTACGTTTTTTTTTCAATCCTGGTTTTGTACCTGGTATTTCTGAGGTTGTAGTGTACATTCTACTTCAATATTTAACGCCCTTTGTTTTCTATTGTCAGGAATTTTGTTCTGATCTCTTTTGCTTGATGGTCCCATATTGTTCATTGGTGTGGTTTCCATGCTTTACTTTTTGTCATTTCACTGGGTCTTGAAAGGGAGGGAATATATGTCTGTATACTCAGGCAGTGATCTTGAACCAGAAGTCCTGTTGTCATATAGGTGTAAGTGAAAAAGAAAATGAAGAGAAAAAGAACTTAAAAAGAGATTGTCAAACTTGTCCTTAATGTCAACTACTATTATGTATTTCTTCTTATTTTTTCTGATTTATAAAGGTAATAAATACACATTTACAAGAGCATAAAGATGAATATTGTTTTAAAAGCAAATTCATATTTCAGATATTATTCATGGATTTGAAAAATTTGACTCCACATACAATTATTTTGAAAAATTATATGGAGCAAAAAAAGAAGTCTCCCTTTATTTCGTTTCCTTCTTTAATTCTTGCTTTTCAAGAGGTCCCCAGTGTTATTAATGTGTTCTATGTTCTTCCAGACCTTTTGCTGTTCATTTAGTCACATACACACAGGCTTTTAAATAAACTGATCATCCCATACATGTTTTATGATTTGCTTTCTTTTCCTAAAAACATCTATATATTGGATTTCTTTAAAAAATAATTTTTATTTTGAAATGATTCACATAGTCTAATTCACACCACCTGAAGCTCCTAGAATTAGTTTATTCTCCAAGGAGATTTAGCCATTAAGATAAGCCTAGGATTAGGTTTGATCTCCATGGGCATTTAAGAGTAAAGAAGGCTTCTATGGGGGCCTTTTTTCTGTGTTGGAAAGAACACACATAATTAATAAAATCCCTGCCAATTTATGGTATATGAGCCAAACAAATCAGAGAATAAAACAAAAACCTAGAATTTCTGTTCCACTATTTGGCAAAAATACCCCCATATACATACATACATGTTTATATGTATAACACATTTCTGTAGCAAGCATATTAACTTAAGTACTTTTTTAAAACACATGCGTATATGGAAATTTAATACATGATATAAAGACAGCATTTTAAAGCAGCAGGGAAGTATTAGGCCTGAAAAATGTGGTAGTAGATCCCTACCTCAGATTTGAGATGGAATAAAGAGCTTTTGATTTCTTTTAAAAATCATAAAAATCTAGGAGATAAGAGATTAATTTTATATTCTTAGGTCAGAAATGTTCTTTTTTTTTTTTGAGATGGAATCTTGCTCTGTCGCCCAGGCTGGAGTGCAGTGGTGCGATCTCCGCTCACTGCAACCTCTGCCTCCCGGGTTCATGCCATTCTCCTGCCTCAGCCTCCCGAGTAGCTGGGACTTCAGGCGTACGCCACCACGCCTGGCTAATTTTTTGTATTTTTAGTAGAGATGGGGTTTCACCGTGTTAGCCAGGATGGTCTCGATCTCCTGACCTCGTGATCCGCCTGCCTCGGCCTCCTAAAGTGCTGGGATCACAGGTGTGAGCCACCGTGCCCAGCAGAAATGTTCTTAAGTCACAAAACATTTAATAAAAATTTAAAGAAATTGAACATTGACAAAAGATGCAAAATAAAAAAGACACATACTGGAAGCAAATATTTGTAATATAATTGACCAGGAAATAGTATCTCTAGTGCCTAAAGAGCTCCTGTAGGCTGTGGAGCAGCCATCCTTTTATTCCTTTACTTTCTTAATAAACTTGCTTTCATTTTGCACTGTGGACTCGCCCTGACTTCTTTCTTGCACGAGATACAGGAACCCTCTCTTGGGGTCTGGATCAGGACCTCGTTCCTGTAACATATTTCTGGCGACCATAGAAGGGACTATACTGCAGAAACCCCTGACCCAAAGGCTAACTTTGGGTAAGTGGTGGGGTCTAGTAACATCTTTCTCATGAACCACAAAAGGGACAATATTGAGACCCCCGACCCAAAGGAAATAGATGCAGCACTGATTGGACAACTTTGGGTAAGTAGTGGGGTACCTGGGTAAAGGATGGGATTGGGTTAGAGGCCCAACTTAGGGGAGTTAGAGTCTCTCCTAAGACACAGTGGGTTGGAGCCCCTCTTAATAAAAGGCAAGGATGCTTGACTGACCTTGGGTTAGAGGCCCAACTTAGGAGGATTAGAGTCCCCTCTCGTCACTATTGGATGTTAACTGCTATTCTCTTTGGATTAATCTGCCTTGCACTCTTTGCTATGGCTGTGGGTGGCAGGATTAGGCATGTACAGGATCGTAGGACATGGGGAGGTTTTTCTTCCCTAAAAGGGGAAATGAGAGCTGATGAGACTGGCTGGAAAAGATCTCTTTGGTACTGAGAAACAGCCGCCTGAACTTTTCAGTGTTGCTGCAATGGGTGGGTCTTTCTCTGGCCTCCCTAAGCTGTTCACCTTCCCCACCCTGCCACAGGCAATACTTTCCTTCTCTACTTTTCCTTTCCTATCTTTTCTATTACTCAGGGTGACCATCTTGCCCAGAGACCACGTGTTGAAACTCTTAAGTCGGAGTTTGGATTAAAGATGATGGGGCCCATCTGGGGACAAATTTAAGCCTTGCCAGTTTGATATTGGGTGCTAAGCAGAGTGGCTAATGTCTCTGTTTTTATCACATGGACTTTGCTCTGGCCAGAACGAAAAAAAAAATTTTCCTTTATGATGCAGCTTGGCCCCCATGGCTATGGTGCCACAAGCTGGATCACTAGGGCTGCTCAGGGAAAGGGAACCCAGAAGCCTGGCATGCCGGCAAAAGAGTAAGAATTTCTTACCAGTCAGATTTCAGGCTTCTCTCTCTCTCTGTGCAAACGGTTGACTGAATGGTTAAAAAAAAAAATCAGTGTTTATCTCCTCTGTAAAGTTTTGATTAATGCAAAAAAGAATTCTAAGGCTAGTCTTAAGCTGGTGTATTTTGTGCTATGAATTTGTTTTTCTGTGTTGAGGGGTACTTCAGGATAAAACACGGGCTTAGAACACCTGTAAGCCCGCTTTTCAAGAATAACCAGCAAGCTGGTCAGTAACAAATTTGGCTGCAGGTCTCTGAAACAAACACAAATACTGGATGAAGTCTCCACCTTGTTTTACGTCCTTGGGAGCTTGACCTTGTAACCACGTGGCAGTACTTTTGGTCTCCCCTTTCCAGGGAACAGGAATTTTAGGGTTCATGTCATAGTTAGCTCTAAAAATCATATTAAATAGTTAAAAGCCTCTGCAAGCTCAAAATTAACTACTGTAGACTTGTTCTGGGAAAGGAAATGGGGACTACCCCTTACTGTATGTAGCTCAGTAGCTGACATTTTGCACTTTCACACTGGCAGTCCTGGTTCAGTTCTCCACTAGGAAGTAAGTCATTTCTGTGGTTTAATATCTGTGTGATCTTGTCTATTCTCTTCTCCTCCGTGGACTGTCTTAAATTTTCCTTTCTCTCAGCACCTTTGATAAAGTTCAGAAGCTAGAAATATTGGTCATTTGGGAAGGCTAAAGTCAGGTAATAAGAGATCTGAAAGGATTTGTTTTTTTAAAGAGCACTATGGTTAAAAGTCAGCTTACGTAAAAATGGATAGACAAGCTATAGATATATTTAACAGGCCTTTATTTTTTTCTCTTCTTGGAACTTGTTTTTATGGAAAAAGGTTTTTTCTTTTCAGTCGACTAAATTATTTTTCTCCATTTGTTTTTTGGCTTTCCACTTTTTTTTTTTTTTTTTTGAGACAGAGTCTTGCTCTGTTGCCCAGGCTGGAGTGCAGTGGCGCGATCTTGGCTCACCGCAACCTCTGCCTCCCGGGTTCAAGCGATTCTCCTGCCTCAGCCTCCCAAGTAGCTGGGACTACAGGTGTGTGCCACCATGCCCGGCTAATTTTTTTTGTATTTTTGGTAGAGACGGGATTTCACTGTGTTAGCCAGGATGGCCTCGATCTCCTGACCTCGTGATCTGCCCGCCTCGGCCTCTCAAAGTGCTGGGATTACAGGCCCGAGCCATGGTGCCCAGCTGTCTTTCCACTCTTAATGCACACATGAGAGGCCCTAAGATAACTTCTGGTAGCCTAAGACCCCTTGGGAAAAACAGAGGAAGTGCCACAGACCCTGTTTAGGGAAAAAACCCTCTTTTCCTCATGAAACCCCAGGAATTAAAAGCACATGGATCCCTCTCAAAATCAAAGGCTGTGTTCTGTTTTGCATTGTGTTATCTGACAGTTTTGAGTTTTGGGGGTATCAGAAATTACTTTGCATTATGAGAGAGCTTTGGTGTGTAATAACTAGGTAGGAAATATACTTTAAGGGATGGCTAATAGTAGTTAGGGAGGGGCACTTGACTCTTTGCACACTTGGATCGGAGAAGTATGCTCTTGGCCACCTGGAAGATAAGGAAACATCCCCACCCCCCACTGGGAGATGAGACTTCCATGAAGGATGGGCTGATGACGAAATGGGCTGATTGGCTTTGGGTTGCCTTGCAGTGAAATGCAGAGTAGAAGCACTGTACTGTCTTCTGTAGTATTTCCCTCCTTTTGGGGATCCAGGAACCAGCATAAAATGGCACCCTTAATTTTGGGGATCTGTCTTTGCCTTCAGCTGCTTATTTGGCCCCAGAAACGCATGCTTTCCTGGCGCTTTTCCTCCAAGGGCTCCACCCTGAAGCCAGTAATCCACTTAAGAAACTGGCAATGAAAAATCTTACACGTGCGGAATCTTCTATGTATTAATATGTGTTGTATGTTTATGTATAAAAGAGCTCTAATTGATTGGCTTAGAAAAATAAGCACTTAATATTTTTTCAGAAAAATGGAAACTTTAATGCCTTTTTGTTCACGTGACTTTAGTAATCTTTTGGAAATAAAGACAGTTTTAAAAATTATAGGTAAAATAAAATGTCTTGAAAATGTAGACATTTGGTCTAAATTAAGGTCAGATATTAGATTTGCTAAATGCTTTAAGGTCAAACTGGTTGACTTTGGAAACTGTTCAATTTGCCTACCGTAAAGCCATTAGATTCTAGATAAGGCCTGGGGACATGTGGAGTTAGCCATGCCCCCTAGCTATGCTGGAGAGTCAGTTCTTATCTGCAGTTCTGCCTGGTGTGTCCTAGTAACACAATTAAAATTGCTTACTAACCAGGGTTTTCACCAAACGTAAAAGTTAACATCGTAACATGTAATTGAGACTATTGAAGAAACAGTTCTATATGCAAGGTGTGTAAGGAAAATAAAATGTACTTTTGGTAAAAGATTATAAGAAGGCACGGGAATGTGGATTTTTTTGCCTAAAGAGTTAAATAATTATTTTAAGTTAGAATAAAGCTAAAAGTTTGAACAGTTGTGGATGGTGTGAAAAAAATTGAGAGAGATTCTGTGTGTGAACATATTGACTAAAGTTAAAGGGGTGTTACTCAGTTTTTCCGTAAATTAAACATTGGAATAAAAGCACAACAGGTTTTTCTTAGAGCACTAATCTGCTCTTTCACAAAAAAATGTAAAGGGTTATAAGAATCTTACCTTATGGTCAAACCGATTAAGATTGGATAGACATATTTGTAAAATTTTATTAAGAATTGGGTTTAACATTAATAGAACATTAATATAAAGGTGAAATTTGGCTTATTTGGTGTAAAAGTCATACAGGAAGCATTATCAAATGTAAAATGGTGTTTTGTTTGCATTGTACTATATTTGCATAAATGTGTTATTGGAATATGTTCCAAAGTTATGGGAAACTCCTATAATTCTAATACGACTTAATGTATGTTATTTATAATTGTTATGTAAAATTCTGTGTACCACAAAATCAACCAAATTTCCTTATCTACTGTGGCTTTAATAGGGGCTGGCCTAAAACTTTTTACTATCCACAGACAATTGTTGTCTTGTTTTAGTCCTCTTTAGAAGGCGATTTATAATCAACTATAGAACTCTAGCAGGTATTCTTAAGTGCAAGTTTTCTGATAGCTTTGGAGATTATGACATCAGAATAAAGGAAAAAACTTTCAGAACTCTCAGAGCTAAAATGTTCATAACTATCCAACAGAAGATAACGACATGGACTAAACTGAAGAAGCCTAGTCTTTTTAACTTTGCTTAAAATGTTGCTGATCCTTTGTTTTTCAGAGTCAAGAAAACTTCTTTTGAGCTTTTTACAGCTTTTAACAGTTGAGTGTACTCCTATGAACAAACTTTGGAGCATATTTATTTCTCTCTACCTGATTTCTCCAGAATTTGGAAACTAGTTGCGAGTATTCTTAACTTATGGCAATATGGTTATTTGCATAGGTGCAGTAAGAATCTGTTTTCTTTTGTAACAGGACACAATTGGGTAAATTGGTTATTTTACCAAGGCTTTGACTGGAATGGTGTGTTTTCCTTTAAGAAATTAAACTTGACTTACAGAGCCAATTAAAGTCCCTTGAGGAAATGGCCTCATTCCTTGCCTACACAGTCCCTGTAAACAGGATTTCTGACCTGTGGTAAGTAAAGAGTGTCACTTTCATATCAGGTCCAGGAGCTCCAAGTTATCTTGGGACCCCAAGAGGAGAGGAATTTACCCAATTCATAGCTACTTGAGGGTAGAAACCCAAGGCTGGGCTTGGCTTTTAAAAAGTCTTATCTGGGGCCTGGCGTGGTGGCTCACACCTGTAATCTCAGCACTTTGGGAGGCCAAGGTGGGTGGATCATGAGGTCAGGAGTTCGAGACCAGCCTGGCCAACATGGTGAAACCCTATCTCTACTAAAAATACAAAAAATTAGTTGGACTTGGTGGTTGGTACCTGTAATCCCAGCTACTCAGAAGGTTGAGGTAGGAGAATCGTTTGAACGTGGGAGGTGGAGGTTGCAGTGAGCTGAGATTGTGCCATTGCACTCCAGCCTGGGTGACCGTGCGAGACTATATCTCCAAAAAAAAAAAAAGTCTTATCTGAAATTCCATCTATGGAACAGAGTTCCATCAAAGCCAATTTAAAAAAGAGCTTATGTCAAAAATAATTATTCTTGCTGCACTTTATGCAAATAATCAGGCCAAGTTTTATAAAGCATATCGGTCTTACCATAATTTGTCTTTAGTAAAAATGAGAAACTGGAGAGGGAAATACTATGTTTCAAAAACTATGGTACACTTGTTGTTAAATTCTAGTCTCATTAATTGTTTTTAAGTTTGTTTCTGCAACGTAGGCTAACCCTGTGAACTAATTCCTGTGAACCAACCAGGTGATCTCTGACTGTTGCTCAGAACAAGTGGGATGGGTAATGTAAAAATCTGAATCAGTATTCTAATTCTGGGCACATTGCAATCAGCTAGCAACCCCATATCAACTTGGTTTCAACAGTTGTCCAGTTCATGGAAAACCTTCTAGTTTAGTTTACTTGGAATAACTTTACTTATTTTGCTGTACTCTTGTGGAATATATTGCTGTTACACTCTTTGTGTAGGAATATAGGAGAAGCTTACTGAATATTTTCATAAATTAAACATTTACCTTCTGTTGAAACTTAAAGAGTTATGAATGGACCTTACCATACTGGTGCTTTCTGACTGAGCTCCTCTCTACCCTGAGTGCAAGAGACCCTCATACTTAGGCAGGAATATCATTGCCCCTATTCAGCCTGAAGAAGTTACAGAAGAAGATGGATCTTCATCCCTCTGCAATCATTAGGATTAAGGGTTCTCTTATAAAAGGGAGGGGGGAAATGTTAGAGGCGTGTGAACCTGAGCAACTCCATCTTAAACAGGAGCTGGGTAAAATGAGGCTGAAACCTACTGGGCTGCATTCCCAGACGGTTAAGGCACTCTACATCACAGGATGAGATAGGAGGTCAGTACAAACTACAGGTCATAAAGACCTTGCTGATAAAACATGTTGCAGTAAAGGAGCTGGCCAAAACCTACCAAAACCAAAATGGCGACGAGATTTACCTCTGGTTGTCCTCACTGCGACACTCCCACCAGCGTCATGACAGTTTACAAATGCTATGGCAACGTCAGGAAGTTACCCTATATGGTCTAAAAGGGGGAGGCATGAATAATCCACCCCCTGTTTAGCATATCATCAAAAATTAACCATAAAAATGGGCAACCAGCAGCCCATAGGACTACACTGTCTGTGGAGTAGCCATTGTTTTATTCCTTTACTTTCTTAATAAACTTGCTTTCACTTTGGGAAGAAAAAGCTCAAATAAATAAGGATGATACCCCAAAACAGATATTCATGTATATCATTTCAAATATTTCATAATTTATAAGTAAAAGATATACATAAGCATGGGGAAAAGGGAAATTGATCGATAAACATTGGAAAGAAGATTATCAAACTCAGTCACAGTGAAGCGACAGTTTAGACAATGAGGTGCTGATGCTGTCTTTACCAATAAAATTGCCCTTCCTTCTCAAAAAGTAGACTGTAATAACCAGGGTTTGAGCAAAGGTGGGAAATGCGGCTCTGTAATAACTGATAGCCTTTACAGAGGGCAATTTGACAATAACTAACAACCTATATAGCTGTTACTATGTTTTAGGCACTTTACACATGTTAACTCATTTGATCTTCACAATAACCATATGAGGTAGGCACTGTTCTCTGCATTTCACAAATGAGGAAAGTGAGACTAAGAGGCTAAATAGCTTAACCATGAATAACTTACATAAAGTGTATATGTTCTTAACTCAGCACAGGCACACAGATGAACAAAGATAATATGTATAAGAATATTCACTGCAACATCGTTTAGTGAAAAATAAGAAACAACTTTATATGCTTACCAATGGAGAAATGGTTATTCCACGGTATATCCAGTTAAAACTAATTAGATAGCTATATATGTACCAACCTAGAAAGAAATTCAAGCAAATTTCTAGGGTAAGATGGCAAATTGAACACACGCCTCAATTTTATTCCTTTATGGCATCCCACTAAAACTCAAGATTTTTTTTTTTTTTAAAAAAGACAACCCTCTGAAGGCAGGGAGAAAATGACAAAATTCTAGAAATGGTGTCAGATCAATATGTAAGAAAGTTTGTTAGCAGACCCCAAGGGGCTGAATTTTCAGCCAGCACCAGAGAAATTAAGGACCAGGTTGGTAGCTTGACTGGTAATTTATATCATTAAAAAAACCCCAGGGCTGGGTGTGGTGGCTCACATGTGTAATCCCAGCACTTTGGGAGGCCAAGGTGGGTGGATCACCTGAGGTCAGGAGTTGGAGACCAGCCTGACCAATATGGTGAAACCCCGTCTCTACTGAAAATACAAAAATTAGCTGGGCCTGGTGGCAAGTGCCTGAGTCCCACCTACAGCAGAGGGGCTGAGACAGGAGAATTGCTTGAACCTGGAAGGCGGAGGTTGCAGTGAGCTGAGATTGCTCCATGGCGTTACACACACACACACACACACACACACACACACACACACACACACACACACACACACACACACACACACACCCCCAGGAAGGCTCAGGGACAGGCAGTACTAGGTTTGCAAGTTCTCTGCATTGTATAGTAACAAATTTTCTTCTTTCCATATTCTGTTCTTTGGAGGCAAGTCAAGAACGGAGGGTTTAACTCCATCTCCTGTGAGGGAGAATATGTGAATTTATTATTTGGAATTCTTCTTTAAGACATATTTGCCACTTCCACTTCTCTTCCATTTATTTAATTGTTTATTTATATCAATGTGGACTCCTATATGTACACATTTATTTTTTAACCATAGACTTTATTAGAATTTTACCAGTTTTTCTATGAATGTCCTTTTCTGTTCCTGGTTCCTATCCAGGACACCACATTACATTTAATTGTAATGTTTTCTTAATCTCCTCTGGTCTGTGACGGTTTCTCATTCTCTTCCTATTTTTCATAACCTTAACAGTTTTGAGGAGAACTAGTCAAATATTTTATAGATGTCTTTCAAATTAGATTTGTCTTACGTTTTTCTCATGATTAGACTGTGGTTGTAAGTTTTTGGCAAGAATACTACAGATATGAAAATATTCTTTTCATCATATCATATCAGGGGTACATAATAATAATTCGACATCATTAGTGATATTTACCTTGGTCGCTTGTTTAAGATATGTTTGCCAGGTTTCTCTTCTATAAAACAGTATTTTACCATTTCTATTATTTTTTAAAATCATACTCTATTTTTTGGAAGCAAGTCACTGAGTCCTGCCCACACTGAAAATAGGAGTTAGAGGCACTAAGTTCTACATCCTGGAGGACTAAATACTTATATATATGATTTGGAATTCTTCTGTAAGAAAGTAACCTCTTCTCTCTCATTTATTTATTTATTCAATCATTTATTTATGCCAGTATAGACTATGTGAATTTGTTTTATATTTTTGATTATGACTTAGTAATAATATTTTGTTGTTCAAATTTTGCCATTGAGAACTCTTTCAGGGTTGTTCTGGTGACACTTTGACATGGACACCACCCTGCCATCCTTTTGTTTTTTGAGCACTTCCTTACTTTTGGGTACCACAAAATGCTCCATGTTCATCTTAGTCCTACCTTAGCCCTTGAATCAATCATTTCACCAATGAGCTCTGGTTCTTTTTATTGGAGAGTGGTATTCAGAAACCAAGATCTGGGTGCTGGACATACTTGTTATTATTGGGTTGTCATTGCTTTTAGGCCCTTTCAGAGGACAGGGCTAGGTTATGCAGGTATGTATATTAGCCTATAATTACACATATATCTAGAATTATTTATCTGTTTATTCGTCAGTATTAGTATTGAGCCAAACATGAGTTCCTTATGATGTCTTTGACTCTAATCCAGACAGCAGGATTTATTTTAGCCCTTCTCCCTTGCTTATCTATAACTTCCCTCTCCAACAGTTAGAAGCCTCCCACCATCTACCATCCATTTACTTGTTTGCTCAGTCCCCAGTATATGTGTATAAAGCAGGTTCAGAACTGTTAACCTCTACTCCCCTGTATTAGTTTCCTAGGGCTGCTATAACAAATTACCACAAACTAGAGGACTTAAACAACAAAAATATTTTTTCTCACAGTTTTGGAGACTATAAGGTTCAAAATGAAGGTGTTGGCAGGGCCATGCTCCCTCTGAAGGGTCTAGGGAAGAATTCTTCCTTGCCTTTTCTAGCTTCGGGTGCTTACTGGCAGTCCTTAGTATATTATTCATTGGCTTGTGGCACCATAACTCCAGTCTTTGTCACCTTCACATGTCCTTCTTCCCTGAGCTTTCTGTCTTCATATCTTTTCTCTCTCCATATAGGGATACCAGTAAGTGGACTTAGGGCTCACCCTGAACCAGCATGACCTCATTTTACCTCGGATTACATCTGCAAAGACCCTATTTCCAAATAAGGTCACATTCACAGCTTCTAGGGGTTAAAATTTTAATGTATTTTTATGGAGGACATAATTCAACCCACAGCACCCTCTATACACACTACGTGGTTAAACAGAAAATCATTAAAAAAGTGCTGGACAGTAATTGAACAAAGTTGAGTTGAGAATAAATCAGAAGTGCGTGGAGATCTTTTTAAAAATGTGTTCTAGCTGTTTGGTCTCATTAATAAACATTAAAATTAACTTTTTGAGGGAAGAATGATGTGGGGAATGAGGATTGAGAAGTTGAAGAACAGATGCTCTGAGATTTTCTTAGTGTTATTGTAAAGCTGCTGTAAGCAAATCATACTCTTTTTAAAACTGTGTTCCTGTGTCATGACTTCTCAAAAATTTACTTGAGATTCACAGACAAACTCTTTTATTTTTTGAAGCTTTGGCTTCAAAACTCAATAATCTTCTTATAGTCACTGACTTCAACCTCAATAGAGTATTACGGTATTAACCTGGGTCCAGTCAGGAACTAGCCTTCCTCAGTTTGGCTGAGGAGAGCTTAAAAAATAACTCTCTCCTGTTCTCAGACTAGGCCCCACACGGTATCCAGACTGGTATGCTGCCTTTTTCATGACAATGGCTAGCTGAAGAACTGAAAAACACCACTGAATAGATGACTATAGTCGTTATCTTTTTCATAAGTCTCCAGAAACCCTTTGATCCTGTTGTGCATTGTTTTATACTCACCTTTTCTATTGCTATTTAGAAAACTGTCTTTTCTTTTTATTCTTTGAATTAATTTAAAACTAATTTAGTTAGCAGTAGCAAATATCCTTGTTTTTCTCACTGAGTAATTCATCAAATGTTAAATATAAGTTTCTATAATCTTTCAGAGATGGGAGAGTATGATTTTCACTTTTTCCTTGAATTGGGTTGATGTAAATATGTTAAAATTTTTGTTACTTTCATTAGTTCTTGCAATTACCTCCAAGCTGAACTTTGACTCTTTTTCCCCAACAATTTTTTATTAATGTATGAAACAGTGAGTGATTGCACTGGTATGTTATATAGTCAGAATACAGAATATTCTAATGGAAAAGAATCCTGAGTTTAAGGCATGATTAGTAGGTACTGTTATTTAGAAGCTATTCTACATAGATAAAGCAGTGTCAGAGTTTCAAGATCAAGGGTGTATTACTCTGTTCTCATGCTGCTATGAAGAAATGCCTGGGACTGGGTAATTTATAAAGAAAAGAGGTTAAATGGACTCAGAGTTCCACATGGCTGGGGAGGCCTTAGGAAACTTAGAATCATGGGGGAAAGCACCTCTTAACAGGGTGTCAGGAGAGAGAAGTTTCGAGCAAAGGGGGAAAAAAATTTCCTTATGAAGCCATCAGATCTCATGAGAACTCTCTCGCTATCATGAGAACAGCATGGGGCAGCCGCCCCCATGATGAAATTACCTCCCACTGGGTCCCTCCCACGACATGTGGGGATTATGGGAACTACAATTCAAGATGAGATTTGGGTGGGGACACAGCCAAACCATATCAAAGGGCAAATAGTTCTAGGAAAGAGGCATAAGGAATGGTGGATAAAAATAAGAAGGAATAGTAAGACTGCTGGAAGACTTACAATAAATAACAGGAAATCGAGACTTCTGTGGAAAATGAATTAGAATTGTGGTTTGAGTGATTGGTGCTGGTAATGAATGATACTGGTTGCATTTATTATTGCCTGGAAAGGTACTCTTGTTTTTTTTTTAAAAAAATCAGTTGTATTAAGATATTACCTGAATATAAGTAGTTTTAGCAGGCATAATAAAGACTATTTAGAAGGAAAGCCTGCTATGTGTGTTGATGTAACGCTTGGTTCCAATTAGTGTGTGCTTTCCTTCCTTAATTCATGTCTTTCTGAAGTTTTCATGATTTTTAATTTATGGGAGCTATTTGTTCTTTACCTTATCTGTTCTTTGGTAAGTGTGCTTACCAAGTCCTGAGTCTTGTAGTTGATAAACATTGTTTTTCATTGTTGGGTTTGCCTCATGGCTTATCTGTTTATTGTAAAGCACTCAGGAAAATAACCACTGTGGAAGATTACTGAATATTGGGAATAACCTGCATCAGAACATAAGGAATAGGTTGATATTTATAATATAATAGCAACTTTAAAACATGCCATATATCAGATTATGTCATATCCGTGTCAAGCAGATATGTTTTTTATCCTTTGGTCTTTGATTATATAATTTTTTGGGGTCATCCATTAACCACAGGTCTATAAGATGTTCATTTTTTTCTCATTTATAAAATTAAACAAATCTATGCTAGCTAAATTCCAAACATTTTAGAATAACCTAAAATGTGTTTATCTCCTTTTATTACAACACCCAGCTGAGAATTACCATGTCACATAATTATATTAATTTCTAAATAATGTACATGAAATTTGTGTATTATCAAATATAATTTTACTTTTAGATTGTATCTACAACATATTTTAGTTAGCTGCCTTCAACTTTATTACTATTACTATTTGGCTTGGAGTAAGCATTTCTTCTTGATTGGTGAGACTGTGGCATGAAGTGCTGCATTAATTTGGTTTGTTGTGATAATTTTTAGGTGAAATGTGTGAATGCACTTAAATTCTTAAAAGACTGATTATTGTAAAAACCTCAGTGTACATATTAAATAATGACACAATTTACATGCTACATGGGAGTTGACAAATATACCTTATAATTTACACACTTATTATACTTCATGCATTATATGTACGACACTGTTAGTTACTTTTAGGAGATATTTGAGGTGGTGGTTGCCTCTTCCTTTTTAACCTGGAGCTTTTAGAAGGTTCATTCATTTATTCACTTATATATATTTATTGAATACTTACTGTGTTCCAAGAATGGCAGAATTGCAGGGAGATAAACATGGAGGAGAGGATTACATGAGAATCTCAGCAGCGAAGGGATTCTAGTACAGAAAATTATTCTAGACTTACCATTGAGGAATTTTCGTTTAGCCAGGGTATTTTGAGATTTCAAATAATGCTAAATTGAGACACTAACATTAGCAGCACCACTTTTTAGCTGTTGTAATTTGTTCATGGAGTTTCAAATTCCAGGTTGGAAGGAAATAGATCTACGACAATGAGGATAGATGTGTCTACCAGGCTACCAAATTGTAACATAAGGTACATAGCTGATCCCCAGTGTTTTCCTAGGATTTCTTTGCTGAGACCTGGAGGCCATTAAATAGCTACTGTTGCCACAGATATTAGTTTGAGGAAGTTGTTTTTGAAGTATGCAGCACTTGTTGTACATAGCATAATCTTGCTGTGGGACCAGAGTTGAGTGACAGAGGGATTGTAAGAGGAAACTGGGAGTATAGGACCTTGAGGCAAAAAAAAGAAACTTACTTTTTGCTTAGGCTTGGCTCGTAACCTTCCTCAGGACAGTCTTTCTCTCCTGTATCATGTGGCTCCTGATAGGCAGGCTCTCAGGCAATTCATTTATCTTTTTCAAAAATTTGAGGTTTTTTTTTTTTGTTTTGTTTTGTTTGTTTTTTTTTTTTTGAGACAATCTCGCTGTGTCGCCCTGGCTGGAGTGTAGTGGCGGGATCTCGGCTCACTGCAAGCTCCGCCTCCCGGGTTCACGCCATTCTCCTGCCTCAGCCTACCGAGTAGCTGGGACTACAGGCGCCTGCCACCACACCCGGCTAATTTTTTGTATTTTTAGTAGAGATGGGGTTTCACCATGGTCTCGATCTCCTGACCTCGTGATCCACCAGCCTCGGCCTCCCAAAGTGCTGGGATTACAGGCGTGAGCCACCGTGCCCGGCGAGTTCTTAAATATAGTTTTTAATGTCTGTTTTGGGCTGATTTTTAAGTGTACTTATGTATTTTATTTTAAAAAGGTACAGATAGTGTTAAGTTTTTTCTTTTGATTATTCCCAACAGCTAATTTGTATTAGAGATAATTTTCTTATCTAATTAACCTATTTTATTTTAAATAGGGGCTGATAAAAATGAACTTCAATTTAATCATATCTTCATTAGTTGGTTGTTTTTACTGAGAAATCGTAGGGCTCTTGAATACTATAAATTTTGAGGTCATCCTGTGGATATATATCAGAAAGGAAGAAACAAGTTATCATTTGGTACACTATCTTCATTTTGTGTAAAAACAAAAGCCTTATAAAGATAAGGACTTGTTGGATTATTTATTTGTTTAGCCAATATTAATTGAATGTCTGTTGCATGTTAAGCACTGTGCTGGGGGTATGAATTAGACATTTCCCCTAATCATTGTATATATGAAGTCTAGAGGAGAAGACAGTAAATAGTTAGGAGCGTTACGATAGGCGAAGTACACAGGGTGGTAGGGATAGACAACAGAGGGACATACAGAAGTCCAGGGGATTAGGGAAAAGACTCCTGGCAGAAATGTTGTTTAGGTTGAGGCCCAAAAAGGTGAGTAGGAACCAGCAAGGTAAAAGGGGTTTGGGAGGAGAGTAGTCTAGGCTGAGAGAGTAGCTTGGTCAAAGGCTGGGAAGTAAAAGAACATTGTGGATGATGTGTTGAGGATGGATCACATCCCAGAAAACAAAACTGGAAGGTAGGAGACCACTTGCTGTTGAAGTAGAAGCTGGTGGTGACTTGTTCATAAAAAGAGACAGGAAAAAGACAACTAGATGATTTCGGAGATATTTGGGAAATCAAGACCATACTTTTTTTTTTTTTTTTAAACAGCATTATTGCGATGCGCTGCCCCTCCCCCCACCAATCTCATGTCAAATTGTATTCCCCAATGTTGGTAGGGCCTGGTGGGAGGTGATTGCATCATGGAGGCAGTTTCTCGTGAATGGTTTAGCATCATCCCCCTAGTGCGGTTCTCGTGATAGACTTCTCACAAGATCAGGTTGTTTAAAAGTGTGTAGCACCTCTCTCCTCTCTCTCTTCCTCCTGCCATGTAAGACACCTACTCCTGCTTTGCCTTCCAATCAAACCTCTTTCTTTTATAAAAACCTCAGGCTCGATATTTCTTTTCTTTTCTTTTTTTTTTTTTAAATTCTTTTTCAGGTATTTATAGCAGTACAGTAATGGACTTATACCATACACCCGTTTGAAGTGTACAATTCAATGACTTTTAGTATATTCACAGAGTCATACATCTATTACCACTGTCAATTTTAGAACATTTTTATTACACCAAAAAGAAATTATATCCCCTTTAGCCATTATCCTTCAAACCCTCTATTTTCCCAGCTGTAGGCAACTACTAATTTTGAAGGACAATATGAAAACTTCCCAGGGGCTCTGTCTCTTTTCCTTGCTTATGTATTTTATTACAATGATTAGGTTTCATTTGTTCATTAGTTTACTTTGCTGAATGGTTTCTTTAAAACAACTCATCTTAATGTAAAATATCTTCTTGTTCTCACTATCTTTTTCTTTTTTTTCCATAAAATTTCAAACATACACCAAAGTAGAAAGAAGGCAAAAGTGGTAACCTATATTTGTACACACCAAATTTATACAATTATAATACATGACAATCTTATTTCAGCCATTACTTCTGCTCATCCACGTATACCCTTGGTACTATTTTTAAGCAAATAGAGAACTCCTTTTTAACCTTTTGGTAATAATGATACCAACATTTATTGAGCATTTACTATTTATTTACAGGGCATCATGATCATGATAAGAGGTTTGCATAAATTTTTCATTTAATTAAAAAATTTAATGTGGTACAATTATAAACCCATTTTATATATAAGGTAGGTGATATTTCAACCATTTTCTAGCCTGTTCTGCTTTTTATTAACAGTCAATTCATTGGTGAATAATACTATGTTTTTGCAACTTTGAAACTTTCAGGACTCTGATAATGGATATTCAAATAACATCACTTCCAGATATGACAGTGAATTATTTGGTCAATTAGCCTTAAAATTAACAGAAAATATCTCTCATAAAATTTTGCAATATGTTACACATTATATATAACTTATTTTAAAATTCTTTTATTATGGAGTCCTTTTGAGGTAAAATACAATTATCTCCTTTTTACTGATCAAAAAAAAAAAAAAAAAAAGACCTAGAGGATGTTAATGTATTCAGGGTTATATAGCTTTTCAAGTGGTGGAGACGAGTTTCTCTTAGTCTGTTTGTTTAGCCCCAAGCCCTGTTCTTTAACCATTGGTGCTAGATGTCTGTATTTGGAAGGCAGAATCCAAAGGGAGAAAAGCCCTGAGAGATATAGTGTAGGATAATATAGGTAACACTAGATTGAGAAACAGGATACTAGGATTTTATTTTGAGCTCTGTTCTTGGTCAAGTAATTTAACCTCTTTGTACTTTAGTTCTTTATTTATAGATGGTAGCAGGTCAGAGGTTATACAAAGAACTTTTTTGCTTGTGAAATCGTAATTTCAAGGCAGTATTCAAAACAATTTGATTTACATTCTTTTGTAAATCAAGTAACTTTGTTCCTTATCTCTAAATTCTCGTTAATTTATGTTATTGCTGAAAATTAAATATTTGAATCATAAATTCTTAAACATGATGTATAATGTCATTATAGCTCTGTTACCGGTGGAGGGTGTCCAGGTTCTTGGTGCTTTGAACAAAGAATTGGACAAAATACACAAAGCAAGGAAAGAATGAAGCAATAAAAGCATAGATTTATTGAAAATGAAAGCACACTCAACAGGGTGGGAGTGGGCTCAAGCAAGCAGCTCAAGAATCTGGTTACAGAATTCTCTGGGGTTTAAATACCCTCTAGAGGTTTCCCATTTTGTTACTTCGTGTACACCCTATGTAAATGAAGTAGTGTCCCATGATCAGTCTGATTGGTTGCAGAAAGTGACCAATCAGAGGCTGAAGTGAAGTTACAAAGTTACACCCTATGCAGACGTCTGATTGGTTGTGGAAAGTGACCTGTCAGAGGCTGAAGTGAAGTTACAAAATTACACTTCTATGCAAATGAAGACTTGGCCCATGACCAGCCTGATTGGTTGCAGGAGGGGACCAATCAGAGGTACGTTCAGTTTTTCATCTGCCACACAGAAAAGGCAGGGTGGGAGGGGGCCTTTGCAAAGGGAGTAGTAGCCTCTGGTACTTTTGTTACTTGGGTGTGAAAAGTTGGGGTTTTCATCTTAATTTAGTTCTAGGAAGTCAGCGTGAATTGGCCTTAGGTTCCCTGCCTCCAGACCCTGTTCTCCTGCCTCAGCTCTAGTAAGTTTGCAGAAATTAAAATTGTTGGAGGCATATTTTTGTATCTTTATGGACCTCAGTTTTACCTTCAGTATATATCATTCATTCATTCATTTTTGCCATCATTTTGCTTCTCAGCCTGGTAGAGAGAGTGTGATTGCTGGACCCTTACCCAGCTGAACTGAACTGAATTGATTTTAGAGATGTGTGAAGAACCCATGGACCTGGAAGGGCTCTTGTCACACAATCGTGAATGTAGGTGATATGGCTCCGATGACCGGAGGAACACCAGGGTCCTTTGTCTCGCCGGTTTAAATAAAACGACACGGACACATGTGGAGTGCTTTTAAGGAGCAGAGAGAGTTTAATACCAAGAAACACCCAGAACTGGCCTCAGTAGTCACATCTGGGGAGAGAGGAGGGTAGTGATGTTCTATGCACAGAATACCTGACAATACTTGTTTTCTGGGGTAGGTGCATGGATACACAAATAATAATAAGCAAGAAAGAAGGAAGAGGCTCTCCTGTACAGAGATGGAGGGGGGCTCCAAGCTGAGAGGGGGAACTCCGAGTGTGGAAAAGAGCCAGTTATATTAGGAGGCTGGAGGAGGCAGTGTCTGATTTGAGGCCCAGGGGATTGGTTTGACCAGGTATATCATTCACTTAACCCGCCAAAAAAAGGGTCCTCCCACCCTAGCCTTTGAGTATGCAAATGCAGGGGGCTATGATGTTCTATACACATGGGGATATGTGGTGGTGTCCATGATGCTAGGCACTTGTGGTGACAAGAAGTTGAGGCAGGAATCGCTGTATTGAGTGGACCCAGTTTCTGATGGCTGGTATTTGCATATCAAAGCTTGCCGGCTCAGCCCCTCAAGCTGTTTTTCTGCTAGGCAATAAAGTTTCTGGAGCTGCTTTAAAAGAAAAAAACCTTGCCAAGGACCCCTTGTCCTATCTGTTTTTTTAAGTTTGTAAATGTTTATTAACTGGCAGTGACCAACACAGGGGAATCAGATGAGGGGAGTTTGCAGCAGGGAGTGCATGTTGAACAGGAAACAGAGTGAGGGGGGCTTGACCAGGACTCATTAGCGATGGGGAAAAGCAGATGGAGATATTTATAGTGGTATTCCACGTGTGTATGTGTGTGTGTGTGTGTGTGTGTGTAAATGCAGAGAAAAAAAATCTGAAACACCCAGAACTGGCCTCAATAGTCACATCTGGGGAGAGAGGAGGGTAGTGCTGTTCTATGCAGAGAATACCTGACAATACTTGTTTTCTGAGGTAGGTGCATGGATACACAAACAGAAATATGCATTAACTATGTCTCATTCATCAACAAAAATGCAAATATCTAACAGGATGGCACACTGTAAGAAAATACAATGAAAATGCTAATATCTAACTCTTGGCACACTGTAAGAAAAATGACGCTCAACTTTTCACTGTCGTGAACTCCTGCTTTCACTTGCTATACACCTGATGATGAGGGGTTCGCAGCCATGCCCATGTTCATAGAAGGTCACCAGTTTCTGCTTCTCATCATGGGCTTGCATCCTATCCCTGAGGGGAGTTATTTGTCATCTTCCTCAGGGTTTCTGATCTCTTCATAAATCACTAGATACTTTCTCTCTCGCAGTCCGTGGGTCCAGACGTGTTCCCCCTTTTCTTGGGTCTAGATGTCTTGTTAGTCTTCTCAGAGGTACTTTCTTTTCCCAGGGGACACAGCTGTTTCCCATTGTTTTGTGAGCCAGATGTTTCTGGCACTCCCTTCAAATCATTTCCTTCCTCTGCTGGCTTCTTGGGCATCATCTTTGGAAAGTTCCCTTGTAGCATGCCGAAAGCCATCTGAGGATATTCATCCTGATTCCTGCAGTTTTAGTCTATATCAGAATCATTCCCCTGGAATTCTGCAGCCCATTTATTGTACATGAAAGTTGGGAGGGTGGCCTAGAGACCTAGTTTAGTCATGGTCTCATAGTTTCTCTTCATATACACATAGGTGATTTTCTCTGAGTTTTTCAGCTTTCCCCACTCTTTATTAGATAAGTATCTGGCAATATCATTGAAGGCCTTGTGTTTCTTCTCTGATATCTGAGCATCATCCCTGGGTCTCTTTGCAAAGGTGCTGTCTCCGTTCATGGCATTGGGAGCAGTCTGACCTCGGAGACGAAGCAGCCCTGGCGAGGTCAACAGCAGCAGCGGCAGTGAGGGCAGTGGCCAAATAATTTTTTAATAACTCCTATAACATTCTACCCGGAGGAGATGTCACCCTAACTGCTGTTAGGGGGTTTTGGGTGATGACTCTTTCCGGCTACTTCCTGCTGAAAAGGAGCATTGAATGGGGAACAGCAGCTAGGGCTCCTCCTGGGGTAGATCCAAGGATCCTCGGAAGAATGGCATGTCCATGTGTGGTTTGGTTTGCAACACCACTTGGAATTTGATTGCTTCTAGGCGATAGGAAACAATTCTAGTTATAGTACTGAGTTATACAAGTTATATAGTATTGAGTTATAGTATTGAGTTAATGTAAGACATGTAAGCAAGAGGGAGCTTAATAAAGGGGCTAACCAATTCCATAAAGAAGACTGGAATTCATTAAAGAGGGATTGTAGTCACCTGGGGCTGAAGCCTTCATTTTCTCTTAGCCTGTCAATAATTTTGATTTGATCTTTAAGTACCTGTAGATTTTCCTTAATCTACTAGAGGGTTAATCCAGAAGCAGCATGTTGCATTTAAAAGTGCACAGGTACCTCCCACTTCAGCTGTAAGGACATCTAAGGCCTGTCGATTTTGTGCTACTACCTACTAAGGCTAAAGAGTCTATAGATTGTGGTTGTGCCTCTATGGCCCATACAGTTGCCTTCCATCCTCATTGCATTATAATAGAGATATTAAGTATTGATCTTTCAAGGAGAGGGGATGCCCATAAACCAGAATATACCTCTGGCTATAGAATTTCCCATCCATGCTTTTTCTAAGATGAGATTGTCATGTGCATGCCCTCCCCAGGCTGCCCTTTCAGTTAAATCTCCATATGAGGGCATAGAAATGATAGATCCCTTTGTCCGATGTATTCAGAATAGTGCAGTTTCTAGAAAAGAGGCTAAGTTAGGGATGTCCCCAGATGATGCTGTCATCTTGGTAGAATTTAATAAGTTGAGAACTACTGCAGCTATAGTACAAGTTCCCTTCTAATGCCTTGGGAGGATTAAGTGTATCCAGGAGCCACAAAGAAAATGTAGCCCTGTTCCTTGAAGGGATGGTTCTAAGTTGTGGCTTGTGAGAGACACTGGCAGATTTTTCTCATATCTTAGAACTTTCCTTTCTTTACATATAATAGAGGCATCCTTGGGATAAAGATAACCATATTTAGGGTAGTCATTTACGATGTCATTTGGAATTTGACATGCCAAGTGAAAAGGGTCCACCTGACAAATGGAGTTTTGAAAAATTAGAGACGTAATATGCCCTGGCCAATATCTCAGATGATTCTTGTGGCAAGGGGTGTCAGTCCAGATGTCTTCAGTTCGCCCTCAGATCAGTAAGCCGCCACTGTTAGCAAACATCATACAAGGGTCTGGAATTCCATGGGTGGGGGGGAGTTTGGAAAGACCCATGTGTTATTTTTTACATTATAGTCAAGTTGGTTACTTAGAGCATGCCACTCCCATCGGTACTTCCAACCAGAAGGAGACTAGTTTCTGAAAGCCCCCCACTAGGGCTTCTATCCTTGTATATCACCCTTGTTGCACTCTCCTCAAATCTTTGAACTATCAGCAATTACAAGTGTGATGTTACTCCCAAGTATGGTTCTTCCCCACTACTTTTAAAGCAGAGGGAGGCATTTGCTATTACTCCATCAACTTTTCCAAGCCTGAGGGTGTGAAGCTTATCTTTGGGAGAAAGTTCTTTGGCGCTGGGGCAGAGTGTTCTCCTGGGAAGAGTTAGTCACCCAATTGAAAGTGTTCCCATACCATGTCCCATTTATGCCTGATAAGTCTTTAAGGGTTAAAGGTAAAGCCAACAAAGGGAATCCTAAGATGGTGAGTTCCGGGTAACTATAAGGTTCCTTAGTGTCACTGAACTGAGCGAACCACTTAGGACAGACCCAACAATTAGTCTTACTGTACAAATGGGCCATGGCAGATATTGTAGGAGCTAGATGGTGCGACGTATTACTAAGTCCAATAAAGAGTTCTAACAGATTTAGTGATAGTAAAATGCTCATGTTTACTTCCTGTTAGTAACTGTTATTCCTGCTGTGAGGTTAATAATTAAGCAAAATGCAGTAGTAATTGAGATTCTCTCTCTGACATTCCACCCTGAGGGTGCTACAGTATATAGTTCTACTGCAAATAGCAGAGTGAGTATAGCAATTCCTGCAAGGTTGGAGTAGTAAATAATTTCCACCAAAAAGAAGTTCTGATATTTGGCTCAAAAGGAGAGGTAGAAATGACAAAAAGTATTTGTTGAGGTAGGGGTGAGACTGAATAAGATGATTAGTTCTCATATAGTTACTTATCTTTTATGATTTTCAGCTTAAGATCTTCCATTTCTTCACATTGCTATTCAGGACGTTCCTCTGGGCTGTTGGGGGTTGCTCCCTCAGCTCTCCAGGCTTTGACTTGAGTGTGATGTTTCCAGGAGTCGGTCGATTCCTGTACCTTTTATTGTTGGGGGAGTTGGAAGAAGAACAGTGTGAGGCCCTTCCTAGGTTGGGCTTAGGAAGGGAGAGAGAGAGGAGGATCCTTTACCAGTACCAAATCTCCTGGGTTAAATAGAGGTGGTCCAATTTCCTGGGATTGGGTTTTCGCTAATTGTGCTAATTCCTGTTGGAAGTGAGCCAGAGAGGTTACATGCTTAACTAGCTCAGAGGTTTCCCGATCTAATAGAAAAATCATTGGTAAGGAAAGTGTGTCCATACAGCATTTCAAAAAAGCTAAGACCTAATTTTCAAGGGGTATCTCTTATTCGTAGTAAGGCCGTGGGAGGAAGAGTGACCCAAGGAAGGTGAGTTTCTTGGGACAATTTTCTGGTGTGTCTCTTGGTAATATCATTAGTTTTCTCTACCTTTCCTGAGGATTAGGGTCTCTAAGCCCAATGGAGATGATATTCTATGCCTAGTGCTTTTGAGATCCCTTGTGTGACAGCTGCCTTAAATGAGGGCCCATTGTCACTTTGAAGGTACTTGGATAGATGAAAGCAGGGAGTTATTTCATTAACTAATACTTTTATTACCTCAGAGGCTTTTTCTGTACAACATGGAAATGCTTCTACCCAGTTAGTGAAGGTATCTACCCATACAGCAGGTATTGAATGCCCTTTGTCTTTGGCATGTGGGTGAAGTTTACCTGCCACTCCTCCCTTGGGTATCTTTTTGTTCTTTGGGTTTGAGGAGGAAGGAGTCGCCTGTTCAGGGGATTATTTTTAAGACAGACTTCACAAGCATGAACAACTTGCTTGATTGTTTTTAGTAAGTTCTTTCCTGAAAACAATCTCTGGGCACATTGATAAGTTTTATCCTCTCCCAAGTGAAAAGCTTGGTGAAGCACTTTAAGGACTTTCCATTGGCTGGAGGCCGTCAAGGGGAGTTTGCCATCTTGTGACTGTAGCCATCCTGAGGGCTGAAATGTATACCCTCGAGAAGTGGCCCATCCTATTTCTGTGGGGGAGTACTGAGGTTTAATTTCTCTCATGGAGCCTTCCCAGATTAGAGGGGTTTGAAGTGTGTTGTCTTGAGCCTTCCTTGCTGCTGACTTAGCTGCCTGATCAGCTAATCTGTTTCCTTTGGCTACCTCATCTGTTCCCTTTTGATGTCTCCTACAATGCATCACTGCTATTTCTCATGGAAGAAAAACTGAGGATAATAACCTGTTAATTTCCTGGAGGTATTTATAGGAGATCCATCGGTGGTAAGAAAATGCCTTTCGTTCCAAATGGCAGCATGAGCATGGAGAACCAGGAAAGCATATTTGGAGTCTGTGTAAATGTTAGCTACCTTTCCTTTGCTTAATTCAATTGCTTCTGTAAGAGCGATTAGCTCAGCTAATTGAGCGCTTGTGCCTGGAGGGAGTGACACACTTTCAGTGATGTCATGTAGAGTGACTACTGTGTATCCTGCCTTACAGATTCCTTGTTCTACAAAAGAGCTCCCATCTGTCAAGAGGGTCCAGTCTGGGTTCTCTAGGGGAGTTTCCTTGAGATCTTCCCTGGCTGCATAGGTCTGTACTATGATTTGTTCATAGTCATGCTCAGATTCCCCAGTTTCCTCCTGGTGGAAGGCGGCTGGATTTAGGTGAGAACAATTCTTTAATTGGATGTTGGAACCCTTTAACAGCAGGGCCTGATATTTAAGAAGTCAGCTATCTGTTAGCCAAAGGCTCCCCCAAAAGTGCAGTAGTCCTGCCACGTTAGGTGGGGCATAAATAGTTAAATCATTTTCCAGAGTTAATTTGGAGGCTTCTGGGACCAACAGAGCCACTGAGGCAATGGCGGGGAGGCATGCTGGCCATCCTTTAGCCACCAACTCAAGTTCCTTACTTAGGCAACCCACTGGCTGTTGGCCTGGTCTTTGGGCCTGTGTTAATACTCCCAGGGCCATTCCCTTCTTTTCTGATACATACAGATTGAAGTCCTTCCCTATAGGAAGGGTGAAAGTTGGTGCCTTAAGCAAGGCTTGCTTTAGCTGGTCAAAGGCCTTTTGAGCTTCAGATTCCCAGGTTAAAAGATGAGTTTTAGTTCCTTGAGTTTATTTTATGAGGTTATATCATGGACAGCCTATTTCACCATACCCAGGTATCCATAGTCTACAAAATCCTGTAATGCCCCAAAATCCTCTGAGTTGCTTGAGGGTTTTGGGGAGGGGAAAGGAAGAAATATTCTCAACTCCCTCCTTCCCTAATGCTCTGGTCCCCTCAGACAGCACTAAGCCTAGGTGTACTTCACTGAGGTTTTGCAGAGCTGGGCCTTGGGTTTTGAAACTTTATATTCTCTGTTAGCTAACATATTGAGAAGAGCTTCAGTGCCTTCCTGAAAAGCATCCTCAGTTGGGGCACATAGCAGAATATCATCAACATACTGCAAGACCTTAACTTAAGGTTGAGAGAACTCAGAGAGGTCTTGTGACAGTGCCTGTCCAAACAGATGAGGACTATTTCAAAATCCCTGAGGCAGCACCGTCAGTGTTAACTGGGCGTCTGGCTGGAGGAATATTTGAAGGCAAACCGGTATTGACAGTCAGGATGTAACGGTGTACAGAAAAAGGCATCCTTTAAATCTAGGACTGTAAACCATTTAGTTCCCTCAGGTATTTGAGTTAACAGGGTATAGGGATTAGGGACCACTGGATGGATTGGAACTACAGCTTCATTAATGAGGCGAAGGTCCTGAACCAGGCTTCATTCCCCATTGGGTTTCTGTGCTCCTAATATTGGGGTGTTGCAGGGGCTATTACAGGGTTTGAGGAGGCCCTGCATCTTTAGGTTATTAATAATGGCTTCTAGCCCTTTCCTAGCCACTGGCCTTAGGGATAATATCTCTGGTTAGGAAAAGAAGTGGGATCCTTAAGATAGATCTGGACTGGCGTAGTGGTTATAGCTCAACCTATTCTTCCTTAAGTTGCCCACACTTCCACATTAATGTTAGCTTCCATCAGGGGGAGATAGAGTTTGTCCTGGGGCTGTAAAGATGCTGCAGGCCCCCATGCAAGCTAGAATATATCTACCTAATAAAGGAGTGGGACTTTCAGGCGTGATTAAAAAGGCATGTTTAAATAGTAAGTCTCCCCATCTGCAAAAGGGGTTGAGAAAAATATTGGGTTAGAGTTTTTCGTGATACACCCCTTATGGTTGTGCTCTGGGAAGAGGGGAGGCCTGAATTAGAGAGGAGGAGCAAGAGACTGGCTTCAGTATCCAGAAGGAGATCTACCTTCCTTCCTTCAATTTCCAGAATCACTCAGGGTTCCTGTGCTGTAATGGCAGTCTGAGTCGCTGGAGCCGGGGGTTTAAGCCTCGGGACCCGTCAGTCCTGCTGGACCATCTATGAGACTGGTTCTGAACCCAGCGACCTCTGCCTCTGGGGGCAGATCCATCTCCAGTGGTCTCCGCCACAGGCTGGACAGGGTCAAGGTGGCTTCGTCTTGCTGCCTGGGCATTCCCTCTTAAAATGCCCTGACTTGCCACATTGATAACAGCTAGCAGATGCACCTCAGGGATCCTGGACTTTACAAGCGTGCAATGCTGCTACTAGAGCCTCTGTTCTTCACTTATATTTCCTTTCCTTTTCTTGGGCCTCCTCCTGATCTGTATTGTAAATGACTGAAGTGGCTATTCTCAGGAGGTTCTCTAGGGTGCTATCTGGTCCTATAGCTTGTTTCTGTAGTTTCTTTCCAATATCGGGAGCTGACTGTGTAATAAACTTGTCCTTCAGGATTAGCTGTCCCTCGACTGAATCATGATAAAGAGGTGTGTTTTATTAGTGCCTCTCTTAGCCTTTCCATAAAGGCTGTGGGATTCTCATCTGGTCTATCATAGATAGTTTAGAGTAATCGAGAGGTTTGGCCCTGGTCTTCCATAGGCCCTCTAACATAGACCTTAAGAAGTGCTTCCTTTTCCATTCATTTCCTGCGTTATTGGGGTTCCAATCAGGGTTGTCCGCTGGAACTGCTTCCCTTCCTAGTGGGAATGGAGTTTCCACTTCTTCCTTACCTTCCTTGTCTCCTCTTTTTCTCCTTGGTCTGCTACAGGAGGCATGTTGCTTATATCCATATTTTTCTGCTGCCTGTGGAACTGCTGGCTTTTCAGCCCCAGTGAGGGTCTGACTTAGCAGCAACATAACATCCCTCTATGTGAGATCAAACACCTGAGTTAAATTTTGGAAAATTTCTATATACTTATCGGAGTCATCAGAAAATTGGGCCAAGTCTCTGTTTATTTGCTTAAGGTCCTGTAATGAGAAGGAAACTTGAACCCTCATGGCACCATTCCTATCAGCCATTTCCTGCAGAGGTAAGAATGAAGCGGGGAGAGTAGGATATACTGGAGATAGTGGAGCTGGAGGAGCTGATAGTATGATTGGAGGGGGACTGGAAGGATTGGGACATTCAATAGCTGTTTCAGATTGCTCCTCTGGAACCTGCTTTAGCTCTGGGGAACGATTCCCTGTGGCCGCTAAAAGAACTGGGTCAATTGTACAGAACTTGTAAAGGTCTGGGCTGTTTCACAGGGCAAAGAAAGTCTGTACATAGGGGATCTCAGTCCATTTGCCCTTCTGTTTGGAGAAAAGATCTAACTGTTGGATAATATTAAAATCAAGGCTCCCCGCAGCGGGCCAGGTTTATCTGTCCCCAAGATAGTAAGAAGGCTATGCTCTTGTGCAATAGAATATGAGTCACTTTTTTTTCAAAGTCTCAGGGTTGAAGGAGTCCCAGTGCTTTAAAATACATTCCAGAGGAGTGCATGCTGAAGACGATCTGTTGGCCATCTAGAAAGAGAAGTGAGAATAAAAGTGTCCTTTTAGTCTCCTTCCTTTTGGTGTATGACTCAGGGTGGAGAAGAAAACAGTAGGGGGCATTCCTCTAACTAGTCTCCCTCCCTGGTTCCTGGGTCCCGGCACCCAGTTAAATGTGCCGCCTGTGGCTGTAGGTGTGACCCTCCAAGCCATGGCACCAGAGAAACTAGACTTTTGAGGCCTAGTCACACTTACCCAAGTAGTCCCAGTCCTCTGCTTGTTATTTCCCTTTGACCTCCTAGACTTGTGTGACCTGTGTACCTCCCTAAAAAAAAATGGATCTCAGGGAAAACTGTGTAATTGGGGAAGGCCCCTTTAATGGAGGGGTTATGCTAGATTGAACTCTATATCCTGCTATTATGGCCCATGCTAAAGCATTTACCCTTAGAAAAATGGTTTCAGTTAACTTCCAGACTTAAAATCCCCTTACTAATTAAGTACTGTCTCTGTTGGAGACAGAATAGGTGACTTAAAGAAATGTAGGAACCAAATGGCTGTTTTCCTGCTGATGGGACAATATTGAGACTAAAATTTGGCTATGGAAGACATTTAATTTCTAACTGTTGAAAGCAGAATTTTCCCATTCCTGGAAGAGGCTTAGAGCCTGATTTCTAGCAGTGCAAAAGGAAGCTGCAGTGTTAGCATTAAAAAAAGTGCCTCATGTAGAGGATTTCTGTTTCCTCTAGGTGGCACTGTTGGCTTAGAAATACTGTGTGCTCCTCAGACAAGCGGTAGAGAGACCTGGAAATGCCGTGTGCTCTCCAGACCAAGGGGCTGAGAGAGAGAGGCTCACTGTCCCGGAGGAACCCTCTGTTCAGGAGATTGCAATGGCATTCTTGAGTTAAACTCCCGGTTACTAAATTCCCACACAGTTGACACATACACACAGAGTAAGAGACCACAGATAGAAAAGGAAGGAAAGTTTCATGACCGGATAGCTGAGGATTCTCTGCCAGCACCTGAAATGGGCTGTTGGAGGCTGGGTCTGGTCCAGAGGTCTTTGAGTCACACCAGGGTGTGCCCTGCCCAGAGATGCTCAGTTGCCTCAGAACTTTTCCCAGCCTTGCGCAACGGCGAGGTCTCCCCATGAAAGGAAGCTGATTCGAAATACGGCCAACATTCCCAATCACCTGTGGGTATTGGGGGGTTCTCCATGTTCTCACCAGCAAGCCTCACATCTGAGTCTTTAGAACAGCAGCCAACGATAAGTGTAGCTAACCAGCAGACAGATAGATGCCTTTTGATTGATTTGATTTGATTTTAAAATAGAGGCCAAGAGCACCTCAGAATGATAGAACAGATTTTAAGCTCGCTTGTATAATCACCACTTCAGTGAATGTTGTACCTCGGATTCCCGGCCAGTGCACCAAAATGATACGACTCTGATGACTGGAGGGGAATACCAGGGTCCTTTTCTCACGCCAGTTTAAATACGACGACATGGATATACGTGGAGTGGTTTTAAGGAGCGGAGAGAGTTTAATAAATCGGCAAGAAAGAAGGAAGGGGCTCCCCCATACAGAGACAGAGGGAGGGGGCTCCAAGCTGAGAGAGGGAACCCTGAGTGCAGCAGAAAACAGCCATTTATATTAGGAGGCTGGAGGAGCTGGTGTCTGATTTGCATAGAGTCCAGGGGATTGGGTTGACCAGGTATGTCATTCATGTAGCCCACAAAAATCTGGTCCTCCCACCCTAGCCTTTTAATATGCAAATGCAGGGCACCATGATGTTCTACACACGTGGGGATATGTGGGGGTGGCCATGATGCTAGGCACTTGTAGTGACAAGAAGAAGGTGGGAATTGCCATATTGAGTGGACCCAGTTTCTAATGGCTGGCATTTGCATATCAAAGCTTGCTGGCCCGCCCTTCAGGCCATTTTTCTGCTATGCAAGAAATGTATCTGGAGCTGCCTTAAAAGAAAAGAAACTTGCCAAGGACCCCTTGTCTTCTCTATCTGCCTAAAATAATTTCTTAATAACTCCTATAACATAGGGAGATTATTGACTCCATATCTCTCCAAACAGTGCAGGTAGATTAAGGACCAGATTATCATTTATTATCTGTCCTATCATAAAGTAATAGTTTTATTTCTAAGAAACTTTGTGTTTTCAAAACTTACATCCCATGATAGTTTGATTTGTAAAAATTTTTGTAGGAGAGAAGTAACACTTACAGCTCTCTACAGGTCAACTGCCTGATGAGACTTAATCTTAAGTTGAAACTAGTGTGAGATGTCCAGAAAATAGTAGAGTTGAATGAAATTTTAAAAGGCAGGCAAGAAAAAAATTCTAATTTTTTTTGGTAAATGTAAAAAGTCACTGTTTTTTTTTTTTTCTGACCAGCTTCCCGCCCGTCCCCACCCCTTGACCAAATTGGAAAATATTTTATTTTGAATTGTTGACCTCTTTGAACCATACATCAAATTGTCCTTTAAATTGGCAGTAATCTGGCTAGAGATCAGAATGCCTGTTTTTTTGTTTTTTGATTTTTAAAAACAGCTTTTCAGCCAGGCGTGGTGGCTCACACCTGTAATCCCAACACTATGGGAAGCCAAGGCAGGCAGATTGCTTGAGCCTAAGAGTTCAAGACCAGCCTTGGTATCATGGTGAAACAATGTCTCTACAATAAATACAAATATTAGCTGGGTGTTGTGGCACATGCCTGTAGTCCCAGCTACTTGGGGGGCTGAGATGGGAGTATTTCTAGAGCTTGGGAGGTTGGGGCTACAGTGAGCCAAGATCACACCATTGCACACCAGCCTGGGTGACAGAGTGAGACTTTGTCTCAAAAAAACTCAAACAAAAAACCAGTGTTAGAAACAAGTGCTCGGTGCCGCAAAGAAGAACTAGCACTCAGGCAAAAAGTTTTCTCAGCAAGGCAATTTACTTCTACAGAAGGGTGCTGCCTGCATCAGTCACGCTCGCGAGAGCACACCGAACAAAAGAGAGGATTTTTATTTATTTATTTTTTTTGAGATGGAGTCTTGCCCGGTCACCAGGCTGGAGTGCAGTGGCGCGGTCTCGGCTCATGGCAACGTCCGCCTCCTGGGTTCAAGTCATTCTCCTGCCTCAGCCTCCTGAGTAGCTGGGATTACAGGCGCCCACCACCACGCCCAGCTAATTTTTGTATTTTTAGTAGAGACAAGTTTCACCATGTTGGCTGGGATGGTCTCAATCTCCTGACCTCGTGATCCGCCCGCCTCAGCCTCCCAAAGTGCTGGGATTACAGGCGTGAGCCACCGCTCCCGGCCAAAGGGTTTTTATTCCTAACACAGTTCCTGTTTCTGTGTCCTTTCCCCATTGGCTAGGGTTGGACCAAACAATCTAAATTAACCCAATTGGCTAAGACTTAAACCTTTCTAAATATGGTGAACACGCAGTTTGCTAAGAGAGGAGGGGAGGGAGAGACTGTCTGTTGCTAAGGTGGGAAGAGTTGCCTACAGAATAAGTTTAAGGGGTGTTTGGACATGTCTGGGTGTGACAGAGATGTTTACGGAGTAAGAGGTTTGCTAGTTACAGATTAAGCTGAGGAACAAGTGCTCGTTACAGATCAAGCAGGAAGGGCTGTGTACAGAGCAAGAGACCAAGGGAACTTTGAAGAGGAACTTACTGTCCTTAACAGTTTCCCTCTCTTGATTTTATAGTTCTTCCCCTTCAAATTTCTTTAACATATTTTAGATTTGTTGTTCCTCTTGGTCATTTAGGAGTACGAACTTATGTGAGTAGGGCAGGGGAGAATCATGAGGGGTTTTGGTGAAGGCTTTTTCTATAAGCCTTTGCACTAATCCACGAATACAAGGTATGATGCAGCAACCTACAAGAATGAGTACACCTATAATAATTGCAAGGGGAGTAAAGGTTATGAGTCCCTTCCATTTTCTAAACCATTTTTCCGTGAGACTAGAGAAGAATTCTAGAATTCTATTTTAGAATTTTTGGCTAATTCATTTGCTAGGGTGTTAAGGCTCTGTAAGCATTGGGCCCCAATTATGACACAGACCCCACCTTTTTCAGCTAATATTTTGTTCAGGGCTATTCTGTTTTCCCAGGCCATCTGGCTGGTAGAACTTAATTGTTCAGCTGTTCCTTTAATGGCATTCCTAGTATAACTGACAAACTGCTGTTGATTATGGTAAATGTAATTTATCCAGTTTACATTTTTCTTTATAGTTACCCACGAGAACAATACAGATTCAAATCCTGCAGCGATTTGATTTTGGGCTTTAAATTCATTTGGCACCCCTTGTGGAACTCTGATGGCATCTATATAAATGTGAGGGTCAAAGGACCCGTGGGGGGTACTTCTTTTTTCACGATTGTCCTTTTTGCTTAGTTGATGAAATGCCAGAGTGAAAGGGATTGCCAATTGGATTAGAGCGCAAGTGCCGCTCCAGTTACTTGGCAGAGTATCCAATAGTGGTCCACTGCAATACCACCATACATCTGCTTGGGGATGAACAAGGGCAGACTGATTGGTTAGCTGTTGAAAAGGCTTAGATTCACTGCATCCCATTAGACTCCCAAGGAATGCCAAATTTTCCCCTTGCCGTGAGAGACACGAGGTGAAATTGATATTTGTAGTACGGGGTTGGATAGCCCTCAGGGGCCGACCTGCAGGGCTTTTCACTTCTAGGAATAGCAGCAAGAGGGTTTGACATGCCTTACTGCCCCAGGCTGTGGGATTTTGGAAGAGGGCTACCATACAGTTCATGCCCGGTTGATCAGAGGATCAATCAAGTGGAAAGGGGACAGTTTGGGTTTCTGGCCTACCTGTCGCACAAGCGTAACAATCGCTTTTGTTTAGCGTGCAGATGGAATATTTAATCTATTCCAGCCAGGCATTTGCATCTTGGTACCGTGTTTCAATGGCTATGGTTTGCTTTAGATCTTTAATTTTTACAATGGATAAGTACTGGATTGCAATGATTAGATTGACAGTCAGAAGGGGTGGCCCCTTTGGTGAAGTGTAGGTATGGTTTTAGGGCAGTGCCCTAAAACTGCCCACTGAGACCATAACCCCCAATTGCCTAACTCTTCCTCTGAGGATTCCCCCCATATGCAAGACACAGGAGTATTAACTCTTTCCACAGAGGGGCAGAAGTACTTTTCTGTACAAGCTAACTGTCTTTGACTTTGGAGATCTCCACAAGGTAAGACTAGACAAGCATAGTTACATTAACAGTAAGATATCCTTGAGTAGCTAAGGGGAGAAGAAAAAGACAAACCCGTTTGAATGTTAGTTTTGAGGCTGTTGGTCCTGGAGTGATGGTCCATGACTTTGCCAGAGGTGGGGCCTTCTTCACTTGTGTGGTGGGTTCACCCTTTTTCGGCTTTCCGGAGTGCTATTTCAGTTGTTAGGAGTACCAGGTAAGGTCCTTCCCAGGTGGGTTTGAGCTTTCCCTCTTTCCAACCTTTGACAAGGATGTAATCTCGCTAGGAGGCCTTGAGTCCTGAGGGAGGAAAGAGACAGACAGGCTAAGGTCTTTTTGAGGGGGGCAGTTTGGATTCTTGGTAAGGCAATAGGAAGGCATCTTGTCCATGGTAACCAGGTTTCCAGAATTAATTTGGTTAGGTGATTTTTTAGATTTTGGTTCATTTTTTTTTCTACTTTCCCTGATGAGGACAGATGCCAGGGAGTATAATATTCCCATTTTATTTCTAGTGCCTGGGTATGATATGTTCTAACAGGGCTTTGACTACATTACTGGCTGTTGTCCTTGGGAAGGGGAGAGCTTCTACCCAGTGGGTAAGGTGGTCTACTATTACTAGTAAATACTTGAGGCGGCCTGTTGGGGGCATTTCAGTATAGTCAACTTGGATGCTTTGGCATGGCCTTAACCCTGGATTTCTTCCCCCGGGAGGTTTTTTTTTTAGGGTTTACTCATTAGTTTTTCTGCACACTATGCAACTATCCACTACTTGCTTAGCGAGGGTTTGTATTCCTATGTACCCATAGACTCTAAGGACTGCATCACATATAGCTTGAGGACCCCAATGAGTTCCTTGATGAAGCTGAGACAGTATTTCTCTCAAGAGGTTTAGACAACATTTCCCTTCCATCTGGTAATACACACTTTCCTTCTGTGTTTTCTTCAGCTCCTAATTTTTTCTGCATTTGCTTGAAGTGGGGAGGGAAGTTAGAGGTGTTTGGCGGGGGAAGGTGATCTAAAGGGTAAGTAGTTTCTGGCTTGTCTCCTGTAGTTTTTAGGGGATATAGGATGACAGGCACTTGCCGCCAACACAGGGCATAGTTTATTTCCTCCTGGGAAACAGGACTTTTGTCATTGACATATTCTATTAAAAGTTGACAAATCCAGTCCTAACTGGATTCAAACCTTGGCCAGAAAACTGAATGTTTGAGAGTAGGTTCTTTGGTTTAAATAAAGCAACAATATTTTATTATTTGTTGCTTCTTTTTATGTTTGGTGCTTTCATTTTCTCTCCAATATTTTAACATGAGACCTAGAGAGCTATCAGAGGGAATTATATTGTCTGTCTTTTCCTTTTGATTCCCTGCCTTGTCTGGGGTATTTCCCATCCTGGAAGTTTTAGGTGCTTCCTGAGTTTTCCTGAGTCAGTGGAGCTCAACCTCTCCTAATAGAAATTTCTTGCACCCTTTCTCTACGGCTCAACTCGAGTTTCTTGTGTGTGTATGGGGCTCAACCTCTGTTTACTAGAGATTTCTTGCACCTTTTCCCTAGAGGCTCACCACTGCCCCCGCCCCCCAACCAACTGGAGGTTTCTTGCACTCCTTTGCTTTCACTTCTTCCTTCTCTGGTCACTTCCCTCGCAGGAATTTAGGTTGGTATAAACCCTCGACAGGAAAGCTACCCTAAGGCATATCAGGTGACCATGGAACCATGGATCTGGACTCCACACTCGCTTCGCACTTAATTGTATGTCTCATTCACACACTTTCAACCTCCAGGATGTCCCCACCACCAAGGAAGTACTCCTGCTGCCCCCTGGCTTTTCCTACTTTGGTCTGTGCACAGAGTTACCTTGTCGCCGTGGTATCTGTACTGTAGGCTTTTTCTTCCTGTGTTGCCGAGAGTCCAGGTTTATTCTTCACACTGGGTGGGTTCTGATTCCTTACCCCTGAGGCCACCGCAGTGAGGCAGCAGGACATGTCTCCTTATGAGAGGTGATTGGAGACCCTTTCCCGGAGGAGAATGATATCCCAGATGGGTAATTCTTTGCTCAGTGCTACAAAGAAGAACCAGCACTCAGGCAAAACGTTTTCTCAGCAAGGCAATTTACTTCTGCAGAAGGGTGGTGCCTGCGTCAGTAACGATCGCAAGAGCACATTGAACAAAGGAGAGAAGGGTTTTTATCCCTAATGCAGTTCCTGTTTCTGTGTTATTTCCCCATTGGCTGGGGTCGGACCAAACCATCTAAACTAACCTGACTGGCTAAGACTTAAACTTTTCTAACTATGGTGAACATGCAATTTGCTAAGAGAGGAGGGGAGGAGGAGATTGTTGCTAAGGTGGGAAGAGTTGCCTACAGAACAAGTTCAAGGCATGTCTGGACATGTCTGGGCTGACAAAGAGTTGTTTACAGAGTAAGAGGTTTGCTAGTTACAGATTACGCTGAGGAACACATGCTCATTACAGATTGAGCAGGAAGGGCTGTGTACAAAGCAAGAGACCAAGGGAGCTTTGAAGAAGAACTTATTGTCCTTAACACCAGCTTTTCATCTTGCTTTATGTAAGCATATAAGAATAAATTTCTTAGTTTGTTATTAATGGTTGCTAAGAGACAGTGTACAAGGTCATGAAGATTTCTTTTATGAATTTTATTTAGTTTCTTCTAAGAGTTTTATAGTTTTAGCTGTTACATTTAGGCCTATTGATTCATTTGAATTAATATTCATGGGTGCTATGAAATAGGGGTCTAACTTTATTCTTTTGCCTGTGGCTATCCAGTCACACCATCTCTACGTATCTTCTGGTTTTTAATATAGAAATTATAATATATACCCATCTATAATGGTATAATATATACCCATCTATCTATAATGGTAATCAGAATCTTTATTCTCTACTGGTAAATATGAGGACTATAAAACGTTGGAATACCAGTCACCCCTGTTGTGAGTTATATGTCATGGTTGCTAAGTATATATATTTTTACTTTTAACCACATGTTAGATATTGTTTTTATTGTTGTATGCATTGTTACTGTTTTTTAGATTTAATCACAAGTTTACCATTTGTCTCTTTGCTCTTCCTTTTTTCAACTCAGAATTCATTATTCATTATTCTGAAATAAACTCAAGGAACTTTAGCAGTTCTTTCAGTGAGTCTCCAAATTCTGTTTTTGCTTAGCTGAAAATATATTTTTCTATCTGGAAAGACAGTTTAGTTTCCCTGCAAAAACAATTTTTGGATGTCAGTTATTTACCCAACCCTTTGAAGATATTAGTCCATTGTGTTCTGGATTCCATTATTGCTGTTGAGAAGTTGGCTATCATTGATAGTTGTTTTATTAATAGTTTGCCCTTTCTCCATGGCTCACCACTTCTCATTGTCTGATGTTTTGCAGTTTCTTCATGAGCTTTAGTCCTGCTCTGCAGCTGTGAAATGTAAGCCCTTAGGGGAAGGCCTGATTCATATTATTATTATTATTTTTTTTGGAGACGGAGTATCACTCTTGTTACCCAAGCTGGAGTGCAATGGCACAGTCTTAGCTCACTGCAACCTCTGCCTCCTGGGTTCAAGTGATTCTCCTGCCTCAGCCTCCCGAGTAGCTGGTATTAGAGGCGTGCACCACTGCGCCCGGCTAATTTTTTGTATTTTTAGTAGAAATGGGTTTTACCATGTTAGCCAGGCTGGTCTCTAACTCCTGACCTCAGGTGATCTGCCCGCCTCGGCCTCCCAAATTGCTGGGATTACAGGCGTGAGCCACCGCACCCGGCCTCATATTTTTATTGAGATTAATATGTTTGTATTGTCTTTTCTACCTAGCATAATGCCTTGTACATGATACATTCCTAGGAGACTCTTTAGATGAATTACTTTATATAGCCCCACTCCTAGCAGTGTGTGGTTTAGAATATTAAAATATATTTACCTAAAAATATAGAGAATACTTTGAAATATTTATTTATTTGTTTATTTATTTATTTGAGACAGAGTCTCGCTCTGTCTCCAGACTGGAGTGCAATGGCGCAATCTCAGCTCACTGCAACCTCTGCCTCCCGGGTTCAAGTGAATCTCCTGCCTCAGCCTCCCAAGTAGCTGGGACTACAGGCGCCCACCAGGACACCCTGCTAATTTTTTTGTGTTTGTTTTTTGTTTTTTTCTAAGTAGAGACGGGGTTTCACGATGTTGGCCAGGATGGTCTTGATATCTTGACCTCGTCACCTGGCAACTTTGGCTTCCCAAAGTGCTAGGAATACACCTTTTTTTTTTTTTTTTTTTTTTAAAGAATGGGTTACATGTGGCATAACATGTTTTTTTTTTCCTATGTAACATGATATGATCATGGCGTTAGCAGGAAGGGAAAAAAAACTCATTGTGTTGTATAAAAATTATTACCTGGGCCAGGAGTGGTGGCTTCCGCCTGTAATCCCAGCACTTTGGGAGGGCAAGGCGGGCAGATCACATGAGGTTGGGAGTTCGAGACCAGCCTGACCAACATGGAGAAACCCCGTCTCTACTAAAAATACAAAGTTAGCCAGGTGTGGTGGTGCTTGCCTGTAATCCCAGCTACTCAGGAGGCTGAGGCAGGAGAATCGCTTGAACCTGGGAGGCAGAGGTTGTGGTGAGCTGAGATTGTTCCCTTGCACTCCAGCCTGGGCAACAAGAGCAAAACTGTCTCCAAGAAAACAAAACAAAACAAAATTATTGCCTTTGTGGTTAGGGTTAACAATTTTATTTAAAAAATAAAATATTTGTTATAATATTTTATGTTGACTGATAAGTATGAAAATGTTATTTTAAATCAGTGTTTTGATACAGGGTTATATAGTTTACTGATTATTTTTTAAACTGTGAAGACTGATGATTTATTCTTTAATGTAGATCTGGAGGGTGGGAGTGGTCTTTTTTTGCATTTAATTCCTTATTACTATCAGAAGGATAGAGCAGACAGAGAGAGAGAGAGAGATACCATCCCTGTATATAAGAGAAGATAGAATCAATGTTTTCATTTAATACCAGATGAGAATAACATGATAGCGAAACAGAAGATTGGGATTTTGTTTGGAATTGAGAAATATGCTGTCTTAAATACAACTCACTTGCATTATCAGACTATATCAGCGTCCCTTTCTTATATTCTGGCCTTTAAAACTTAAATCTGTCTGAAACCATTAGCTCATCTATGCCTACTGTCAATGCTATAAGCCACATTCTTGTTTTTAAAAGGACTACCCTCTGTTGGTTTCAGATATCACTGTTGTGACTTAGATGTGGGATAGATAGTAATAACTTGCATTTGGGATTTGTGGCTACAATTAGGTAGCCTAATCAAGCACATTAGGAATTGCATTATATCTACCTCTAATTAACTGTGTTTCCTCAGGGTAAAATAACATTTTTAAGTGTTGAAATTGTTAAAGTTAACATTTTCTAGACTCATTTCTAAGGTATAATAATGACCCTTTTCCCACCTAGATATTCATACTGGGGGAAAATATTCTTTGTTCATATATTCTTAAATATTTAATTTAAAAATTTTAATTCTTATATTTAATTCTCTTATAAATACTAAATATTTAATTCTTTCAAATAATTCTTTTTTCATTTATTCATATGTTGTGTGTGCATGTGTGTGTGTGTGCATATGTATGTCAGTAGACTAAGCTTTGATCCTTAGTTTTGACAGTAATGAATTCTGAATGTCACAGTTAATCAGATTTTACACTAGAACTCAGATACTGGTTATGGTTGAACTTGGGATATTTAAGCTTAAAGCCTTCAGAACTGGAATCAGACCCATATGGAATGATGTTATAGTAAATGAAGCAGCAAAATCACTTATTTAGAAGTGGTATTTCCTAGGCCCTTCTCTACTCTTACTGGATCATAATCTCTTGGAGTAGGGCACCAGCTCTCAGGCAACTTTTTTTATGCCAAGATTTGAGAATTTGTAATAAGGGAATTTTAGGAATAAATTCTATATTCAGTATCATAGTCTATGGACAGCATATATCAGCTGCTTTCAGATTTAGGGAATAAACACTAGTCTGATGTGAAATTGATTTTTCACTCATTGCTGATTTTTCTTTGCATTTGGAAAGTACTGAGTTAGTAAAGGCAGATTGGAAAGTAGCCCATTACTGGATACAAGAAGCAGCCAAACTGGGTCTTAGAGGATTCCGCTGTGATATGGAAAGTGAGACAATTACCTATTTATTATTCATACTTTAGAAGTATTTTAAACTCTTTTGAGGTCACAGAACAACAAAATACCTTTGCAGAAGTTTGACCATATGGTCAAGTTATATTCCTTGGAAGCAATTAAAATAAGACATTGTATAAAGTAAAATGTGGAAGTATTTTTCTCCTTTTGCCCCCTTTCCACTATGTAGAGGTTACCTTTGTTTATTAAGTTTTGTGTGTATTCTTTCGGATCTTTTCTCTGCTAATGAATGTATATGTATTTATATATAGATATGCACGCATCTACATATCTAGATATGTATGTTCACATATGTGTATTCATATTTTAAACAGTGATATGTACAAATTGCCTCCCTTCTTTCAAAGACTATAACAGTTTGTGTTCCCATTACTGTAGTATATTTGCAGCCTTTAATAGTTTTCTGAATATGATAGAGAATGTATCTTTACTATTAGTGCGTTTGAGGATTTTTAAAAAATATATATTCTCTAGTTGTGTTTCTTGTTTATTTACTTATTGAATTTTTTTGGCCTATTTTAAAATTGAGTTGCTAGGTTTTTTTTTTGTTGATTTGTTGAAGCTCTTTATATGTATGGGTATTTAGCCTTTGTCTGTTACATTGAAATTAATATTTACTTGTAGCTTTTTAATGACATCATAATAACTAACATTTTGCTTTCTGCCAGGAATTCTTCTGTGTATTTTATGTGTTTTGATTTAATTCTCACTGTTGTCATCTCCATTGTATGGAGGAGGTAACTAACTATTAAATAACATGTTTGAGCATGCATAACTACTGAGTGATAGAGCCAGAATTTGAATCTAAAAAGGCTGTATGTTTTTTATTTTTTTATTTTTATTTATTTATTTTTTTGAATATATATTTTTATTATACTTTAAGTTCTAGGGTACATATGCACAACGTGCAGGTTTGTTACATATGTATACATGTGCCATGAAAAGGCTGTATATTTTACTCCTTTTTTTTTTTTTTTTTTTTTTTTTTTGAGACAGAGTCTAGCCTTGTCACCCAGGCTGGAGTACAGTGGCACAATCTCTGCTTACTGCAGCCTCCGCCTCACAGGTTCAAGCCATTCTCCTGCCACAGCCTCTTGTGTAGCTGGGATTACAGGCGCCTGCCACCACACCTGGCTAAGTTTTGTATTTTTAGTAGAGATGGAGTTTCATTATTGTTGGTGAAGGTGGTCTTGAACTCCTGACCTCAAGTAATCCGCCTGCCTTGGCCTCCCAAATTGCTGGAATTACAGGTGTGAGCCACTGCCCCCAGCCCTATATTTTACTCTATATAATAGTTTTGAAATTAAAACTGTTATACTTAACCTTTGGTCTGTATTTTTACCTGCAACTTGATACAAGACTAATTTTTTATTTTTTTTAATTTAAAGATATCTTTTAGAGGCTATGATGATTTTAGTATAACTACTCCTTTAGTAATATTAATACAAATATATGTAAAATATATATAATGCTATAATATGTGAATACAAATATTCCATAAACTTTTGGGGACGTCTGTCCTGTTTCTATTTAGAACCAACCCTCAGTAGCATATTCCCCTTTATTTTCTTGTTCTCCTGATTACCAGAATAGTCTGTTAATCACTGTGTTTGCCAGTTGTTTTGCTTTAATCCATTGGCAACTCTGCTGTCAGAATAATCAGTCATCTTAAGTACAATTTTTTTGATCATATCATTCACTCCTTTGTTTGGAAGCTCAGTGATACCACATTTCATGCTGAATGAAGGCCAGGCTCTTTACTTAGCAGAGCGTTTGAAGATGTGTATAATTCTGCTTCACCTTTACCTATCAAGAGTTACCTTGACAACTTTTCTTGGCACTTTAACTCCATACTGTAGATACATGGATTTATTTTTCTTGTTATACAGCCACATTCTTTTGGCTTCATGATTGGACGATTCAGTGTTTTCAGTCAGCAGAAGTTGTTTACTGGCTGGTTGAGCACATAGGAAATTTACTTAAATATATTTGGTGCTTCACAGAATTTTTAGGAAGGCTGGAGAGCCAGGCTTAAGGATAAGCTTCCAAGTAATATGCCTCAAATCATATATGAGAACTGTCAGTCTTCCACCACTAAGCTGTCTAGCTGCTGCCAGTTCTGGGATAGGAATTTTGATTCTGCAGCCACTACGGGGCCACGTCTGTCACTGCTGTTGTGGAAAGGTGATGCCTCTGCTGTTGCCTGTATCACCCAAAAATGGTAGCTCCACACCGAGTCCATTTTATCATGTGACTTACTTCCAAAACTGCAATCTTGTGCTGCTGCCTCTGAATGTCTGCATCATAGTTTCAGGGTGTACTGGGATTTTGAGGTCTGAAATATATTTTGGGAGGGTTGGAGTCAGTAATGTGAGAATTTTCCTAAATGCAGGAAGTTTCTTCAGAAGCTGATAGGCAGTCTTGAATATGATAACTATCCACTACAATACTTCTGTTTATATTCCTTCATTTGTAATGTTTTTCCCTTTTCATGTCCAAGTTAACACATTCTGTGCAAAGACCCACTGGAATTTTATTTTTTGAATAGTCTACCTGGCTCGTTTTAATCTGAATTTTCTTACAACTTTATCAACATAACTTTTTCCATAAGACAATGTAAGAGAATACAAGTAATAAGTATCTTCTGGTATAAGAGTCAAACAGTGTGGGGAGATACAGAATAAATTGCAAAGGTCTCCATCGCTTACTTCCTCCCCACACACCAATTTAAATTGCTACCCCCTTTCTAGATATCCCTTGATTACAAAATTATAGTCTTTGGTTTTAATTTGATATATATGATGATAACATGGCACTTGATGGTAAATTTATTGAGTATTTAAGCCATTATTTATCTTTCAGCCTTTCATTTAGTCTGCTAAAACTATTCATTTGTATAGAAGAGTATGATGTGAGGGCCTGACCTAAAGTAATAGAAACTCAACTATTTTGGAGGTAAAAATGTACAACTTGGGGATTTAATAAATATAGAGAGAAAGGAATAAAAGTAGACTCTAAGGTTCTAGCTTGGGGTGAATATGGATATATATATATATATATATATATATATATATATATATACACACACACACACACACACACACACACACACACACACACATACATATATATTCATACATATATGTACACACATATATATATGCCATTAAATGAGACTGGAAGTGAACCCTTTGGGACTATTTTTCATTATTGCAGGAGCACCTTTACTCATATTTCTCATTTGAATTAGAGTTTGGGGAGGTTCTAAAATGTTTAGATCTGGCATAGATTTTCACAGTTCAGGAAAGACACTGAAAAATACCATTTTTCTGACAAAGTTGTGTCTGAGACTTCATTGCTGGATTATGAATAACACCTCTCAGTAAGGAGTTGGATTTTTCCTTTTAAAGGTACAATACTTTAATTAGGGTAAATATAAACCTATTTTAAATCACTTTTCACCTGTAAGTACAGTAGATGGTGAAAGGCCATATACTCTATTAGGTATCCATATTTAGAAAATCCAATCTGAAACTATGTTGACTTGTTTCAGATAAAAGGATAATAATAATTTACTCATTTTGAGGACGTCTTTTTGAAAAGCTTGTGCTGGGCTGGGCACAGTGGCTCATGCCTGTAATCCCAGCACTTTGGGAGGCTGAGGCAGGCAGATCACCTTAAGTCAGGAGTTCGAGACCAGCCTGCCCAACATGGCAAAGCCCCGTCTCTACTAAAAATACAAAAAATTAGTCGGGCGTGCTGGCAGGCGCCTGGAATCCCTGCTACTCGGGAGGCTGAGGCAGGAGAGTCACTTGAACCCAGGAGGCAGAGATTGCGGTGAGCCGAGATCTTGCCACTGCACTCCAGCCTAGGCAACAAGCTAAAACTACGTCTCAAAAAAAAAAGCTTGTGCTATGAAACCATGTTCAGATATTTCTTTTGGCATATTGCATTTTACCTCATTCTCTTTTGTCTGTTAATTGTAACTAATTTGACCATCTTTTTTCTTTCCAGATCATTCAACTTCAAGTGGCACATTATCTTTTAAGCCTAGTCAATCATTGATTACTCTTCCTACTGCCCATGTGATGCCGTCTAATTCCAGCGCTTCAATTTCCAAACTTAGGGAATCATTGACACCAGATGGCTCAAAATGGAGTACAAGCCTCATGCAAACATTGGGAAACCACAGTAGGGGGGAGCAGGACTCTTCCCTAGACATGAAGGACTTCCGGCCACTTCGGAAATGGTCATCTTTATCCAAACTCACTGCCCCGGATAACTGTGGCCAGGGTGGCACTGTATGCAGAGAAGAGTCAAGGAATGGTTTGGAGAAGATAGGGAAGGCTAAGGCTTTAACATCACAACTGAGGACAATTGGGCCTAGCTGTTTACATGATAGTATGGAGATGCTTAGGTTAGAGGACAAGGAAATAAATAAAAAACGGTCATCAACTCTGGACTGCAAGTATAAATTTGAGAGCTGTAGCAAGGAGGACTTTAGAGCCTCTTCCTCTACTCTTAGGAGACAGCCTGTAGACATGACATATAGTGCCTTACCTGAAAGCAAGCCCATTATGACAAGCTCAGAGGCTTTTGAACCTCCAAAATATTTAATGCTTGGTCAACAGGCAGTAGGTGGAGTTCCCATTCAGCCTTCCGTAAGGACTCAGATGTGGCTTACAGAGCAGCTGCGGACAAATCCTTTGGAAGGTAGAAATACAGAGGATTCTTACAGTTTAGCTCCTTGGCAACAGCAGCAAATTGAAGACTTTCGACAAGGAAGTGAAACACCAATGCAGGTAAGGTGCAAAATCTAGTGTTTGCTTCCCTCCAGTGGATGTTATGAGTACAGTAGCACACTTACAGTAAGCATATAACAAGTGTTCACAGATTGTTTTGCATTTCCTTTTCCCTGCAAGTTAATAGGCAGAAATGTTACAAACCGAAAAGTGTTGTTGATAAACTTGCAAAGCATTTGAGACTAATTAACATGAAAATCTGAAAACCTTGTACCTAGCTTGTTCTTTCCTTTTCATTTGTTAAATGGGCATAAAAATAAAGCAAAACATACTCAATCTAAATAAACTTGGAAACAGAAACAAAAAAGCTAGCATAGGTATAATAGAAAGAGCATCAACTTGGCTATACAAGGTCTTAGATTTTGTGTCTGGTTCTGTTAGATTTAGAACGTGGATGACTTTTTCACTTAATTTCTCTGGGCCTCAGTTTCTTCATCTGTACAATGAGAAGGTGGAACTACAGTCATTTGTAAAGTTTTGGTGATACATGATGTTATTTAGGTTTATAAATCAGATGTACTTTTTTTTAAAAAAAATTATGTGTCAAGGCATTCATTAATCAGCTTATAGAAAGTGCTTTATGATGATATCATATATAAAGAAAAATAGTATACAGCCCCCAGTTGGTCTAGGGAATAGCATGTAAATGTGTAAATTTCTTAATCTGGGAATGTTTCTATTCCAAGACAATTTTCTGTAGCTTGTTTTAACAAGGAAACTAATTTTCTGATATAAGTCCTGTCATCTGTTTTTTATCATCAGAATTTTCTGAAACAAATTAATTCTATAAAAAATTGCAAATTTTCCCTAGAGTAAAAATGTAAAATTGGTATTCATTACTACTACTAATAAAAACAAATAGAATAAATGAACATAGGCTATGAAAGGATAAGGAAATCACTTGTCCAGGAACCTCACAAATATGAGTATGATCTCAAAACATAGAACCCTAACATACTACATTCATAGGAGAACCCTTAACATGTCGCATGTACCTTTATTCTTATTTTAGATACAGTTCTTATAATTTTGATTATGTATTTAAACAACACAATCAAAACAGAAGAATCATTATGATTGAATTAGAAATTTGTGATTTATCCATTCAAGTGATGAAAAATAGGAAACCTAATTTTTCAAATACTGTCAAGTTTTAGTTTTCAAATGTTTGTCATTATAGGAAAACAGAGATCCAGGCAGTTGTTTCTCCAGCTGGTGTCTTTACACAGAATTGGAGCTGTCCAGTGGGGCTGAGTATGCTATTCCAAACTAGAGTAGGTGTGATAGAGATAATTGGGCAAATTTCAAGGAGTAAATACTGATTCATGCTTTTTATTCTGCTTGGACAAATCTCTGGTTTAAACAAGGTGTTTTTCTTAGCCTCAAAGCAATGCAGAGGAGGGTAGGGAGGTTGGGGACACACTGTTGAGATAAATTTGTTTTTAAATCTTCTTTCTAGTGCATAGTAGAGAGAGAAGGCAACTAAAGAGCAAAATTTGCATATACCCTGGAAAGCCCTACTTCTTGATTAACTTTATTTGGGATGGTCTCTTTATAGCGCTTTTAAGTTTTGGAGTAGAAAGATGAATTCAGGTAAAGAAAACTAGACAAACTAAGTTGTAATCATTAAATGACTGCTTCCCTTCTAATTTCCTCCTTAGAAAACTACAGAAAAAAGTTGTTAAATACCTTCTTGGAGCCTCCAAGTAGTATTATCTTTATTTTAAAAGCTTTCATCATAGTTGTTTCTTAAAAGCCTCTTTGAAACATTGACTTCTGGCCAGGCACTGTAGCGCACGCCTGTAATCCCAGCAATTTGGGAGGCCAAGGCAGGAGAATTGCCTGAGTCCAGGAGTTTGAGACTAGCCTGGGCAACATGGCCAGACCCCGTCTCTAAAAAGGAAAAAAGATAAAAATCATAGAAACACTGATTTTCTTTTAGTCTAATTTTTACATAAAGAGAAGAACCTTAATAAGGACCAGGCCGTCTGATAAATTGTGATTTGCAAGCACAACTCCTAAACACTCACCATGAAAAAACAATATTTTTACAACTAAGAAAAGGAATTTGGCTGAAAGTCATAATCTAATAAAACCTTAGATTTATATGTTATAGAATTCTGTAGCTTTCACAGTATTTTATCTCATTTGATTCTCACAGCTCCCCACTCCCCAGGTTAATTTGTAACATTGAAGGTTTGCTCTTCCTAGGACTTAGTCCAGAATAATTATTGAGCCAGACACACATTCTTATGTGTGTGTTGTTCCTTGATTTCCATGGTTTTCTGCTAAATCATCAAGAGTGCAGGAGTGTAGTACTCTGAATCATTTTCCTTTGTGAATGAAAAGAAGCCATTATGCCCTCAGATGGTTTATGACAGAAGGCTCCATGTGTAATGCCTACTGCTAGTCTTTGACTCTTTCCTCGGTAGTACATCACACTTATGCTACCCACCCCCTGCAACCCCTAAGCTGCCTGACTCTATAGGGACTATGACAGAGGAGGAAAAACAGTCTGGTCTTTTTGGGAAGACTCCTTCCCTTTCCATGGCCCCCTTGAGTTCCTTTTCTTGGGGAAGGTAGGGTGGAAGGGATGGAGGATAAACACTTCTACACGTAACGGCAGTATCCATTTGGATTCCTGTAAGCCCACGATGGATCTCCCAGACAGTAGTGAAATAATAGTAGCCTCTTTATTGATGAAGTTGTTTATCCTTTTTTCCCTAGGATGTTTCTGAACTTCAGGTGGCAGTCATTAAAAAGATGAAATTTTGTGCCTATTTAGTCATAAGGGTGTTTGAACAGTTATGGTATTGGCACCTATACATATTTTACTGGAGATTTTCCCTTGTATAAACAAAAAATTTGGACCAAGCATGGTAGCTCACCCCTGTAATCCCAACACTTTGGGAGGCTGATGGGGGGTGGATAGCTTGAGGATAGGAGTTTGGGACCAGCCTGGGCAATGAGACCCCATCTCTACAAAAAATAAAAAGAATTAGCCATATATGGTGATGTGCCCCTGTAGTGCCAGCTACTTGGGAACCAAGGTTGGAGAATCCTTTGCACCCCAAGAGTTCAAGGCTGCAGTGTGCAATGATCATGTGACTGCATTCCAGCCTGCATGACAGAGTAACACCCTGTCTCTTGATTTAAAAAAAAAAAATTGATAAAATGAGTTAAAGTAAAATGACTTGTTTTTTGTCTAACATGAAATAATAATGAAAAAGTTTTATTTATAACTTGAGAGTGTTTAAAGTATTCTGTTACGTCCTGTGAACAGAAAGTTTTCTTATTTTTATTCTTATTTTTGTACCCTGTTCTGGCTTTAATTTTTTAACTGTTTGAGATAATTTATATATTCAAAGATGTGAACACTATGACACTCCCTATATTAGGATATGACACATTCATTAGGTAGTTAAAGAGGACTTTTATATACCTGTTTTAATGAATAAAATTAGTAATGTGTTTCACTTTTTTCATCTGTCAAGTTTTCTATGTAATATTAGCATAAAATTTCTGGACATTTTGAAGTGTGCTGTTACTTAGCAGAAGAGCAGATCTTTTCTGAAAATTTATTATAGTCCTACTTTGCCAGAAGTCTCAAAAATAATCAAAAGATAAATAATCGCTATGTAGTAGCAATTTGTTATCTTATATACGTCTGCCCTCTTGTGTGTCTGGACTTGGGCGTCTTGATTTTGTTTTATTTGGGGAAAGTCACCAAAAAAACCCCTATAAAATTAAAACTATAATTAGAGCGTTTTATCGTTAGTATCAATTGTAAGTGTATTATAGAGCAGCCCCACTGAGTTTTCAAGAACATTCATTTTAATATAGTGATTCTGATTTGCATTAAACAAATATATATTCTTAACCAATTAAAATATAAAAGGCAACATTAAGCATTTTAAAATTGTTTTTAGTGCCCTGTAAATTAAGATAAGAACTTATTCTATAGTAGAACATATTTGAGCATTTAGTATATTAAATTTTAAAAATAAATTGTTTTCTTATATCTTATTCTTTACACTTTATGATGAAGAATAATTATTTAAAGAGTTTATTCTACTTTATAATTTGAGTTATAGTATTCTGTAATCCTCACAGAATAAGATTTTAATTTCTATCAAAGAATGAAGAACAAAAAAATTAGTTATTTCTGTTTACTGAGAAAAATATTGTAACAAACAGTGTAATCAAAGGAATATGACTAATCAGTTCAAATTTTCCACTTGTTTTTAAGACTAGGGATACTTTCTGTATTGGTAATTTACTAAAACCAGTGAGGTGAGTGTATCACCTGTTGTTTATAAGCTTTCTACTTGTTTTTAGGAATTTCCAGCTTGTAGATGAGGCGTCACTTAAGAAATCTCTGCCCTTCTGTTCTTCAGATATCCCTGAACCAAACACTTTCCACTCCCCATCTCTAGTATCTCTCATGGGTTCAGAAAATTTAATAGTGTCTCCTTCACTATTGAGTTAGCAACACTTGTGTAAGAAACCAAGGTCAATATTGATGTTACATATTCTTTTAGTAACCATGTTTTAGAAGATATGGTTAATTACACATCCTCTACTCTTTTAATAATAGTTATATTAGTAACATGTCTTCAACTGAAATTAAAATTGTTGGATTATGCAGTATAGGTGTAAACTATTTTAGACTTAATTTTAAACTTTAGTCAACTTAAATTACCAAAGTTTGGTGAATATATTTTCCAGCACTCAATTTTACTTCAGTTGTTTTATGAGTTATTGGAAGATGTTCTGAAATGGTCAGAGGAGAAATTGAAAATTTATTCATCAAGAAAATAATTATAAATAGCATAGCTGGATCTATAATTTAGCTCAGTAGAGTGGACTGCAAAATAGATGCTTACCATTTGGTTGATAGAGGAAGAAAAATAGCTATATCCTATTACAGTTGACCCTTGAACAACAAGGGCTTGAATTGCAAGGGTCCACTTATACATGAATATTCTTTCCCCCACTCCCCACACCCCTAAGACAAGACTGCAAGACCAACGCCTTCTCTTCCTCCCCATCTTTCTCCTCCTCTGCCTACTCAATGTGAAGACAATGAGAATGAAGACTTTTATGTTGACCCACTTCCATTTAATGAATAGTAAATATATTTTCTCTTTCTTATGATTTTCTAAATAACATTTTCTCTAGCTTACTTTATTGTAGGAATATAGTGTATAATACATATAACACGCAAAATATGTGTTAATTTACTGTTTATGTTATCAGTAAGGTTTATGGTCAATAGTAGGCTATTAGGTAGTTAAGATTTTGCGGACCCACGAATTGTCAGCTCCCCTAACCCCCATGTTCAAGGGTCAGCTGTAGATGTAATAGATGGGCCAACAAGTTCATTTCAAAATATAATCTAATAATTAGTTAATATTTGGAGAGAGAATTCATATATTTTTAAAAAATACTTGAGATAATATATTTTTCTGTCACTGGAAATCTTTTATTTTCCTTGCCTGCATTGGATGTTAGGCTGGAATGGAAGACAACCTGCAAAATCATTCTGAAGTCTTAAGGTTTCATGATTCCAAAGATATAGTATGGTAAGCTAGGTAACTCTAGCTCAGATAATTCACTACAGTGCCTTAAATGAAGATTAGATTCTGTTGTTAGTATATTAGTGATATGACTAATCTCACTGTCACATATTAACCACCAGTTCTCATCTGTTGATCATATGTCTTAGAACAGATTTATGATTTACCTACATGTACTAGAATTCTGTGATTCTTTGAAAAAATTACTTAAAAGGAATTTTATTATGTAAGAGTATGGCCTTACTTTTCCATACTTGATTCTCATCAACTTTAAAAGATGTTAATGTGGCATAGAAAAAATACAATTTCTGTTTTAGAATGTAGATTCTGATAGTTACTACAAATAGTTCTTTATAATAAGATAACAGATGTGAGGAGTCAGTGGACTATTTTGAATAATGACACTTCATTTGTGTTATTACTTTGATACTTGGTGAAGACCTGAAAAATACTTAGTATTAAAGAAGCTTTTACATTGTAATATAAATTATATTCACCTCAAAAGAGTAAAAATAATGCTTTATATATGAAGTGAACTTGTTGGCAGTGCAGTTTTAAAACTAAACTCTTCATCTTCAGAAAAGATTTGGGATAGAAATTTGTGAGCCATGTTGAGGAAATCAACAGTTGCATTTTATACACTTATTTTGAAGTTAATTTTTGAAAATAAAGCCCTTTTCATGTTTACAAGATCCAACAGATGAATACATATGGTAACAATAAGTTTTAGTCTTAATCTTGACCTTTTCACAAAGAAACTCTTCTACTCAGGAAGTGGTCTGTTATACAATATTGTTTTCCTGTCTGCATGGGATGACAGATTTTAAGCTGATGTGGCAAGCTGCAGATCTAGAGGTTGTAGCAGAACTTCAGAGAAGCATCACGATGATACAGATCAGCAAGAGACATATTAAGATGAGACAGAAATTGATAAATAGATTCTGTAGCTTTTGACGTGCTTGTTGAGGCATTTCAATGGTTGAGGCTCTTCTTATAGCTGAGCGAGTGAGGTATTGGACTTTCTCCATGATACCAGCAGGACAGGAAGTCTGAAGTTTTAAGTGGTCGAGAGAAAGATAAAAAGCTGGCAGCCAAATATGAGATAACTGTCTTCTTTTAGGTAGCCTGGAATGTAAAAATAATAAATGGATTAGAATCATCTATGTAACCTATCCTCAGAACAAAAAATACAATTTTACACTAATTCATCTTCCTCAGCACTATTGTTATTTATAACATCATGTTTCTATAGTCTCTCTCCCTCTCTCTCTCTCTCTCTCTCTCTCTCTGTGTGTGTGTGTGTGTGTGTGTGTGTGTGTGTGTATGTGCACGTGTTTCTATGTGTCTGTCTCTCTTTCTCTCCTTTTTTGATGGGGCACACCATGACCGTCTCATTTGTGTTAGGAGTAGTAACTTTAGTCCTTGCCTTTTTCTCCCAAATTTACTACAAGTATTGGAGTAATCCTCAGTGTCTTCCATAAGTTCCTGGAAACCATGACTTTACGCAAAACAACATATAACAAAACCATTTTTACCCTAGGCTGATTGATGTAAACAAGAGTTAAGTTCCTATAGCATATTTCTGGTCACAAAAACATCACCAAACTTCTCAATAAAGACCCCAAACACTTCTAATATTAAACGTTGAGAGAAATATGAACTATGTATACATTTAAGAAAGATTAATAAAAACCAGATAGGCCAGGTGCAGTGGCTCATGCCTGTAATCCCAGCACTTTGGGAGGCCAAGGCGGGCAGTTCCCCTGAGGTCAGGAGTTTGAGACCAGCCTGGCCAACATGGTGAAACCCTGTCTCTACTAAAAATATAAAAATTAGCTAGGCTGGTGGCATGTGCCTGTAATCCTAGCTACTTGGGAGGATCGCTGGAGCCCAGGAGGCAGGGGTTGCATTGAGCCCAGATCATGCCACTGTACTCCAGCCTGGGTGACAGAGCAAAACTCTGTCCCAGGAAAAAAAAAAAAAAGCCAACAAAGATAATTACCCAGTATTTGGTGAATCAGTGAGTAACAGTGGTTGTGGTGGTCTATTAAAAACATGGAATCATGTTTGAGAAATGAAAATTGTCAGGAGCACATCCAGCTCCATGCAGATCAAAAACAATTCAAATACGGTGGGATCTCTGAGTGCTTTTGTGCCATAGCGTTTATTGTCATGCATTTGTATGATCACCGTAGACTTTACCAATTTTTATTCGATAATAATTTGTATTCATCCATTCATTCATTTTTCAACCCTCTTATTCTGGTTTGGGGTGCTGGTGGCTGGAGCCAATCCCAGCAGCTCAAGGAGGGAGGAACCCACCTTGGATAGGAGGCCACTCCATCACAGGATACACTCATGTACACACTCACACTCAACCCAGGACAACTTAAACATGCCAGTGAACCTAATGTGCACTGTTTTGGGATATGGGAGGAAACCAGAGTCCCACAGATGTGGGGAGAATATGCAAGCCCCACACATACTTAAATGTTATAACAAAATGACATAGAAATGATGTTATTTGAGGACCTGCTGTATTTGGTTTAAGGTACAGCTTGTTTTGGGTTATTCTTTTGGGTAAAAGTTCTAACATATAGTTTCTTTAAATCTGTTACTCTGTAGATGTAATTGGTTTGATCAGTCACTGTATTAATAGCTCCAGAGCCAATCTCATAAAAAGGAAATGCATACAACAAATTGTTCCCTGGATCTTAATTTTAATCTAAAATAAAATAGTGTTAAATGGGAAGTGTTTTACCAAAAATATAGATTCAAATTGTTATTCCTTTTTATGATTTTATAGTTTTATAGAATGTTATCTTAAGTAACATTTTAATAAGATTTGATGTTAAGTACTGAAGACTGTCAAGCTTGGAACACATAGTAATTATTATTATCTCACTACCACAGACATATCCTATTTACAGACTTCTACTTAATAGTAGTAGTTTCCATCATGCCTTCTTTCAGAGATCCCACAAGCTATTGCTGCCTGTGGGGCCTATACTTTGATGATTAATAAAATAAGAATTTACATGTCATTACAGAAAAATTATATATAGACTGAAAATTAACTGTATTAACTGTCCAGAGATAATCGTTATTAACACTTGGGGACATTTTGTTTTCAATCAGTATACTTATGTGTCAATTTTGAAATAAGAAAAATGAAAAACGGAGAAAAAAAGTCAGTAATTAACTGCCAGACATAGTGACTGTTAACATTTGTTGATATATTATTGTTAATCAACATATTACTACCTTACCCCAGGTGTCAGATTTTATTTTCTCCTAAGTCCTTTTATACATCCCATAAAAGCCCATCTCAACCTGTTAGCCCATTCCTGAGAGAGGAAAGTGCTGAAGGGAGCAGAAGGAAGTGCTGAAAGAATGGCAAAGGGGAAGGTAAGTATCAGGCATGACTAGTTAGAACCCGGCATTTACTTTGGCAAAGAAACCATATGGTTTATGGTGTTTAGATTCTGTAGTGTTCAACTTGGGTCTATTATATTCTGAATTATATAGTAGACTGGGCATTTTTGGCTTGAGACTCTGTCCCCCTTCATAATATTGGTCTGTAGCAAGGAGTTCCAAACACTCAACTTCTATCAAATTTTCTTTCCTTAAAGAGTTATTAACTACCTGTATTTTTCTAGCATATATTCTTCATTGTCTAAACAGGTGGCTAAAGGCTGTTATTTAGGTTGTCTATAACACTTCTACTTAGAAAATAGCAGCTTATAAAAGCAGAACTACCATTCGACCCAACAATCCCATTACTGGGTATATATCCAGAGGAGTGTAAATCTTTCTGCCGTAAAGACATACACCCATGAATATTCATTGCAGCACTATTCACAATAGCAAAGACATGAACCGGCCTAAGTGCTCATCAGTGACAGACTGGATAAAGAAAATGTGGTACATATACACCATGCAATACTATGCAGCCATAAAAAAGAATGATATCATGTCTTTTGCGGGAACATGGATGGAGCTGGAGGTCATTATCCCTAGCAAACTAACATAGGAAAAGAAAACCAAATACCACAGGTTCTCACTTACAGGTGGGAGCAAGATGATAAGAACTTATGAACACAAAGAAGGAAACAACAGACGCTGGGGTCTACTTGAGCGGGGAGGATGGGAGGAGGCAGAGGAGCAGAAAACTGTTGGGTACTGGGCTTAATAACGGGATGATGAAGTAATACATACAACAAGCTCCCCATGACATGTGTTTACCTGTGTAACAAACCTTCACACATACCCCCAAACTTAAAACAAAAGTTAAAAATAAGGGACATAGCAGCTTAAACTTGACATATATTTAATGACTTTTGTTTGAATTCTTCAGGTAAAATATAAATAGATTTTCTTTTGTTCTTTATTGAGATTCATCCTTTAAGTTGCTTATGTTGATATTTGCTTATGTTGATATTTGCTTATTGTAGATCTAGTGGATTGGAAAATTATGGGAAGATTTTATTTATATTTGAGTAGTCACTTTTTTTTTTTTTTTTTGAGACAGTCTTGCTGTGTTGCCCAGGCTGGAGTGCAGTGGCACGATCTCGGCTCACTGCAAGCTCCACCTCCCGGGTTCACGCCATTCTCCTGCCTTAGCCTCCCGAGTAGCTGGGACTACAGGTGCCCGCCACCATGCCTAATTTTTTTGTGTTTTTAGTAGAGACGGGGTTTCACCATGTTAGCCAGGATGGTCTCGATCTCCCGACCTCGTGATCCACCCGCCTCGGCCTCCCAAAGTGCTGGGATTGCAGGCGTGAGCCACTGCACCTGGCCGAGTAGTCACCTTTTATGAAGATGTGTAGCAGAATACAGTTAAGAAAGGAATAATAATTAGACTTGGTAATTCCTATTTGAACATATGGTTTTGTGAGGTTTTTGGGCTTAAGTGGTCTTAAAAGGTCAGAAATTTTAAAAATTATTTTGAGACAAAACATGGGAAAGGAGGGAGTTGGCCAGGAGTTTATCATGAAGCATATACAGGAGTCATCCCCTACGTTGACACTGGTAAGTTGTACTTCAGTCACATGAAACATGTCACCTTTCCATAAATACTCCATTCCCTTTTGTGATTTTGTTCTTTGCACATGTTGTTCTATCTCTGCCTGGAATGTGTTCTCCACCTTTTGATTGTCTGCCATGCAAGCTTCAGTTGATTCTTAAGGTTCAGTTTAAATATCACTTCCTAGTGAAACCTTTCATTAGTTATTAAGGTGGAATTGGTTGTCACCTCTACTGGTTTTTAATAGGGCTTTAGTGTTATCTATATGAGGATATCTGTCAGATTATAGCACAATTTCAATTTACATGTTTGTATCCCCAGCTAGACTGATAGTTTCTGAAGTAAAGAAACTGTGTGTTTATTTAGTATCCTAGTACTTAGTGCATAATTGGTATGCTTCAATAAATCACTAAAGTTAAATAAGGGATTTTTATGACTAAAACTATTAGAAAATTGTTAATTAAAAATAATGCTGTGGGCAGGGCATGGTGGCTCACATCTATAATTCCAACACTTTGGAAGGCCTAGGCGGGACGAATGTTTGAGCCCAGGAGTTCGAGACCAGCTTGGGCAACATAATGAGACCCCATCTCATTTTTAATTAATTAATTGTTTTTATGAATGGATGAATGAATGACTGACAGGGTCTTGCTCTGTCACCCAGGCTGGAGTGCAGTTGTGCAATCGTGGCTCACTGCACCTCAACTTCCCAGGCTCTAGCGATCTCCCTGCCTCAGCCTCCTGAGTAGCTGAGACCACAGGTGTGCGCCACCATGCCTGGCTAATTTTTGTATTTTTGGTAGGGACAGGGTTTCACTGTGCTGCACAGGCTGGTCTCAAACTCCTGAGCTCAGGTAATTCCTGGGATTACAAGTGTGAATGACCATGCCTGGCCCTCATTTTTAATAATAAGTTAAACAATTTTAAAAATAATGCTGTGATTGACAGATTAACTAGTTCTAATAACAATTTGTTAGTTGGACATGTAAGCTCTAATATTTTCCTCAAGTCTCTTTCTATCACAGGTGAGAAAAATGAGGCTTAGAGGATTCACCTAAATTAATGGTTACCTGATTAACACAGTATTAACCTGAACTAGGCTTTGTATAAATGGGTTTTTAGTATTTGTGAAATACAGAGATATGCCCTAAAGAGATGAGCTCTTTACTGTTTAAAGCATAGTTAACATACTTTAAAGATGATCTTATAATCCTACAACAGCTAACTGTTATTGAAAAAGAAGAGTTTGTTTCTGGAAACAAATTGGGTGTAAAGGAGATGACCAAAAATAGTATCCTGTTTCTTGTCAGATTTAGAAATATGCCATAATCCTAAAGTTATTTGTAACTACTTTATGATTTTATGCCTAAACTTAAATCTGCTTTACACGCTAAAATGTTAATGATATACATTTAATTTATTGGGCTCAATTTTTTACAGTTATCATCTGAAATGTGTGGAATCCTAGTTCTACTGAATACCAACATTTGTATGATGATAATTAGGCCAGATTTTATCCATAGAAGATGGGGCTTCCTGTCATACATTGAGAATTGAAAACCTTTGTTGTGGGAACAGCAGAATCCTATTTTTGGAGTTGTCTGTGACCTTTACTACATTATAATTTATGGCATGGTTGTCAGATGTTTATCATTCTCTTCTCTGCACTGACAACCACTGTATGAGTTTCCTTTTTTTTTTTTTTTTTAATTTCTTAACAGCTAAGCTGTTTAATAGAGTACTTTTTCGATGGAAAGCATACAAAAATAGTTTAGTTTTATTTTCATGTTATCTGATCTTTTTAGAGCATTCTGTTAGTCTAATCATAAATAGTTTTGGGATTTTCTGAACTTGTATATGGCCTAAACAACCATGGAAACTGAAGCTGCTCTCCACCCTTTTATTAAAAGAATGACAATATATATAAATTGGTTGTTTTGACACAAGAGTGGTATTCATTTATAGATGAATTTTAAAATCAAATTGTCTTCTAGGCCCTAGAATCAAGAGTATTGAAAACATGAAAGGTGCTTGTTAGGAGTTTGGGTGTAGAAATGCCAGACTCCTGTCTCTTGAGTTACATGTCAGAGGCAGGAAAGTATCCACAGAGTATCTTATGTCTGTGGATCCATGATTACTCTACTTTTTAGGGGAATGAGAAGAATAAAAATAAAGAATTCTTTACTATTCTTTGTGGGATTTATAAATCCTTTGGTTGTCGTCCTTTCCTCAAGAAAAGTAACGCTGGAAATTAAAAAAAAAATCAAGTTCAAGATGGTATTCTGGTTTTTTTTTTGAGGTGGAAGAAGGAAATAGAAAAGCCATTAGGCAACTCTAATCTTTTGACTAATGTCATATACCATGTTAGGCAACATGTTTGGTGGAAGCTACTATATATCAACTCCTTCAGGAGTCCTTACTTTGTCTGCAGTGAGTCCTGTTTTAGCAATGTAATATCAGATGCATTCTTGTGCGGAAGGAACCTCAATAGTCTTCTGAAAACTTTTGGTGGCCTGCTTTATGACTTGCTAGACAATTGATACTTTAATGATGTTGTATATGCTGAGCATTAATCTCCATCTATACTTTAAGTATGTTCACTTCTTGCAGAACTTCTCAAACTTCAGTATTTTTGGTGGTATTCCTTTTGCTGAAATAATAAATTCCTGGGATTCTTTATGTTTGTAGAATTTAGAATTTTGCTTTTCTCCTTTTAATTTTGTTTATTCTTTTAGTAAACATGGGAGTACTGAAGAAATACTTTATTAAATTGAATTCAAGTAATATCTAAGGCTACAGTCTGATATACTCTAGGATGTTTTTTCCATCTAATTGGTTTAGAAGATTAGAATTTTCTATAGATTGAATAAACAGGACTTGTCTATATTTGGATTGTTTGGAATTTTATTTTTCTACTACTTTCTGACATTTCCACTGATAAGCCATAAGTGAATGTGCATATACCCTTTTTTGGACTTGTGGTAATAAATTAGGACAGTTCATCATTAGATTTACGATGAATCTGTTGGCTTACAAAAGTTCACTCCAGTGGAGTCATTTTCCTTTTGAGATTGCCTAATACTAAACTTGGACATTCTATTTGAAGTTACTTTGTGGTAGCAACATTCCAGAGCTTTGTTGGTCCAGACTGGCTGTTTGAAAGAATCTTCAAGCTGCTTCTGTCTGGTTATGAAAATAATTGTATATGCATAAAAATCAATATATTCTCATTCCTAAATTGACCCATAATGAAGTGCTTCTCATGTTAAAGCTCTGTCTTGAGGAGAATTCATTAAACAACAGCACAGAGATATTTTTCTCTCTAAAACTGACAATTTAGCTTATTGCTGTTGCTATATTGTCTGTAGGTTTGCCTTCATTATTGTTTTTTAAATATTGAAACAATGCTTTACAAGTGTATTTACAAGTAAAATATTCTTCTTAACCCTGTAGGAGTTGGAAATTCAGAATCTTTTCTGGGGGAAGAGAATATGGGGAGGTAGTATTGAGAAAGTCTTAAGGATTTAAAATGAATGCCACTTAATAAATATACCCCCTATTAATGTGAGTGAGTTAGTCAACCTTTTTTTTTGTGCGGGGGTTGGGGGTTGAAAACTAAAGATGGAGTACCTTTTCAAAGGCACTAGAGGTCCTCAGTTGACTATGAGTATGCTGTACATCCAGGCTTCATTTTCATGTGTTTATTTGGTAACACATGCTTCAGAATTACTCTGGGTAAGAACTTTGAAATTGTACAAAGAGACTACTTGATTCTAGGGAACCTAGAATAAAGTATCGAAATGTGATTTTTGTGAAAGTTTTGAGGAGATGTTAACTTGGATTTTAGGTATCAGATGAATTGAAGGCATGAGTATTTTAGCAATGAAACAAATAAAAGGAAACTTTGATTGATTGGGGTGTGTTATTTTTTTTAAAGTCTGTGCAGTTAGTTTGAATTTTGCCTTCCAGGAGGTATTGCTTAATAACTAAGGGCATCTGTAATTTTCGTATATTTCTGGTTTTGAAAATGATCAGTAGAATATAATTTAGACTATTAAGAATGTAATGCTATGCATAAATTGAATTTAAATGGAGTGGAATGGCTTTTAATTAAAATAGAAGTTTGTATTCTCTGAATTTGCCTTTTGCCTTTTAGAATATCATTTACAGTATTTGGGGGCTTTCAAATTTTGTTTGTCAGTGTCATGGTTTACTTTAAGCCATGCTGATCAGTATATAGAGGATGTGCATGTGGCTTAGTGACAAAACCTAAACTTCTGCCAAGGTTTCCCTGTTTTCTTAGTTCTGTGATCTTGAGCAGTTCACCTTTTTGCATCTTTCCTAAATTGTAGAATAGGGATGCAGTATCAAATATATAATTAAGAGGACCAAATGAAATATTTGTGTACACGAGTATATTAGGAAATTGCTCTTTAAGAATAAAAAAGAAGTGTTCATTGGCCCTCCTCATTTCTGGGATTGGTAATATATTGTCTAATTTGGAGAGGTAACTAGACTTTAGGTTTTTTAATTAAAAATTTAATATATTACATAATTTAGTGTACATGTGTAATGAGTACATTAAAACATTAAAATACATTAAAATTTTCTGAAACTATTGTATTTATGCAATATTTTATTATTTCTTAATCTCACTAATTAAAGATATGATTATATACCCAAATGTGATCATTTTCCTTTATGCCTACTAAAATACAAATAAAATGGATTTGATATTTGAGTTTTAGGAAATGATAGTGCTGTCACGCCTTTTAGTAAAGCAAGTACTCTGGCTCTTTCATGCGTTTTTAAAACTTAATGCTTCTTAATTTAAACATCTTTCATATTTTTTCCATTTGATTTCATCTAACACTTTTTTTAGCACTTACTTTGAAACCACATGTCTTCATAAACAAAGATAATACTTAACTTGCACCTTAAGGTATAGATGAACTAGTTGGGACACAATGTATGGTACTACCACATTATATTTGAAATTTTAGCAGTCTCTGTAACTGTAATTTCTGTTAACTGAGACATACTAGTGAGCTAAGGGTAAGTTTAATATAATTTCTGCTCTATCCAGAAGTATGTGTACTTTTTAGAGTAATATGTGATATAGCAAAATTCTGATACAATAAAATAACTCGTGAACACCCAATTTGAAGTGTGAGAATGTAATTTGATAGATATTTGAATAAAAATGCACAAATAACATAAGACACCTACACTGAATGACTTTTATGTACTATCAAAGGAAAAATATGAGTATAGAGATATGGAGACACAATTAGGATACCTCAGTGGTAGACAAAAATTATGTTTTTTTATGTCTTAAGGAAAGCTGCTTACAGAGTTACAAAGTTCTTATTTGTAGTGAGCAATAGAATTAACATTTGTCATAGGAATTGAGAATTTTAGAGATAAATTTTATTTTAACATATATATGAAATATGAAAATCAAAATAAATAAAATATATGTAATTTTCTGTATGCCCTGACAGAGATCTAAGAATGAGGAAACGTTTCATTTACTAAATTGAGGATTGTAACATAAAGAATAGGGTAGAATTCAAACAGAAGTCATAAAATTGATTGTGGCATCTCCATTCCTGGCATTTATTTTATTTTTTCCTTTCTTTCTAAATCCGAGAGAGGAAATGGAGTACCACTGGAGGATAATAACTTGACAAAACTATAGGCATTAATAGGCAGAAATCCATTTAATCAAATTTGTGTGAAAATAAGATAGTTAAGAATATTCGTGTGTCAAAATAACTTTTTAAAGTATCAAATTATTCTCTAACGTCAGATTTTTTGTGTTTGTGAACATTGTTTTAAAATTTCTAAACTTCTTTATGATACAATATTGAATTTAATATCAGTAACTCAATTTATTAATAGCATGGAATTTTTTTAGAAATGTTTGTTAAAAGTTGACTGGACTTTAGAGGGGAAACATCCTCAAGGGCACTTTAAAAGTAGCTTGTATTATATATTCTGAAACTCCATTTCATTATTCACTGTATGAAATTATGATAATATTGGAATAGGCATGCTGATAATGTGCATGTTGTAGTCAAATGACTATTCATATTAGTTCAGATGTAAATAGCTCAGTTCTGCACTGTTTCTCAGCAGAGCAATAAATAACAAAATTAAGTCATTGTTTTTGCATGGAGAAATTAACCACTACTACCAAATATGGTAACATAATTGGAAGATTTTTTAATTGGCAGAAATTCACATTTGAAAAGCAAAATAAAAGTGAAAGATAAATTTAAATGACAAACCAGTAACCAGGATCAAAGATGAATATGACCTTTTTCATTTCAAAGTTGTCTCATTTTTCCTGTCACTAAATGGATAAGCATTTATAAATTTAAGCACTTTGTCATGTCATTTTATTGCCTAAGATTGAACTGATATTCATAAAATTAACTCATTTTAAAAGTTCAGATTATAGAAATTATAGGAATTAAGAATTATAGAAAGTAAGAATTACCAAAGTCAGCGAAATCTGTTTCTTACCTTGGCAGCTGTGATCATCACAGTATAGAGTATTGTGTTGTATGAAGTCTTACGGGTGTTTAGCTGGGGAGTTTTCTGACTCTGTCACCCAGTTTATGGGAACAGTTGCAGTAGGTGGAGGAGAAAAAGTGTTCTAGGGAGGTCTTATGATGTCACATAGGAATTCTGAAGTTTCGATTGGTTAGCCACAGTCTCAGTCTTATCACAACCAAACTTTAGAACTTCTTACTTTAGGTATGGAAAAGTCATTAACACTTTGTGCTTCATCTTTTGTTTTTAATTTAAAACAGTATATGGTAGATAAATGAAAAAAATAAGTAAACTTGAGGTGGTGGAAAGCTTTTGTTAAAGATTCATGCATCTTCAGGCTTAGAGATAATTGAATATTAATGGTGAAGATGTTGAAGAGCTAAAATAGTTACTGCAGGAATTTTAATTATGAGAAAAATAAACACAGGTATAAGCAAAACAACTTTCATTGAATTCTTGCTGCTGTTGCTTTAATACGTGTCTTCATAATGTTAGCTTTTAGTGAAAGTGAAATATTTTTACACAATAAAATTTTATACCTGTTTTCTTATTTTGTTCTTGTTCTTGTGTGTATGGGAGAAGGAGTATGAGAAAATCAGGCTAATTGCTTTTTGTTTTAAAAAATTATTTTTATCTTACAGTTAAAGAACTAATAAATGTATTTAATTCATTTGTGTTTTCTTCAATTAGCAGTTTAACAATATATTTGTGAATAGTAATACTTATATTTAAACTGATACATACAACACCCCCAAAATAGCAATATGCTACTTTAAGTATTTAAGATTTTTTAAAAACAATTGCATTAAATTATTACACAATCTTACCAAATTTTTAATAAACTGATGCAGTATTAAGGGCAACTTTATGGCAAAAAAGAAATAATTACAGATTCCAAATCAGTTACATCTCAGTTAATGAGGCTTTATAGGTTTGATGTGTTGAAATTTAAGTTTTGTAATGTTTTTGAAAGGATGTGCCTCATTTAATCTAGCAGTTGCTTTCCTGAAAATTACTATAAAAATGAGATGCTAGTAAGTGAGATGATATTTTGAACTTCCTAGAACAGTTTATCTTACAGTAGAACTGGGGAAATAATTTTTTTGTAAAGCCGGGCATCATTCTCCTCTTCTCTGTTTATCTAATTTGTTGTCTTAGATGTTAGATTTACTTAAGTCACCACACTCGAAAATATTAATTCTTAAATCTCTTCTTTAATTTTAGAGGAGGTACTTGTAATTTTTAATTTTTTAAATGCTTATGACAGAGTGAACTTAGCCCACTTCACTTTCTTATGGGTAACTAAAATGTGTAGCAGCAGCTGCTTACATGCCCTTAAATGGAAATGATCTTGGCTTCTTCCAAAGAAAGAAAATCCATCTCTAGAGCAAATCATTTGATATTTAAAGAGTCAGCTTAAAACTAACTGAAAAATAATATTTTAGCAAAGATATCCTGTGAACATTGCCAAGGGAAAATTTACAACTTAAAAGTAAAACCCAAGTTAAGGAAATTGCAGAATAATGTTTGATACTTTTCTCAGTGCTACAACCATTTTTCTTTCAATCCTTACATAATGAGGATCTCTCAGTACTATCAGTTACCAATGATGATTGATAATACAAAACCGAGAAGCCTAACGAGGTTTACAGTAATTTGTCAGAGATAACCAGCTGCTAAAGAATAGACAGGATTCAAATCCAGATCTGTCTGTTTATAATTCCTAATCTGTTGGCATGCTGTGGGAAAAAATTATAATTTGAATATAGCTTTCATTAGAGTAGCATATAGTAACTGAGAAATTTTTAAGATGTAAATAGATGCATTCTTGAGCACTGTTAATAGTTTTAGAAAGTCTGCTTTAAGTTTGTCTACCAGTTACACATTCATTTGAAATTTAGGTGATAGATCATTGTTCTGAGAACTTCTCATTCTAAGAAAATAGAATTAGTAATACTTAGTTGGATAAACCAAGAAGCTGCCGTAGACAGAATAAAATATGCCCTAGTTACCACATGTTTATAAGTTTACTTAAAAAGTATACATAGGCATATACACACCTTAGAAGGATACTAACAACTGTGTGTGACACAGTTGGAAAATGGATTCAAAAATTTACTTTTTAGATTGGTACAAGAGTGGGGAGTTTTTGTGTTTACCTTGTTCCTTTGGGTTAGCTAGTGAAGATGACGATGATGGTGATGATCTCATGTGGAACTCTAGGAAGTATTAGATTTTAGTTTTAACTGAACATTGTTTTTAATTGCCCAAACAGAAAGTTGTTTAATAGGAGTATTAATGAGTTATAGTGTTATCAGTAGAGTGTTCCTCAATGATTCCTCAGCTAGAGGCTAGAAAATTTTTTTGAGGTGCTTTGTCACAGTCTTCATTTGGAGTTACACTATAGTTTGAATGTATTTTTGGTCACATGGCTTTATACAAATAACTTTCCTAAGCAGCCTAATCTGTGGAATAGTATTTGTGATGGTTTAATGACATGAAGTGTACATAGTGATTATCAGAGATCCTGCAACAGTGTTCATTTAGTGTTAGCACTTATTTTCTTTTTTCCTTTAGAAGGTGGATTCTTAAGGGTAAAGTGTCTTTGAACTTGGATGGGAAAATAATTACAAATTTATTTTTACTAAGCTCTAAATGAAATTTAGTATTCAGTTTCAACTGAATCATGAGTTCATGTCTTTACTTTTGTTTTTATATAGTTTTGTAGCATTTTAAATGTGTTCCTCAAAAGTATTACTAATTTTTTTTGGAAGGGGGTGCGGAGTCTCACTCTGTTACTCAGCCCCGAGTGAATGGTGCGATCTCAGCTCACTGCAACCTCTCCCTCTCGGGTTCAAGCGATTCTCCTGCCTCAGCCTCCCAAGTAGCTGAGACTACAGGCGTGTGCCACCACGCCCAGCTAACTTTTGTATTTTTAGTAGAGATGGGGTTTCACCATATTGCCCAGGCTGGTCTCAAACTCCTGACCTCGTGATCTGCCCACCTCGGCCTCCCAAAGTGCTGGGATTACAGGCGTGAGCCACCGCGCCCAGCTATATTACTAACGTTTTGTGAAGGGCACTGTGATGTATGTAGTAATCTTTTACATTGAGCATTTAAACTCCAGTCTGTAGTGGTGTATCCGGAGGGCGAAGAAGCTTCAAAATAGAATCGGTTTTTGGAAATTTTTGACCAGAAGTTAATATAAGTGATGACTAAATTAAAGCATTTTAATATTTAGACAGAGATACAGTAAAATGCAAGCTTTGAATCAATTTTTGTAATGTTCACAATACATCAAAGATAAGGAGCTTTTTTTAGATTAGATCTCCTAGACACCCAGGAAGAAGATTTTACCTATCTCTTGAGGGTACTTGAGGGTTTGATAATTACTGCCTTAAATTTTAAAGCTACGTAGGGAAGGACTGGTTCAAAAAACATCTAAGCAAAACTGCGAATAAGAATTAGTGGTCTGAGATTGAGAGGATGGAAATTCTCTCCATAGGGCAATAGGGAAAAGAAAATAAGATTTACTCATCAACTGGAGTTGGGGGGCTGTTGATATAACCCAGTGATAAAGTAACCTATAAAGCTTAGGGGTCATTTGGGGGAGGTAGGTTCACTTTTCACTTGATTTGCCAGATAACCTGGAGACCCAAACATTTTATTTTTTCATAAATATCTGAATTCTGGGCAAATTCTCTTTCCTCATCTTGATGAGGGGTGGAGAAGAGCATTGACATTAAGAGAGGCCAGATGGATTAAGAAAAGGACTCATATAGGTCTACATAAATTTTGGAAAGTTATTAAACATTCTAAGTGATAGAAATGCTATAGCATGCTACGTGGCTTCAAGGAAATTATGGTTTATCAGTATACAAATAATATGGAAATGAAAATTTAACATTTAGAAGGTAACCACTAGTGCAAGATAACACCAGGAGAAAAAGAAATTCCCAATTGAGAGTCAAATGAGCACGTGTAATAATAAGCAGTATGACTTCTAAGAGAAGTGCATGTTTTGTACAAAGGAAACGGACAGAACCAAAGCCAAAAATAACAAAGGGAAACACATACATCACAAAACAAATTTAACAACAAAAACCAACCCTTAGGTCTCCAAATACTTGCTTCAAAATTCTATAGGGTCCCGATCATGATGCTGTTACATTGTTAAGAAGGTTCTATTTCAATTTAATGATTGTAGTATTTCTCCAGACATATTAAATTTCTTATCTTTGTGGTTGATATCTCAGCCCTTTGAGCTCCTCGCATTCGCAAACTTTGTGGTGGCACTATCACTGATTTTGATACAAAATTGAAATTGGAGGCTCATACCTTTTCTGTCTTCTGCCAGACTCCCCATTCACTTAGAAACCAAATGCAGATTGTGAAATATGTCTTTGTTCTCATAGCCTGACCAACTCTCCTCTTAACTTTCATAGACGTTTATTAACTAGTTTTTCTACCCTTCGTTGTGACTCTTTCCTACTCAGTTTTTACTCTGATATCCAAGTGCACATTTGATTGTCATTCACATGCTGAGAACTTTTTATTGATTTCTCTTTCGAGATGAAAAACCCACTCTTTACAGAATTACATAAAACATCGTTCCTGATCTGTCCATTGCCATGTATGCCTACCATAACGATTTGACAACTCTGCCATTATATGTTATTTCTTCTATCCGAATTATTTTCCTTACTGTCTTGTTCTTATAGAACTCCTTCATTATTCAGAAGTAGGTGGGGAGAAGCCCTGTTTTGCTTGTTCTTAATTTCTAATTATACAAGTAATAAGTGAATATCTCTTATAATTCAGAAAAGTCAGATAAATCTGAAGTTGGTGGGGGACTTTTTATATTATATAGGTCTATTTATTTTCCTTGCCATAAACTTCATGAATAGAGACTGATTGATTTTTTTAAGCTCTACACACTGTTTATCCCTTAGAAGGCTCAATAAGATATTTTTATACTTAATGGATATTTAGAATATTATTTTTCTATTACAAGTGAACTCTTAAAAAGGATAAGTTGAAAGAAGAGAGAATAAAGGCCCTCAGAAACTTAGATAAACTAATTTTCTTTGTCCCTAATGATTGCCTCTGAAAAGTTGAGATTTTTCTTGCACTTAATTCTTTAACTTGTTCACACTTTGACGTGTGTGTAACATCAAAAAACAATTTCAACAAATTGAGTTTAATTAATTGGCTTTGATTAATGATTCATGAATTGGGCAGTGTCTCTATAAAAATAGGCCATCAGATGAGCTAAGTGGAGGAGGTGGGCTTTCTAGGCAGAAAGAGGCTAAAGAAAGAAGGAACAAAAAGTGAATTGGTTATTGTAAGTTACTTTCCTTATAAGGTTAAAACAGACTTCTTTATCATGCTAATTCAGGTAAACTGGGCCCTTTCTGATTGGTTGCTGTGAATATCCTGTTTTTTTTTTTTTTTTTTTTTTTGGGAAAACTTGGTGATGTTGAAGTTCAGTTTGGTTATGTGGCTCCTAGCAGGAGTGGCTCCATTCTTGTTTGGTCTGGTCTGTTAAGACTCAGCCCAAAACAAACCAGAGTGACTGCATTGTGGTTTGGCGTGGGCTATTAAGTCTCAGTCCAAAACAATGGCATTCCATAGTTTTGTGTAACCATAATATAAGAGATTTTTGGAGTGGTTGAAGGTTGGTCAAGGAATATTAATGAGGAGTTGAATTGGAACTGTCATTCTCATTTTTTTGTCCTCTCTCTACCTTACTCTATGATTTTCAGAAAATGAATCTTTCTGTACTGTAGTTTTCTCGTAAATAAATGGAAGGCAGATCGAATTAATTTCTAAAGTCTCTTTGAAGCCCAAATGTTCTGATTATACTAAACTAGCTTGAAAAATGTGGTTATTTTGAAAGTAGCTATTAATTTTAGCTAATTTTGTTAAACATGTAAATTTCACAAGAAGCCAGTTCTTAATTCATTTCTTTAAACTACTGGTTTACTGGTTGTCAGGCACTCTATTAGGTAAGGAATGCACTTAAAAAAAAAGTCCTTATCTTCAGGCATGTTAAGCTTTTAAAAACTCTAAAAAACCCTAAAACATTACCTGTTCATTGGAGAATAATTTTAAATATGCTTGGGCATTTTTGTGTGCTGTTTATTAAAAATATATGTTACAAATTTTAATGTCTTATTTTTACTATGTAAATGTGAGTTTGGCATATAATACACCATAATTTGTGAATTTTCTTATTGAATATCAGGGGATATAATTTTTGCCATTATAAACCTTAAAAAACAACACTGTGATTCCATCTATGTAAATAAATCTGTTAAATTCTCTTTTTTCTCTTGGTTCTGTAAACTTGTTATTCCTAAACATTAGTTCATGTAAGGCTGATCAGGCTTGTAAATGAATTTGATTTGTTTTTGAAATGTAATAATTTTCAAGATTTGGTCAGTTACATTTCCTTATAATTAGAGAAACTTCTTTGAGAAAATGAGCTAAAATTATACATTTTTGGGGTGAGAATTAAACTCTGAATTAGTAAACATCCTGAGTGACATGACTGTACCAACTAAGCAACTAAAGAAATTGCACTTTTAGTTAAGATCAAGTGGCTTTTTGATCAGTGCTCCTGCTCTAAGGATGAGGGAGGTAATCCTACCTTAATGTAGATCTGAGCTTTTATTTAAAGACTTTGATAATATCAACATTTAAGATAGGTTCTTGATTGCTTCAGGTGGAGAACCTCTAAAACATAATGGCTTCTATGCTTCAGTTACACAGTTAGCCCTCTTTAAGTTTGTAGAGTAAAATTAGAACTGAACCTTGATTTTTCAGCAGATACATTCTTGAGAAGGTTATGAAAATAGATTTTGATATGTGGAATTCATATTTACTTTATAAAGCAAAAGATGTAAAAATGTTCCAGTGGAAATAAACCCAACTTCCTGATATGTAAGCATTGTAACTTTTTACTGGCAACTTAATTACGCTACTGAGAGTTATACATGGTTTTGCTATATTTCAGGAAAGCCATACTTCATCCTTAACTCATCTCCAAATTAAAAGCTTGCATAGCATAGCAAAAGGGCATGAACATCTCATCATCTGCTGATTTAATTTGCCCTTCAGTTGGTCAAAGGTGATGAGTGGGCTCCAGGACCAACATTAGGATCAAGAGGATGCCTTTGGCAAAGTCATTTGTAAGGCTGCCCCGTTAATGTATTCTTTTCTCAATGGGCTTATTGCTTAATTGAGGGTACTATGGATATCTGAAAAGTTGATTGTTGACTCCAGTATTAATACATTGATTTTTTTTCCCTTAGCTAACTTGAAAAAGTAACATAACCCAAAATTCAATATTTGGATAAGTATGAGTCCGTATAATGAATGTTAGACAATGAAAACATGCTCCTGAAACTTCACACTTCCAAAATAGAACGAAGTATGGCCATTGAAGACTGTCTTTCAAATTTATCTCTATATTAATAGCAAACTAAAATTAGTTGTGCAGATTAGTTGAAGTTTCCCTAGGTCTGACTGAAATGAGGCTAGACCGCAAGGGTCAGAAAGCATTATTTATTTATTTATTTATTTATTTATTTATTTATTTATTTAAGATGGGGTCTCGCTCTGTTGCCAGGCTGGAGTGCAGTGGCGTGATCTTGGTTCACTGCAAGCTTCGCCTCCCAGGTTCAAGCGATTCTCCTGCCTCAGCCTCCCTAGTAGCTGGGACTACAGGTGTGCATCACCACACCCAGCTAATTTTTGTATTTTTAGTATAGAGACGGAGTTTCACCATGTTGGCCAGGATGGTCTACATCTCTTGACCTCGTGATGTGCCCGCCTTGGCCTCCCAAAGTGCTGGGATTACAGGTGTGAGCCACTGTGCCCGGCCAGAAAGCATGATTTTTAATCAAACATAGGTTTGCATACTGATCTTTGAGCTATAATCTTTTAAGTGTAGATATTTCTTACTGTTAACACATATCATTGCTAACAAAATGGTAACCTTCTGTAGAAATCTCCAAATTTTCATATCAGTCAGTAGTTAATAAACATTGTCAGGTGCTGTGCTGAGTATCAGGGCACAAATGAATAAGACCCAACTTATCATGATACAGGAAAGGAACCACTGCCATAATTACTATTACAGTATGCTAATTACAGTACCTGTTTTTGCTGTTGGAAATACTTTTGGATTTTTTTCAAGGCTGATAAATATCCCTAGGGTGTTCTAGCTACTCATCCTCTTTTTGTTAATTGTGTACTATAGGCCAGTGATGAACTGGACTCTGGAGATTTAAAAAAAAAAAAAAAGACATCGGCATCAGCAATCAACTTGTTCCTGTTTTATGACCTATACATATACAGGGAGCTGTCTGAACTCCACTCAACAGTTTCACCATGAGATTATTGTTGACTCCTGAGACCATTTTAAAAATGATATTTTTAACATATAAAAGAAGAAAACATTAGTGACCCATAACTGCACAGATAGAAAAGAAAAAAGTAATATGTAAATGGTAGGAAAAGTCAGATAAATCCCAATTGATAGAAAGTAAAAGCATGCTCCCTCTCCCCTCAAGATAGCTCCCTTTAGTAGTTTCTTTTTTTGGGGGGAGGGAGAGCATCATGATAAATACCTAATGCATGCGGGGCTTAATACCTAGGTGATGGGTTGATAGGTGCAGCAAACCACCATGGCACAGGTTTACCTATGTAAGAAACCTGCATGTCCTTCACATGTATCCCGGAACTTAAAATAAAATTTAACAAAAAAAAGTAAAAAATAGTTTCTTTTATATCCTTTTAGAAAAATTCATTGCTACATTTCAAGATAATGTAGGCAGTGCTTTGGTCCCTTAACATATTTGTCACTTAATGACAGGAATACATTCTGAGAAATGAGGCAATTTCTTTATTGTGTAAACATCGTAGAGTGTACTTACACAAACCTAGATGGTATAGCCGACTAACAACTACACGCCTAGGCTATATGGTATTTGCTCCTAAGCTACAAACCTGTACAGAATGTTATTGTACTAAATACTGTAAACAATTTGTAACACAGTGTTACTGTGTACCTAAATATATCTATAGAAAAGATATAGTAAGAATGAGGTATAATCTTAAGGGTGCAGCATTTACAGGAACATTATTATGCAGTGCATGACTATCAAATATTTTTATCCCTTGAGAGTAAAATATGATAAAGACTTGATTAAATATATGTTGTTAGTCTGATTTTTAAAATAAATTAAAATGTTAGCACCTGTACTATAGCTTTGTTTTAGTAGAAGCTGGTTATATAGTGTAGTAAATTTGCTATTCATAACCTTGGGCAAGATCCAAAATAGAGCCATATTGTATTAAGTACTTCATTTTGATAAACTTCTTTTATTTCAGTTTCATAGATACCTGTTTCATAAATTGTCAATTATATCATTAATTTTTTTTCCATTTTTATTGTCTGGTTTGTTAATTACAAGGGATTGATTCATTAAATTCTGTTTATATTTCATCTAAAAATTTAAAAAGTAAATTATAGCAACAAAATGCTTGGAAAACATTACATTCTATTTGTTTTATAAGTAAAGTCCATGATTAACCTTAATTTGAATACTTAAGCTTCATTTGTTTTACCTAATCTTCTAATTGATTTGCTTAAAGAAAGTAAGTTACTGTCTGTCTTGGATAAACCATTTCTTCTCTTCACTTTTGTACTATGATTGTAATGAGATCATGTTGCATGCATGGCTCATTTCTTTGTTGGAATTTTTTAAAGACATGATAATACTAACCGATGATATATAAACTGGATTGATTTTTAAGAGGAAAAATTTTTCTCCCTCCAAAAGAAAAGAGATAATAGTAATTTAGTTGTTTAGCATGTTGGAAATCAGAAATACTTTGAGTTCCCTTTATCTTCATGCATATGCATTCTTAAGATGTTTTTTATATATATATTTATATCATCAGTTTCTTTTTATCATTTTTTCAGGGTCTTTTACCTTTCAAGTAACTCAATTTACTTGAATTGTTATTTCAGTAAATCATATTAGGATGTCAAAAAGCTTACAGAGTTAGTAACAAAAACACATTGAAGAAATAATTAGATTATTAAAAACAGTTTCTTCTATAATATAAACTTTGAGGGTCAAGATGCAGACTTCAGTATAATAGGAAGGGGTGACTGATAGAATGGTTTTTTTGTTGTTGTTAGAGAAATACGTAATAATGCACTCCATAAATAATTACATGGGCTTAGTTAAGACGTAGATTTTATATTAAGTGCACAGTTCTTTTAGTAATAACATAATTCATATTTTCCTTCTCTTGGTGAATAAAGATTCTTTAAATTTTATGTTATTTGTATTATTTTCATCTTCATTACTGAGCTTTGTGAATTTATTTACTTTTTAGTTAAGGTATGACTCTTACCAGAAAACACTTGTAGAGTATCTCTTCAGATAGACTATTCCAGGAAACAGAGGAAGATTTACTGTGTTACGTGACATGTTGTGAGTGATGAATAAGCTCAGAGACAAAGGCAAGTGAAGGAGAGATAACAAACTTGAAGAATTGCAGAGGTTGTATTCCAGTCAAGTGTGGTAGCACTGGATTATCTAAATTTAACAGTATTTGTCCAGGCCAAAGAATTTTGAACTATTTTCAGCTGCACTACAGTAAACTTTTATTAGGAGCATGTTTGGCCATTAAGTGACATATTTTGGCAACTTTTCATAGTATCCGGATCTCATCTAAGTAGCATGTGTTTGGGATTGTTGTAGATGCCTGCTATCCTTACTCAATTTTGAGAGTGGAATCTGCCATTTCCAAGAAGAGGTACCTATGTATATTTTCTGGGTCTATAAATCTATATGGTTAGGGTCTACATGCCTACATTAGGGTAGAGAACAGTGTGTCATATGCATTTTTAGGTAAAACATCTAAATGAGGCCTTCCCAGTGCTCCCTGAGTTTGGCAGCTACTAAATATATATATAAAATGTTTACCTGTAAAAATGTCTCTGTTTCACCTTTACACATTTTGAAATGTTACTTTGATGGCATACTTTGTTTCTTCAAATTAACTCACATAGTTACAAGGTTTATAACTACCTTTTACATTGCATGTTCATGTCAAAGTTTTGTCATTAATAAGTTATAAATTATATGCTTAAATTAACATGTTCTAGATTACTTATATTGGTTACAGTGATGTAGAAACATGATAGATTACTTTGAAATTCTAAGTAGAACAGCATAGCAACAGTAATTTTATGATTTATCAATATGTGAATTTTGATACATGTTTTTCTATCAAAACAAGTACCTCGGTTTTCTGGGATATTGTCAAGATGTATATTTTACTAGTAATATATAACTGCCATGCAATGGTATGCTTCTCAAAGCCAGTTATGACTTTACTGAATAAAAATTCTTGTTTTCTAACTACTTGGGAAAAAATGTGTTACTAAAGGGATATAGGGGAGAAGTTATTTGAATATAAAATCCTTTCCTCTTTTCTATATTAGGAAGCAGGATTGTCTTCTGCCTTAATAGAAGGCTTCTTTGTTCTCCTAGAGTTCTGACAGCGCCTAAGAACCAGCTTGTAGGTTGTTATCAACTTCATTCTTCATCCATGCATTCTTGGTGTAGGGTATATATGTCATCTGGCCTTTTCTCTTATCTCATGGCTAGTTGCAGATGTGGAGTTGCACCAAAGTGATGATGAGATAGGAACTTACAGCCACGACAGTGCATTCTGTCATCTATAGTGCATCTTTGGGACTTAAGGATTCTCTTCTAGCAGATGAGGCCTTTATTTCCCTTCAATACTTCTTCTAAGGTAGAAAGTGAAATAAAGTATAAGTATTTCCTGTATTATATTTTTTGTTGATGTCTAACATACAGTAAAGTACATAGGAATATTAATCTTTAATAATAGCTCCATTCCAATACACACCCACATACATCTCCCCTTATAATCACCACTCAGGTCAGGATACAAAATTTCTAATGCCCAGTAGGTTTAGCTTGTGACTCTTCTCAGTCTTTATGGTGACACCTTATATCCTACCCATCTCTACTGTTCTGACTTACCATTATTGATTATGTATGGTCTGTGCTAGCATTCTTTTGTTTAGCATAATGTCTCTGAATTTAATCTATGTTGTTTTGTATAATAGTAGTTCTGTTTTATTGCTATATAGTATTCTAGTGTATACTTCTACCACCATTAATTATCTATTCCTTTGTTAACACATTTGGGTTGTTTCAATTTTATTATGATAAGTTCTTTTTGCTTCTACTGTTGTTGAGTGGGAGATATGTAAACATTTACCTACAATTTTAGAAAAATCAAATTTTAATATGATAATTGAAGTATAATTTACATGCAACTTTTAAGATTTTTAAAGATTAAATTTACATAAAATGCTATAATTTGAGTTTTGAAGAATGTATACAGTAGTCCTTTAATAAATTAAATCTATAAGATTTAATTTATAATTTAGGCATAGTAAGAAATTAACAATAGCTAATAATAAAATAGAATAATTATAACAATATGAGAGCATCACTACTCTTGCACTTTGGGGCCATTATTAAGTAAAATAAGGATTACTGGAACACAAATACTGCGATACTGAGAGTTGGTCCTTTAACCAAGATGGCACTACACGCCAGTGGGTGGATAGCATATACAGTGTGGATGAGCTGGAGAAATGGATGATTCACCTCCTGGGTGAGAGGAAACAAAATGGTGTGGGATTTCATCACACTACTTAGAATGGAGTACAATTTATAATTTGTGAATTTTCTTTATTTCTAGAATTTTCCATTATTAATATTTTCAGGCAACGGTTGACTGTGGGTAACTGAAACCAGAGAAAGTGAAACTGCGATTATATGAGGATCATTTTACTACAAGAGAAGTGTGCGACATTTCCATCACTCCAGAAAGCTACCTTTTGCCCCTTTGTAGTTAGTCCTCTACCCCGCTTGGCAACCACTGATCTGATTCTTATTGTTTTGCCTTTTGCAGAAGCCCTATGTATAGAATCAGATAGTTGATAGCCTTTGAGTGTGGTTTCTTTCACTTTTCATGCTGCTGTTGAGATTCATCCATGTTGTTGCATGTTATAAATTTGTGTGTGTGCCTGTGTGTGCTGAATAGTACTGTGTTTTGTGGATGTAGTACCGTTTTTATCCGTTTATCTTACAGACCCATGGGTTGTTTTTAGTTTCGGATGATTATGAGTAAACATTTGCCTATGGTTCTATGTGGACGTGTTTTTAGTTTTATTTGAGTATTTATTTTTATTATTTATTTATTTAGAGAAAACAGTCTGTACTGTCGCCCAGGCTGGAGTGCAGTGGCTCAACTGTAACTGCAGTTGTTCACTGCAACTTCTGCCTCCCAGGTTCAAGCCATTCTTGTGCCTCAGCGTCCCAAGTAGCTGGGATTACAGGTGTGCACCACCACACCTGGCTAATTTTTATATTTTTAGTAGAGGTGGGGTTTCACCGTGTTGGCTAGGCTGGTCTCAAACTCCTGGCCTCAAGGGATCCACTTGCCTAGGCCTCTCAAAATGCTGGGATTACAGGCATGACTGACTGCACCTGGCCTTTATTTGGTATTTATAAATACCAAATTCAATTTCCCATTTAATTACCTTTCCCCTTTGTTAAAAAATCAGTTTACTCTATGCATCATTAGATTTGTGGATCTTTATTCTGTTTCATTGGTCTGTCTATCCTTATGTCAATAATACAACCTCTGCCACCTGGGTTCAAGCGATTCTCCTGCCTCAGCCTCCTGAGTAGCTGGGATTACAGGCATGTGCCACCACGCCCAGCTAATTTCTGTATTTTTAGTAGAGACAGGGTTTTGCCATGTTTGACAGGCTGGTCTCGAACTCCTTACCTCAGATGATCCGCCCACTTCGGCCTCCCAAAGTGCTGGGATTACAGGTGTGAGCCACCGCACCTGGCCAGTTTTTTTAGTGATATTTTATAGTTTTCAGTGTACAGATCTTACACATAATTTATTACATTTTTATTTCTAAGCTTTTAATGTTTTTGATGTAAATGATAATACATTTTTAATTGCCCTTTTGTTGTTAATATATAGAAATATAATTGGTTTTTTAAAAAAAATTGACCCTGAATTGTATAATCTTGTTAAAGTCACTTATTGGTTCTAGTAGGTTTTTAATTGGTCTATTAATGTGGTAAATTGCATTGATTTTTTTGTTTTGTTTTGAGACGGAGTCTCACTCTGTTCTCCAGGCGGGAGTGCAATCGTGTGATCTCAGATCTCAGCTCACTGTAACCTCCGCCTCCTGGGTTCAAGCCATTCTCCTGCCTCAGCCTCCCGAGTAGCTGGGATTATAGGCATGAGCCACCACGCCTGGCTAATTTTTGAATTTTTAGTAGAGACGGGGTTTCACCATGTTGGCCAGGTTGGTCTTGAACTGCTGGCCTCAAGAGATCCACCTGCCTCGGCCTCCAAAAGTGCTAGGATTACAGGTGTGAGCCACTGCGCCCAGCTTGCATTGATTTTTAAATGCTAAACTTAACTTGCATTCCTGGGAAAACCGTATGCCAAACGTATTATCTATGTATAGCTCTATGTCTGGATTGGATTTGGTTTGATTTTGTTAAAGTTTTTTGTATCTATGTTCATGATGGATGTTGGTTTGTCATTTTCTTTTTTCCTACTGTCTTGTCTGGTTTTGTTATCAGAGCATTGTTGAACTCATAAAATGAGTTGGGAAATAATTCATTTTTTTTCCGCCTCTGAGTTCGTGGAGGATTGGTGTTAATTCTTTAAACATTTGGTAGAATCCTACAGTGTAACAATTTGGACCTAGAGATTTTTTTGGGAGCTTTTAAAAAATTATAAATTCAATTACTCTAATAGTTTATAGGACATTCAGATTATTTCATATTGAATGAATTTGGGTAAGTTTGTGTTTTTTAAGAAGTTGGTCTAATTCAAGTTATTGAATTGGTGTGTGTAGAATTGTTCCTAGTAATTACCTTATCTTTTTAATGTCTGATGGTCTGTAGTGATATCTATTTTACTCCCTAATAACTTGCCTCTTCTTTTTTTCTTTCTCAGTCTAGGTAATGGTTTATAAATTTTATTGATTGTCTCAATGAACTAGCTTATCTTTCTGAATAGATTTTTCTGTTTTTTTCTGTTTTAAACTCTATTGATTTTTGTTCTCAGCCTTCTTGTCTTCCATCTGCTTGCTTTGGGCTTATATTCTAGTTTCTAAAGATGGAAGCTTAGGTTGAGAGCTTTTTCCCTTTTTCTAATATAACTGCTTAGTGCTGTAAATTTCCTTCTCAGTACTGCTTTACCTGCTTCCTTAAAATTTTGATATTTTCATTTTCAGTCAGTTAAACCTGTGTATTATTTAGAAGTGTGTTGTTTAATCTCAGTGATCCCCCAAAATGATAGTATTGTATTAATTTGAATTCTGTATTTGCTTTAAGATGTATTATTGTTTTAAATACTGTCAATTTATAACATGCTTCATTATTTTTCAAGCCTAGCCCTATTACCTTTCTCAAAATTTTTCTTCTTCTACTGTTTTATATTTTCTTTAGATTTAGGTAGAAACCATCCAAAAAATCAGTACTTCATTTTAGGAGTAGACTTACTTTTCCCCCAATCCTTTCTATGATGATTCAGATACTCTATCTCAAGAGTTAATTTTGGTAATTGATATTTTCTTAGAAAGTGATCCATTTCATCTAAATCTTTAGATTTATTGTTATGGTATAAAACACAGTACAGTTTTATTTACTTTTTGCTCTCAAACTTTTTTATTCCAACCTTTATTTGGGGTTCAGGGGTACATAACCAGGTTTGTTACATGGTTAAATTGCATGTCACTGGGGTTTAGTGTACAAATGATTTGTCATCCAGGCAGCAAGCATAGCACCTAATAGGTAGTTGTTTTTTTACCCTCACCATCCTTCCACCCGCCCCCCTCATCAAGTAGGCCCTGGTATCTGTTGTTCCTTTCTTTGTATCCATGTGTATTCGATGTTTAGCTCCCACTTTTAAGTGAAAACGTGGTATTTTGTTTTCTGTTCCTATGTTAGTTCTCTTAGGATAATGGCCTACTCCATCCATGTTGCTTCAAAGGACATATTATTCTTTTATGGCTATGTAGTATTACATAGTATATACACTATGTATATACATAGTACCACATTTTCTTTATCCAGTCTACTGTTGATGGGCATTTAGGTTGATTCCATATCTTTGCTATTGTGAATAGTGCTGCGATGAACATGTTGTGCATGTGTCTCCGGTAGAATGATTTATATTCCTTTGGGTATATACCCAATAATGGGATTGCCATGTCAAATGGTAATTCTGCTTTGAGTTTTTGGGAAATCATCAAATTGCTTTTCACAGTAGCTGAACTAATTTATCCTGCCAACACTGTATAAGTGTTCCCTTTTCTCTGCAACCTCGCCAACCTCTGATTTTTTTTTCTTTTTAGTAATAACCATTCTGACTGGTATGAGATGGTATCTCATGGTTTTGATTTGCATTTCTCTAATGATTAGTGATATTGAATGTTTTTTCATATGCTTGCTGGCCGCATGTATGTTGTCTTTTGAGATGTGTCTGTTCATGTCTTTTTCCTTCTTTTTAATGGGGTTGTTTTTTGCTTGTAAATTTGTTTAAGTTCCTTATAGATTGTGGATATTAGACCTTTACTGGATGCATAGTTTGCAAATATCTTCTCCTATTCTGTAGGGTGTTTGTTTATTCTGTTGATAGTTTCTTTTGCTGTGCAGAAGCTCTTTTGTTTAATTAGGTCCCATTTGTCAACTTTTGGTTTTGTTGTGATTGCTTTTGGAGTCTTCATCATGAAATCTTTGCCAAGGCCTGTGTCCACAATGGTATTTCCTAGGTTATTCTCCAGGGTTTTTATAGTTTTAGGTTTCATAATTAAGTCTTTAATTCATCTTGAGTTGATTTTTTGTATATAGTATAAGGAAGGGGTGCAATTTCAGCCTTCTGTGTATGGCTAGCCAGTTATTCCAGCATTGTTTATTGAACAGGGAGTCCTTTCCTTTCTCTTTTGATTGTTTTTGTTGACGTTGATGAAAATCAGGTGGTTGTGGGTGAATGGTATTATTTCTGAGCTCTCTATTTTGTTTCATTGGTCTGTGTGTCTGTTTCTGTACCAGTACCATGCTGCTTTGGTTATTGTAGCTTTGTTGCATAGTCTGAAGTTGGGTAACGTTATACCTCCAACTTTATTCTTTTTGCTTAGAATTGCCTAGGCTATTCAGGCTGTTTTTTGGATCCATATGAATTTTACAAGTTTTTTCTACTTCTGTAAGGAATGTCATTGGTAGTTTGATAGGAATAACATTGAATCTGTAAATTGCTTTTGGCAGTATGAACATTTTAACAATATTGATTTTTCTTATCCAGAGCATGGGTTGTTTTTCCTTTTTTTTTTTTGGAATCATCTCATTTCTTTCAGCAGTGTTTTGTAATTCTTGTTGTAGAGCTCTTTTACTTCCCTAGTTAGTTGTATTCTTAGGTATTTTATTCTTTTTTGTGGCTATTGTCAATGGGACTGTGTTCTTTAATTGGAAGTTGTTGGCATATATGAATGCTACTGATTTTTGTTCATTGATTTTGTATTCTGAGACTTTGCTGAAGTTTATCAGATCAAATAACTTTTGGAGAGAAACTATGGGGTTTTCTAGGTATAGAATCATAAAGTCTGCAAATAGAAATAGTTTGACTTCTCTCTTCCTATTTGTATGCCTTTTATTTCTCTCTCTTGCCTGATTGCTCTGGCTAGGACTTCCAGTAATATGTTGAATAGGAGTGGTGTGAGAGAGCATCCTTGTCTTACTCTGGATTTCAAGGGGAATGCTTCCAGCTTTTGCCCATTCAGTATGATCTTGGCTGTGTTTTTTTTTTTTTTCCATACATGGCTCTTATTATTTTTAAGTATGTTCCTTCAATGCCTAGTTCGTTGCACAAAATATTTTTCTTTTGATTTTTTTCAACCATTTGAAAATATTAATTCCGGTTTTAGTTTGCAGGCTGTGAAAAAAAAGAGTGAACTGGATCCCCACTTTACATGGTGTCTTTCTTAGAGGTGTGCTAAAGTTGGTAATATGATTGTGGGTTTATGTCTCCATTTATTCTTAATAGTTTTTTCTCATATGAGATATGCTATTAAATGTGTAAACATTTGTGATTATTTTATCTTCGTGGTAACTTTTATCTTTTACCTTATAAAGTTTTATAAAACTTTATTTTTATTTAATGATTTTTTTTGGCCTGGATTTTATTACATCCAAGAGTGATACTGTCACTCTGCATCTATTTTTTCATGTTAGCCAGTATTGTGCAAGAACATAGTTTGCAAGCCACAGTAGCTCCTGGTCTATAATAAAACAAAAGAAAACATTAACATTTATATTGTGCTTCATTTTCAATAACTTTTAGTCTGAAGGTTTTAAGGCAATTGCGCTTGGCTTTCCTCCTTTTCCACAATCATATATTAATGTACTAAAGCTAAGACAGTGCCATCTAGAACTTTAAAAGTAGATATTTATGTATACTCAAAGTTGCTATGGCATCATAGTCAGAGGGAAAGGGCTTTTTCTCCTCACTGCTTTTGGGCATAATACTTGAAACTTAATAGATAATTGATACTAGTAAGAATTTTTTTTTTTTTTTTTTTTTTTTTTTTGGAGACAGAGTCTCGCTCTGTCGCCCAGGCTGTAGTGCAGTGGTGCGATCTCGGCTCACTGCAAGGTCCGCCTCCCAGGTTCACGCCATTCTCCTGCCTTAGCCTCCCGAGTAGCTGGGACTACAGATGCCCACCACCATGCACAGCTAATTTTTTTGTATTTTTAGTAGAGATGGGGTTTCACAGTGTTAGCCAGGATGGTCTCGATCTCCTGACCTTGTGATCCACCCACCTTGGCCTCCCAAAGTGCTGGGATTACAGGCACAAGCCACCATGCCTGGCTGATACTAGTAAGATTTTATAAGTTGTTAGCCTATGTGATACATATAAAAACACTCATCAAATGTGTAAGAGAAGATAATTTTGTCTTATAAATAAAGGCAGAAAACCTTTAACATTTGCAGACACATTAAATTGACAGTTTTTGAATAACTTCTCTGTAAGATTGTAATGTGGAAATGTGAGGAAGAATCAATTTGAACACATCTAATTCCCTTATCACTATTCCACCTTTGTTTAGGACTTTCAAAAGATAAATGGTTCCGGGGTAGATACCTGATTTATTTCCACATTTAGTGCAAAATGATTCTGTGTTATTTCTATCAGATTTTCTTTTAGCTCTGTCAAGACTGGAACCTAGACTGTCAATTATAATGAAAATACATTTTCATTAGTTGTTCCTTTTCTGTATGCCTTTAGTAGTGTATCAGTTGTTTATAGAGAATGCAAAATCATAAAGGTATAGTTGCCTTGCTGTTTGAGACTTCACAATATGATTTTTTTATTCTTGAATTTTGCTAGGTACTTCAAATTCCATTCTATAACTTCATTTAATGTAGTATAGATGCTGGCTTCATTATAAAAGCCATTCTCCTTAGAAGGTAAAATGTCTCCGTAACTGTCATGTTTAGAGGTAGGTAGATACACATGGATTTAAAAAATTACTTTTAAGTCAACCTACAGCGTTTGGTAGGATGTCAGGTTTTGTTCTCTCTATTAACTATTTTATGAATCAGGGTTTAAGTTTAGTAAGGAAGACTATCATAAGGAAGACTGCTGCTGGTTTGGTAAATTTTAAATATATTGTATCTTAATTACAGGGAAAGGAATCCTTTTTCTTTATTCCTGTTTTCCCAGTTTCAGAGCTCTCAATTTTTGTTTATTTCTAAAGGGTTTAGATCAAGGGAGTTACAACACAGAATAATACATTCTCATATTTTGTTTTGTGTATATTTATGGAAGTATTTGGCAAGTACTTTAGCAGTCCATCCTGCCAATGGTTCAAAGTGCTATGAAAGCAAATAGTGTTGTCAGTTGCTGTTTCTCTTTATGCCTAGTTGTTCCTTCTGTTTAATCTTTTTCTTGATGCCAAGAAACGTTAAAAAAAAAAAAAGAAAAAGAAAAGAAAAGCCACTTTCTTAAGGTAATTGTCAGCCATGGGAAATTTTTTTTAGCAGATGACTTGTGAAGAGTAAAATAGTGTTAATGTCTTCTTGAGAAGATCATCATCTGTTGCCTAGGTACTTGTCTTACTGAAATAGGCACAAGATGTATAAGGTGAAATATAGCTTCAAATAATATGGTGTGGATGACTGCTGGTGTGTGGTCATTGGAAATAGAGAATCTACCTATTTTAGATCTTTGGAAGAGGAGACCATAAATCCTTAATCTAGCCTAGAAGATTTTTGTTAGGCATGCTAATAATATACAAAATAATATAATATACAAAAACCAATACTTAAAGTACATGTCAACTGTTATTAGGATTTAAATAATGTATAACTCAGTAGGTAAATAAAAATAGATATTTATTTTTAATCTCCCAAGTAAATGAAATATTAGTATTATAAATTATAGCAGATTTAATAATTCACCACATCATTTTAAGCATTTCCAAATCCTACTTTGAGTTTTGGAATTAGTGATAATGCTCTTTTGTTTAGCTTTTACTAGCTTTAATAAATTTCCTGTTTGAGCCACAGTTTGACAAAAGAGATTTTATCAAATGACTTACCCATTAAATTGATAATCAGTAGGTAATGCGGAGTTTCATTAAGTAGAGAGTTTCTGTTAATAATATTGTTTATAGTGTTAAATTTTTTCTCACAGTCTGAGAACAGTTACTTTCAAAACAGTTTTCTAGTCCTTATGATGAAATTTGGAACACCTAATTAGGCCATAGTGCCACAGGGAAAACCCCAAAACTAGGGTTCAGCCTGGGAGGCCACATGGGTTCTTGGCTTTGTGCGGGAAGGAAAACAGCGAGCCGACAGTACAGGGAAAGCACGTTTGTTAAGAAAGTAGAGCCGGACGCGGTGGCTCATGCCTGTAATCCCAGCACTTTGGGAAGCCGAATCGGGCAGATCACCTGAAGTTGGGAGTTTAAGACCAGCCTGACCAACATGGAGAAACCTCCGTCTCTACTAAAAATACAAAATTAGCTGGGCATGGTTCTACAGCCAGCTACTCAGGAGGGCGAGGCAGGAGAATCGCTTGAACCCAGGAGGCAGAGGTTGCGGTGAGCTCTATCGCGCCATCGCACTCCAGCCTGGGCAACAAGAGTGAGACTGCGTCTCAATTAAAAAAAAAAAAAAAAAAAAAAAAAAGAAAAAGTAAAGGAATGAAACAGTGGCTGCGCCACAGGCAGAGCAGCCCTGAGGGTTGCTGGTTGGCTATTTTTATGGCTGTTTCTTGATCATATGCTAAACAAGAGGTGGATTATTCATGAATTTTCCAGGAAAGTGGCAAGGAATTCCCAGAATTCTCCTTCACCTTTCAGACCATATAGGGTGACTTAAGGATTTTGCCATGGCCTTTGTAAACTATGTTATGGCACTGGTGGGAGTTTACTTTAGTATTCTAATGTATTATGATTAGCATATAATGAGAAGTAAAGATGACCAGAGGTCGCTTTCATGGCTGTCTTGGTTTTGGCAAGTTTTGGCCAGCTTTTTTACCCCATCCTATTTTATAAGCCAGGTCTTTGTGACCTGTATCTTGTGAAACCAGTTCTGCTGCAAACCTGTCTCAATAGTAGAAGCAGTGGAATAATGTGGTCCTTAAGATCAGGTGCTCCTTTGTTGGGCTGCCTGGGTTTGAATGTTAGCTCTGCCAATTAAGTATAAATAAGATTGTAGGTAGTGTTTAACTGGGAAGATTTTGCGGGACTGACTTGTACAAGAACTAGCTAATCAGAAAGGATGCCTATTTATGGATGGAGCGGGGTCCTGAAGGTCACTTGTGCTGGGGAGTAACTGTGTTATTTGTTGGATCATGGGGCATTCTGGAGAGTGGCCTGGACAGTGAAAGAGACAGTCCGCACAGTGGTGTAAACAGCAGTTAGTTACCAACCACAGTGAAACTACTTCAGTATTCTAACAGCTAACATTATCTGTACTGATGCATACTGGCTGAATATCAGCCCTTATTGTATATTAGGCAAGGGAGAGAATGAAATTCAGAGGCAGATGTCTAACCTGCCCCTGTAACACTATGTGTCACTTTTGAAATATCTTCCCATCTGACAAAAGTATGTGCCTTCTTTTCAACTGATCTCTATCCTTAGTCTGTTCATCCTATCCTGTCTCCTGCATGAAACATCCCATCCTAATATTACTTGACAGTCATCTCAAAGAGTTAATCTGTGACTGGTTGATGTTATGCAATTACTGGTTTATTTTGAAGGTCTTATTAATAGCATTTTTGGAAAGTAAAGGATAAAAATATCACTACACATTTGAATTCTCTTGAAGTTGCTTTGTGGTGTTTATACATCTTTTGGCTTGCCAAAGAACTGTGTTCCTATTTGATTTACCAGTTATACTAGGTTCCTAGAGATGATATAACAGAGTATCACAAATGAGCTAGCTTAAACACCAGAAATTGTCTCACAGTTCTGGAAGTTGAAAGTTAGAAATCAAGGTGTTGGCAGAGTTGGTTCCTTTGGATGACTGTGAAGCAGAATTTGTCCCATGCCTCTCTCCTAGCTTTTGGTCTTTGGCTTTCCTTGTCTTGTAGATGTGTCATTCCAATCTCTACTTTGATATTCACATGGCATTGTCTCTGTGTCTCTTCACATAGTCTTCCTTGTGTACGTAGGTCCAAAATTTCCCCTTTCTTTAGGGACACCAAACATTGAATTAGGCCTTACCTTAAGGAGCTCATCTTAGCTTGACTCATCTGCAAAGACCCTATTTCCAAATAAGATCACTTTCTGAAGTTACAAGAGGTTAGGACTTCAACTTATCTTTTTAAGGAATACAGTCAAACCTATAACACCAATATTTTTAAATGTTTGCTGCTTTTTCAACGGAAGAAATATAAGGATATCTGCCATGTTAGTTTCTACCGTTGGTTTATTTAAATATCTGAAACCTTTCTTACATTCTAAGCAATTTTTTCTAAGTGATATATTTCATCCAAATTATCTACTTAGTAGATGGTTATATATTTTCCATTTTCTATGGATATACTTACTACTGTTGTAGAAAAAAATTGGGTTCTTGTCACACGACCAGGGAGGATTAGGCATGCAGACACCTTGAAGGGTGATTGGAAAGGAATTTATTGGGTGAAAAGGAAAAAAGAAACAGACAAACAAACAATCATCAAAGCAAGATAGAGCCCTGCTAACAGGTCCTCCACCTCACAGATTGATTTCCAGGTCACCAGGTGAGCTGAAGAGAGCAGGCTCCTCCCCCGCATAAGGCAGGAATTCCCCATGGCTCCACCCATTTCCCCCAGAACGCATGCTGGGCTCCAGTCAGCTATGGGCATGCCCACATGAGCCCTGGGCAGGTTTCCTCATCTGCACAGAAGCATCTGCACACTTGTGGAGTGGGTCAGAGATTCTCCAAGGACCCCTTTTTATCTGCCTAGGCATTTGGTTGTCTCACTACTGAGTGAAAATATTTGTGATTTTGAAATTCTAATGTAACTAAATGATGATGTGATGCATGTCAACTTGAAGTCTGAATACTACAGATACTGCTTTTATTTTCTTGTGGAAAATCTCCTGCTAATGTTTGTCTAGTTAAGCCATGGCACATTCCTACATTGTATTACTCCCTTAATGATTAATCTCATTTCCAGAAAACTTCCACTTCCACTTCCACAAGGTAATGGGAATAAGATCTTATATGGTTTTGTTTGTTTGTTTGTTTGTTTAGACAGAGTCTTGCTCTGTCACCCAGGCTAGAGTGCAGTGGCGTGATCTCGGCTCACTGCAAGCTCCGCCTCCCGGGTTCACGCCATTCTTCTGCCTCAGCCTCCCGAGTAGCTGGGACTACAGGCGCCTGCCACCACGCCTGGCTAATTTTTTGTATTTTTAGTAGAGATGGGGTTTCACCGTATTAGCCAGGATGGTGGTGATCTCCTGACCTCGGCCTCCCAAAGTGCTGGGATTACAGGCGTGAGCCACCGCGCCTGGCCAAGATCTTATATAGTTTTATAATTTGCCAGGATAAACGTTCTGTTGTCATTAATTCTTCATTAGATGTATACATTTCCTTTAGAACTTCCTTGAAATTGTCCAAGTTATGTTGTATTCATAGTGTGATTTCCGAAAGTATTAAAAAATCAAAGAGGGAGTTCTTTTTTTTTAATATAAATCTTTGGGAAAATATGATAATATATAAATATTTTCTTTAAATATTTTAGTATACTAATTGTGTAAACATGTTTCTGCAGGTTTTGACTGGATCATCTCGTCAAAGTTATTCACCTGGCTATCAGGATTTCAGTAAGTGGGAATCAATGTTGAAAATAAAAGAAGGACTTCTAAGGCAGAAAGAAATTGTAATCGATCGGTGAGTCTATTTTAAATTATTAAATATTTCAGGCCTACAGAAATTTAGATTAATGAAACAATTAACTTTATGTCCACTACATAGAATTTAAGATCTAGAACCTTACAGATTCATTGATGTCACATCTCTGCCCCTCCTCAATCCCAATCCTTTAAAGAAGTACTGTTAGAACTGATGGTTTATCTGTCTGATTTCTGTCATCCCTCCTATTCATTTTAGTGAATTATTTCATTATTTGGAAGCTCCATTCTGTCTTTTCTGTACGTGTAGCGGGTTAGCTGCAATGCTAATCAGCTATTAGAGCTACAAGATAATGTCTTCGTGTTTTAACCCTTGAGAACTATCCAGTTGGAAAGCTAATTTAAAGCAGTCATTTCCTTTAATGTATGCTAGGTCTGAAGCCACAGAAACTACAAAAATGACGAATGTGTAAAATGAAATGACTTATAGTTAAGAATTATGGCAGTTTTGGGGGACGTTCTAAAATGTTTAAGGGTTTGAGTACCTAAGCTCTGAAAAAAAATTATTTATACTTAATAGACAGTCTCCTGAGTATTGTGAGCAGTAAACCTTCATGTTACATCATTATATTTTCTTTAACGTATATTCTACATCATTTATGTATGCTTTTGGGATAATTAAATATGTTGTATATCATGATAATTGGGAAGCAATTCCAGGAGGCTTTTTTTCTTAACCAGTGCTCGTAATTACTTATTTTCATATGCTTGCATAGGATAACGCAGTAGGTGTTTTAGCCTTAAAATTCTAATTTCAACCTTTAAACGCATTTAATAGTTGAAATTTCACAAGATTTTGCTTAGAAATTTAGCATTGTTAATGAAGATCTACTGGAATATAAACTAGACCACAGATATCTGCATTTTCTTGTTCTCCACTATATTCCCCCAATTTTTTTTTTTTTTTGGGAGTCTCAGTCTGTCGCCCAGGCTGGAGTGCAGTGGTGCCATCTCAGCTCACTGTAACCTTCACCTCCCAGGCTCAAGTGATTCTTGTGCGTCAGCCTCCTGAGTAGCTGGGATTACAGCTGTGCACCACCATACCTGGCTAAAGTTTGTATTTTTTAGTAGGGACAGGGTTTTGCCGTGTTGGCCAGTATTGTCTTGAACTCCTGGCCTCAAGTGATCCACCTGCCTCGGTCTCTCAAAGTGCTAGGATTACAAACATGAGTCACCATGCCCAGCCTATTCCCAACATTTTGAAAAGAGCCTGGTATTAGTATATGCCTTAAAACTTGATACTTCCATACTTGATAAATGAAGGATTGTGGAAGATAGTTTTAATTGATTTTAGGAAAAAGCTACTTAAAAATATTAGTTGTTTCTGGTACAAGTGAATGTTATATACGAATAAGTACAGGCCCAGTTGGATGTGTATTTTTAATACCTATAATTTAATATAGGTGCAATTTTATATAATTGAAATTAATATTCGCTCTTGTTGCCCAGGCTGGAGTGCAATGGCATGATCTCGGCTCACCACAACCTCCACCTTCTGGGTTCAAGTGATTCTCCTGCCTCAGCCTCCCAAGTAGCTGGGATTACAGCCATGCGCCGTCACGCCCGGCTAATTTTGTATTTTTAGTAGAGACGGGGTTTCTCTATGTTGGTCAGGCTGGTCTCGAACTCCCGACCTCAGGTGATCCACCAGTCTCTGCCTCCCCAAGTGCTGGGATTACAGGTGTGAGCCACCATGCCCGGCCTGAAATTAATACTTTTAAAAAATGGACTAAAGTTCAGTTTTACTTACATGGATTTGCCCTCCCTCAAACAATGGAAATCAGTTGATGTTATTTTTTTTTGAATACCATTCCATTGGATATAAGTTAATAGAAAATGCAGAAAATTATTGACATAATATAATAAAATATATATTTCTCAATTTTATATATTGTAGAATCAGACTAAGGAATAATTCAAAATAACTCAAGTTGCTCATTTGGCTAATTCTTTAGCTAGGCTTATTTATGCGTCTGTGGTAGCAGGTGGGGGCTGGGTGGCATAGGATGGGCCACGGCAGGATGGCTTGTCTTACTCCACATGTTCTGTCATCCTGCAGGAGGCTAGCCTGGGTTTGTTCGAGTGGTGGCTGGGTGGGATTCTAAGAAAGAATGAAGCATACGAAGTCTCTTGAAGCTTAGACTCAGAACTGGCTCAACATCACTTCCATTATATTCTGTTAGTCACTAGACCAGTAGTGGACTTCACTTCTGGCCAGTGGAAACAGCAAAATCACGTTGACAGGAGGCATTAGTAATATAGGAAGGGTAATAATGGAGGCATTTTAGTAAATAACCTACCCAGTATCTTAAATAATCTTTGGTTTCTTTATGAGTTTATTATAAAGTTTTTGATAATCAGTGCATTTGATATTGTATAAAACAGAAGAGAAACTAAGCAGCTTTTGTTTCTAAAGCAGCATAACTGTCATTTAAAAGTAAAAATGTTTGTATATACAAATTTCTATAACATATATAGTACTTAAATTGGAATCAAATATATAACATTTCTGTTTTTGAAGAAGCAGATGAGAGTAATGGCCTTTAAAATGTTGATGGCACATGTAGAGGCTATTTCAGAGCCAGACTTCATGGGATTTGGTGTCCAATTGGATGGAATTGAAAGTAAACCTGCCGAACTTTTTAGTTTGGGATATGGTGTGGTCAGCGATACCTTTCAAATCACTTAAGTAAAAATTATATGTTGTATATTACTTCTGAAAATATATTATCCAAAATTACATGAGAAAAAATGTGTTTTTTTTCACACTGCGTATAACTTTCATAGGAGGAGACTGGATTATTAGGTTAAAGCAGAGAAAATGGGAAAAATAACTGCTATAGAAACTGTTCCTAAATGCTCCCCATCTCATGAGAAAAAGTGTATAGATTAACTTCAGGAACAATTCAGAAAAACATTTGCCACTATAACCATTTAGGTGATTGAGTAGTGCTTGACCTTTTGCATTTCGATCTCCTTAACTGACTGGGTGAAGGAGTCTCACCACTTAAGCAAAAATGAAGTTTTTTGAAAGTTTAGCTCGTAAAAGTGGAGTTTGGGATAGTGGTTACTGGAGGCGGGAAGGCTGGGGGAAGTAGCGAATACAGAGAGGTTGGTTAAGGAATAGAAAGTTGCAGCTAGATAGAAGTTCTAGTGTTCTGTTGCACTATAGGGTAACTATAATAAACAATAATTATATTTTTTTCAAATAGCTAGAAGAGAGTAATTTGAATGTTAACAGCACAAAGAAATGATAAAGGTTGAGATGATGGATATGCTAATTGCTCTAATTTAATCACTATACATTATATACATGTATCTAAATATCACATTATACCCCACAAATATGACAATTATGTCGATTAAAAAATGCATATTTTCAAAACGTTCTTAAATATATAGAAATAAAATTGGTTTTGTATCCTGCAATCTAATCTCACTTATTAGTTTAAGTAGGTATTTTTTTGTAGATTCAATAGGATTGTTTACATAAACGATCATGTTGTCTGTGATTAAAGGTGGATTTACTTTTTCAGTATAGAGTCTTTTTATTTCCTTTTCTTGCCTTCTACTGAAGTAAATAGAGCCTCCAATACAGTGATGAATAGAAGCAGTGAGAGTAAACATCCTTTTCCTTCTCTTGTCCCTAGTTTGTTTTAGGTGAAAGTCTTCAGCCTTTCACCATTAAGTGTGATGTTAGCTGTTTTTCGTAGTTGCCTTTTTTAGATTGTGGAAACTACTTCTATTCTAGGTAGCTGATGAATTTTCAGATGTAAAACCTACCATGTTATTCCTGGGATATACCCGCTTGGTTATGATGTATTTTCCTTTTTATCTATCTTTGGATTCCATTTGTTAAGAATTTTTACATTTATATTTATAAGAGATATTGGTCTGTATTTTTCTTTTCTTGTAATGTATTTATCTGGTTTAGATATTGGTCATGCTGGCCTCATAGAGTTGGGAATTATTCACTGGTTTTTGGGGTACCTTGTGTACAACTAGTATTTTTTATTTCCTAAACTTTCAGCAGAATTCTTCAGTGAAGACTCCTGACCCTCCTGATCTTTCTGTATTGAAAGGTCAACGAAAAACCCAATTTCTGTAATATACATAGGGCTATTTATTACTTTGGGTTTCATTTGTTCTTCTTTTTCTAACTTGTTTTTTTGAGACGGAGTTTCACACCCCCCCCCCGCCACACACACACACACACACACACACACACACACACACACACACGTACACGGAGTTTCACAACCCCCCCGCCACACACACGCACACGGAGTTTCACAACCCCCCCCCGCCACACACACACACACACACACACACACACACACACACACACAGAGTTTTGCTCTGTCACCCAGACTGGAGTGCGGTGGCGCGATCTTGGCTCACTGCAACCTCCGCCTCCCGGGTTCATGCAGTTCTTCTGCCTCAGCTTCCCCAGTAGCCCGCGACCACACCCAGCTAATTTCTGTATTTTTAGTAGAGACAGGGTTTCACCATGTTGACCAGGCTGGTCTCGAACTTCTGACCTCGTGATCTGCCCGCCTCGGCCTCCCAAAGTGCTGGGATTACAGGCATGAGCCACCACACCTGGCCCTTTTTTTCCCCCTAACTTCTTAAAGTGGAGGCTGAGATAATTTGAGAGCTTTCTTTTTTTCTGGTATAGGCATTTAGTCTCTCGGACCACAGTGCAATCAAATTAGAACTCAGGATTAAGAAACTCACTCAAAACCACACGACTGCATGGAAACTGAACAACCTGCTCCTGAATGACTACTGGGTAAATAATGAAATTAAGGCAGAAATAAAGATGTTCTTTGAAACCAATGAGAACAAAGACACAATGTACCGGAATCTCTGAGACACATTTAAAGCAGTGTTTAGAGGGAAATTTCTGGCACTAAATGCCCACAAGAGAAAGCAGGAAAGATCTAAAATTGACACTCTAACATCGCAACTAAAAGAACTAGAGAGGCAAGAGCGAACAAATTCAAAAGCTAGCAGAAGACAAGAAATTATTAAGATCAGAGCAGAACTGAAGGAGATAGAGACCTGGAAAACTCTTCAAAATATTAATGAATCCAGGAGGTGGTTTTTTGAAAAGATCAACAAAATAGATAGACTGCTATCCAGACTAATAAAGAAGAAAAGAGAGAAGAATCAAATAGATGTGATAAAAAATGATAAAGGGGATATCACCACTGATCCCACAGAATTACAAACTACTATCAGAGAATATTATAAACACCTTTACGCAAATAAACTAGAAAATCTAGAAGAAATGGATAAATTCCTGGACACGTACACTCTCCCAGGTCTAAACCAGGAAGAAGTCAAATCCCTGAATGGATCAATAACAAGTTCTGAAATTGAGGCAGTAATTAATAGCCCACCAGCCAAAAAAAGTCCAAGACCAGACAGATTCACAGCCAAATTCTAACAGAGGTACAAAGAGGAGCTGGTATCATTCCTTCTGAAACTATTTCAAACAGTAGAAAAAGAGGGAATCCTCCCTAACTCATTTTATGAGGCCAGCATGATCCTGATGACAAAACCTGGCAGAGACACAACAAAAAAAGAAAATTTCAGGCCAATATTGCTGATGAACATCGATGCAAAAATCCTCAATAAAATACTGGAAAACCGAATCCAGCAGCACATCAAAAAGCTTACCTACCACAAACAAGTCGGCGTCATCCCTGGGATGCAAGGCTGGTTCAACATACGCATATCAATAAATGTAATCCATCACATAAAACCAATGACAAAAACAACACGATTATCTTAATAGATGCAGAAAAGGCCTTCGATAAAATTCGACACCCCTTCATGCTAAAAACTCAATAAACTAGGTATTGATGCAGTGTATCTCAAAGTAATAAGAGCTATTTATGACAAACCCACCGCCAATATCATAATGAATGGGCAAAATCTGGAGGCATTCCCTTTGAAAACTGGCACAAGACAAGGATGCCCTCTCTCACACTCCTCTTCAACATAGCATTGGAAGTTCTGGCCAGGGCCATCAGGCAAGAGAAAGAAATAAAAGTATTCAGATAGGAAGAGAGGAAGTCAAATTGTCTCTGTTTGCAGATGACATGATTGTATATTTAGAAACCTGCGTCGTCTCAGCCCAAAATCTCCTTGAGCCGATAAGCAACTTTAGCAAAGTCTCAGGATACAAAATCAATGTGCAAAAATCACAATCCTATACACCAATAACAGACAAACAGAGAGGCAAATCATGAGTGAACTCATTCACAATTGCTACAAAGAGAATAAAATATCTAGGAATAGAACTTAAAAGGGATATGAAGGACCTCTTCAAGGAGCACTACAAACCACTGCTCAAGGCAATAAGAAAGGACACAAATAAATGGAAAAACATTCCATGCTCATGGATAGGGATAATCAATATTGTGAAAATGGTTATGCTTCCCAAAGTAATTTATAGATTCAATACTATCCCCATCAAGCTGCCATTGACTTTCTTCACAGAATTAGAAAAAACTACTTTAAATTTCATATGGAACCAAAAAAGAGTCTAGATAGCCAAGACAATCCTAAGCAAAAAGAACAAAGCTGGAGGCATCACGCTACTTGACTTCAAACTATACTAAAACGCTGCAGTAACCAAAACAGAATGGTACTTGTACGAAGACAGATAGACGAATGGAACAGAACAGAGGCCTCAGAAATAACATCATACACCTGCAACCATCTGATCTTTGACAAACCTGATGAAAACAAGCAATGGGGAAAGGATTCCCTATTTAATGAATGGTGTTGGGAAAACTGGCTAGCCATATGCAGAAAACTGAAACTGAACCCCTTCCTTACACCTTAAACAAAAATTAACTAAAGATGGATTAAAAACTTAAGCGTAAGACCTAAAACCATAAAAACCCTAGAAGAAAACCTAGGCAGTACCATTCAGGACATAGGCATGGGCAAAGGCTTCATGTCTAAAACACCAAAAGCAGTGGCAACAGAAGCCAAAATTGACAAGTGGGATCTAATTAAACTAAAGAGCTTCTGCACAGCAAAAGAAACTATCATCAGAGTGAACAGGCAACCTACAGAATGGGAGAACATTTTTGCAATGTATCCATCTGACAAAGGGCTGATATCCAGAATCTACAATAACTTAAACAAATTTATAAGAAAAAAACAACCACATCAAAAAGTGGGTGAAGGATATGAACAGGCACTTCTCAAATGAAGACATTTATATGGCCAACAAACGTGAAAAAAAGCTCATCATCACTGATCATTAGAGAAATGCAAATCAAAACCACAATGAGATACCATCTCACACCAGTTAGAATGGTGATCCTTAAAAAGTCAGGAAACAACAGATGCTGGAGAGGATGTGGAGAGATAGAAACACTTTTACACTGTTGGTGGGAGTGTAAATTAGTTCAACCATTGTGGAAGACAGTGTGGCAATTCCTCAAGGATCTAGAACCAGACATACCATTTGACCCAGCAATCCCATTACTGGGTATATACCCAAAGGATTATAAATCATTCTCCTATAAAGACAGATGCACATGTATGTTTATCGCAGCACTATTCACAATAGCAAAGATTTGGAACCAACCCAAATACCCATCAATGATACAACTGGGTGAAGAAAATGTGGCACATATACACCATGGAATACTATGCCCAGCCATAAAAACGGATGAGTTCATGTCATTTGCAGGGACATGGATGAAGCTGGAAACCATCATTCTCAGCAAACTAACACAGGAACAGAAAACCAGACACCACATGTTCTCACTCATAAGTGGGAGTTGAACAATGAGAACACACTGACACAGGGAGAGGAATATCACACACCAGGGCCTATCTGGGGGTGGGGGTCTTGGGGAGGGATAGCATTCGGAGAAATACCTAATGTAGATGATGTGGGTGCAGCAAACCACCATGACAGGTGTATACCTATGTAGCAAACCTGCACGTTCTGCACATGTACCCCAGAGCTTAAAGTATAATAAAATAAAAAATAAATTTCTAAGTTCTTCTTTATCAATATCTTACAAATTTTAATTTGTTTGGTTTTCATTTTTGTTCACCTCAAAATACTTAGTTTATCTTCTGATTTCTTCTTTGACCCTAAAGTTATTTACAATTATGTTACATTGTTTCCAAATACTTCAGGATTTTCTAGAATTCTGTCTGTAATTGTTTTCTGATTTAATTTCACTGTGGTCCAAGAATATATTCTATATGAATTGAATTCTTTTAAGTTTGTTGGTGCTTGTTTCATGGCTCAGAAGATCATCTGTTTTAATAAGTGTTTCATGTATCCTTGAAGAGGGTGTGTATTCTGCTGCTTTTGTCTTTTGTGGGGAGTATTCTAGAAATTCCTTTTAGTACAAATCAGTTGATAGTGTTTTTGTCTTTTATATTCTCTTGATTTTCTGTCTACTTGTTCTATTAATGTCAATTATTGAGATCCAGGTGTCAAAATATCCAATTACAATTGTGGATGTATCTGTTTCTTTTCTGTTTTATCAGTTTTTTTGCTTCATGTATTTAGACACTGTGCTCTTAGGCCCAAATGTCATGACGTCTTAATGAATTGATCTTTTTATTATTATTAAGTTATAATTTTTGTCCCTGGCAATATTCTCTGCTCTAACAATCTGTTTTGGCCTGGCAAGTTGGCGCACATCTGTAATTCCAACACCAAGAAGTTGAGGCGGGAAGATCACTTGAAGCCAGGAGTTTGAGACCAGCCTGGGCAACATAGTGAGATTTCACCTTCACAAAATTAAAAAAAAAAAAACTTAGCCGGGCACAGTGGATCCTATATATAGTCCCAGCTATTTGGAAGGCTGAGACAGGAAGATGGCTTGAGCCCAAGAGTTCAAGGCTGTAGTGAGCTCTAATCACACCGCTGCCTTCCAGCCTGAGTGACAGAGTGACACCCTGTCTCTAAAATAGAAAAAAAAAAAATCTGCTTCTACTAATATTAATATAGTTACTCTGGCTCTCTTTTGATTATTTTTAGCACAGGTTTTCCTCTTTTTACTTTTAACCTGTTTGTGTCCTTATGTTCAGAATGGTTTTCTTTCTTGTAGATAGTATATAGTTAGGTCCTACTTTTTATCCATTCTGCCAATGTCTGCCTTTTGTTTGGGAGTATCTAAACCATTTACATGTTGTGATTATTGATATGGTCAAGTTTAAATCTCCTATATTGGTATTTGTTTTCTTTTTTTTTTTTTTTTTTTGAGACAGTGTCTTGCTCTGTCTCCCAGGCTGAAGTGCAATGGCACGATCTCAGCTCACTGCAACCTCTGCCTCCCAGGTTCAAGCCATTCTCCTGCCTCAGCCTCCCAGGTAGCTGGGACTACAGGCATGCATCACCATGACCAGCTAATTTTTGTATTTTTAGTGGAGATGGGGTTTCACCATGCTGGCCAGGCTGGTCTTGAACTCCGGACCTCAAGTGATCCACCTGCCTCAGCCTCCCAAAGTGCTAGGATTACAGATGTGAGCCACTGTGCCTGGCATTGCTATTTGTTTTCTTATTGTCCCATCTGATCTTTGTTCCCCTTTGCCTTCTCTTGAATTAGTTGAATATTTTTTTACAATTCCTGTTATCTCTTTATTGGCATGTTAGCTATACCTCTATTGTTATAATGATTGCTTTAGAGTTTATAATATATTTTAAAGTATAGCAGTCTATCTTCAAGTAATACTATACTATTTTATGTATAATGTAAGAATCTTATAAAGCATAGTTCCATTTTTTTCTCTTCTAGCCTTTGAGCTGTTTTGTCATACATTCTACATCTACAAAGGTTATACAACGTGGATATAAATTTTTTTTTGCCTCAAACAATTTATGATCTTTTAATGAGATTTAAATAATAAGAAAAATATCTTATGTATTTATTTGCCCATGTGTTTATCATTTCTGGTATTCTTCTTTCTTTTGTGTAAATTCAGGTTTTCATCTGGTATATTGTTCTTTTACCTCAAGGTGTTCCTTTATCATTTTTTTTGTAGTTGAAGTCTGGGGTGATCAATTCTTTCAGCTTTTAAGTTTCCAAAAAAGATCTTTATTTAACCTTTAAAAAAATATTTTCTGTGGGTGAAGTATTATAGGTTAACAGGTTTTTTTTGTATGCTTTTTGTGTTGTTTTCAAATTTTTTCTCATGTCAAAAATTTTAGGTTGAGAGCTTTTAAATTTTAGTACTTAAAGTACTTCATTGTCTTATTGATTGCATTATTTCAGTTGAGAAATTTGCCATCCTCTTCATCTTTGTCTCCTTGAATGGATTTATCTTTTTTCCCTCTGGTTGCTATTAAGATTTTATCACTGTAATCTATTTGATTTAGATGTACCTTGTCTTAGATTTCTTCATGTTACTTTTATTTGGGGTTCACTGGGCTTCCTGAACCTATGGGTGTATAGTTCTCATCAGATTTGGTAAAATTTTGGCCTGTTATACACAAATATTTTTTTTCTGTCCCCTACTCCCACCCCCTGCCACCTTCTTACCTCCTCTTTAGAGATTCCAATTGTACATGTATTTGGCCTCTTATAATCTCGCGGCTCACTGATACTATGAGCTTTTTTGTTTTATTTCTTTGTCCTTTTTTCTCTAGTGTTTCTTTTTAGATAGTTTCTATTGCTGTTTTTAAATTTACTGTACTTTTGTGCTGTAATGTCTAATGTTTTAATCACCATTCAGTGTGTTGTTTGTCATGTATGTCTCCTCTTAACATGTTCGTTCATTCTTCTAACTTAAGCATATGAATAGTTATAATAACTGATTTACTATCCTTGTCTATTTTAACATCTCTGTCAGTTCTAGCTCACTTTCAGTTGATTGGATTTTCTTATTATTATGAGTTACATTTTTTCTGCTTTTTTTGTACTCCCAATAATTTTTTGATGCCAGGCATTATGAATTTTAACTTGTTTTTGATATTACATTTTTGTATTCCTGAACTTTATTCTAGGAAGCAGTTTTTGTACTTGCTTTTAAGTTTTGTTAGGTGGCATTAGAGCTGTTTTATCAAGGGTTATTTTTTCCCCACTGAGACAAGACTCATCTTACAAACCCTGGGTTTCTCAGCCTCAGCACTGTTGATTTTTTTTGGATCAGATAATTCACTATTGAGGGTGGCTATCCTGTTCATTGTAGACATTTAGTAGCATCTCTGGCTTCTGCTCACTAGATGCCAGTAACATTCTGCCCCAGTTGTGAAAATTGAAAATGTCTCTGGATGTTGCTAAATGTTAACTGGTTTCAAAACTGTCCCCAGTTGAGAATTGCTGATGCCCTGGGAATCATGAAGCTTTTTATTCTGGCAGTTGGGAATAGCCAGTAATTCCAAGGCACCCTGAAGCACTGTTCCCTGTAATATTTTTTTTGGTTGCCCTTCCACTCTACACACACCGTCGGTAGCTTCCTCATGCCTGTATTAATTAGTATTCAACCGAGTGCCCAAGGGTTATCGAGTACTGTGAACTAACTACAGCTGCCTTGGTTTCTCCAGATTCTCAGCTTTGTGTCTTCAATTCAGGGAGACCACCATTCCTGTGCTGGGGCTTGAAAACTCTCTCAGCAGGAAGTGCAGTCAGTCATAGGGCCCACCTCATTAGTTACCTATCTCTAAGAGATTACTGTTCTTAATTGCCTGGTGGCCCAATGCCTTGAGAGTCTTCACTTCCTATATTTTGTCTTTTTTAAAAAATTGTTTCAGGCATGAGGGCAAAACTAGTCCCTGCCTGCTACTGCACCTTGGCTGGAAAAGGAAGGGTTTTTTTTTTTTTCTTTCTTGTAAAGCTTTAAATTATTTGAAAAGTGTTATATGACGAATCTCTCCTGACTTATCTCCTATTTAATGTTTTATATGTGGATTTTCTTAAAGGTTAGCAAATTTTAGAAATCATCCTGAGTAGAACAAGGTCTTTTGATGCAACCTGAAACATACAACTTACTTGTTCCAAAAGTTACTTTGTAAGTAATTTTGGAAAACATCAAGCTATTTGTTTACTCATACTATCTTTATTATTCTTTAAAAGCTCTCTCCTTCAAAACTTCATCATGAGAGTTAATAAATTTTTGAAGATGAGAGATACTGCATACAAAGCTCTTAGCATCATGCCTGGCACAAAACAGTTTTAAAATTTCTAAGCATACATATTTACAGAAATTAAATAACTTGCTTAAAGCAAGCTATGAGTTGTTGAAGAAAGCAAGGTGTGACTGTTAGAATCTAAGAGGAATATTAAAGGAATCTAAGAGGAATAAGCTCCTTAAGGTTCTTCTAACTATTAGAAAATTATAACTCATAATGTGACCTTAATTTATGTTTTGCAGGCAGAAGCAACAAATTACCCACCTGCATGAGAGGATAAGGGATAATGAATTACGGGCTCAACATGCCATGTTAGGACATTATGTAAATTGTGAGGATTCTTATGTGGCTAGTTTGCAGGTAAGATTACAGAGGATTTTGTAGCTGTTTTAGTAGTAAAGCTTGTGTTAATAATATACTTACCTTGTAATATAAGGACATTTTAAATCAACTTAATAATGTATTCACATGATTTATATTTATTTATATGTGTGGCAAAGAGTGTCCAACTACAGCCTTCCATCTGTCCAGATTGCACACCCCTCTCCACACACATACAGGAACTACTGTTGTCAGTTTCTGGTGTATCCCTTCCAGAGTTGATGCATATCACAAGCAGATATAAGTGTGTTTTATCCTTCTTCTGCATTTAAAAAAATATAAGAATATGTACATTATCTGGCACCTTGCTTTTTTTTAAATGTTATATACAATTATATAACACACAGTGATTATTTCTCTATCATTACCTAGATAACACCCCTTTCCCTTGCTTTTGCAGTTACACGATCTTCTGTTTTATGGAGATAGCATAATTTATTCTACCTGCCCCCTACTCATCAAAATTTGAGTTGTTTTCAGTTTAGGGTTATTGTAAATGATGCTGTAAAGAATAACCTTTTATAAATACTGTTTTGCTCATATGCAGATATTCTTGTAAGTTACATTTCCAGAAGTGAAATTTCTAGGTATTGAGTTTGTGATTTTTACTGATACTGTCAAATTGCTCTTTAGGAGAGCAGTGTATAAGAACTCTCACCGTCCCACTCCCCAACTCCCAGCCATGCTAACAGAGTGTGTTATTAAACTTGGATTTTTGCCCTTCTAGTAGGTCTATATAAAAGAAAGGGGAGATTTATCTCCTTATGGTCATATGGTTTTAATATGTATTTCTCTTAAGAGTGATGTTATATTTCTTTTTATAAATTTAAGGGCCCATTCACATTTCTTTTCATATCCTTTGATCATTTTTTATGTTAGGTTGTAGGTTTTTGCTTATTGTTTTTTGGAGCCCTGTATATATAAAGGAAATTAGCTTTTTGTCTATAATTTAATTTGAAAATAAATTTTCCAATTTTGTCTCAATATTTTGTTTATATTATTATTTCCTTTTCCTCTATGTAATTTTTTCTACAATGAGGTCTGATTCTAATGAGTATTTTATAAATGAATCTCACCTTTACAAATGAGCCTATTTAACCAAACAGTGACATAACATCCACTGTGTTAAATTCTGATGTCACAAAAGTGAAAAATAGTTCCTGCTTTCATGGATCTCAAAACTTACAGAGGGAGAGACCATATAGGAAAACAAGTTTGTCTATTCCTTCTAAATTTATTTGTATTCACTGTAGGTAAGACAGTGTCTACGCCATATGAATAGAAATGTAAATGAGGTTAATTTTGCCCATAAGGAGAGTATAGTCTAATTGGAACACAGATATAGAGTCTATGAGGCCCGTTAACAAAATTTATATGACTGGAATGGCTACTTTCCTTAATTATTACTCAGTTTTAAAAAGAGCTTCCTTTAAAACTTGTTTGCATGTTTATTTTTATATAAACTTTATATTGGTTTATTTCCCAAAGAAAAAGACTGTTGGCGTACTTATTGGGATCTAAAGTGAGGCCTGATAACTTTGTGGTGGTATATACTTCTATTTGTGGATGTTGTTATTGTTGTTCTCTTCATTACGGCCTTTATTCCTAGATTTTAAGTTAAGTGGAATTGTTTCCTTCATCATATCTTCAAATGTGATATTTATAAATACTAGAGACATTGGTATATTAAAATCAGGAAATATTGATGAGAAAATAACTATCAGATTTTCTTGAGGCCAGAGGCATTTAACATAGAGACTCCAACTTGCCTTTTATACTTTAGTTATGAATACATCATGTTATAATTTGGTCTCATCTTGGACTTCTGTCACATGATAGCAAGGCTTTATAATGAGTACTGAGAATAATGTACAGTTATTTGAAAATGGTATTTCTATACTATGGAAGTAGTGTATCTTGCTTTGGTAACAGCATTTTAGTAGAATTGTTCAATTTCTCTTTAACATTCTGTCATTCGGAATAAAGGCTTTAATTATATAATTATCATATTATCGAAAGCATGTAAAAAATAGGTATCTGAAGGATGAAGCAAATGTTCTTTTGACACAGCATCAGGCCAGTAGAGGGCTCTCCAAGCCAGCGTGCAAGGACAAATAAAAATATTAGTATTTGGAAGGATATGTAAAAGGGGTTGTTAAAAATATTAGTAGGATTTTGAAGTATGTGAGGAATTGAAATATTATTGAGAAATCTGATTTTAAAAGATGAGAGCAATTTGTAAAAGAGAATACAAGGAAAATCTTAATACTAAATGGGTATGATAAATATATAAGATAAACTTCTATCAATGGATAGATACAGAGAGCCAATAAAATGGTGAGGGTTAGAAGAAACAGCAGATAGAGTAATAAAATATTTCTTTAGCGAAGGATTTTTTTAACTTTGGATCTTTGAATGATGTAATTTTTTATGCATAGCATTTTGTATAGGTACATTTTTCTGATCCATAACATATTCATCCTAATTCTATAGACACTAGACAAAGAAAATTATGCTTTTAATAATAATTATTGAAATTAATGTGTATTCTAGAGTAAATAAGTCAGTAAAATAAAAGTAACATTTTTAAATGAATTTATAGATGGAAAACATACTCTTAATAAGTAACTTCTATTTTCTTATTAAAAATTTGACTAACCTTACAATTAAGATGACCTTAGAAGTAGATATCACTCAGTCTCATAGGTAGAGAATGAGAACCATGTCTTTATTCTAAAATCCAAACTTTCTGGATAGTTCTAATGGTAGATTGGTAGAGCCAAGGAATAGTTTGTATTTCCATTTATACCTAAATTTCCATCTGTGGTTAACAGGACTTTGTGGAATAAACCAAATATGAAGGACCCTTTTTCTTTACTTAAATTGGAGAAGAAAGAGGTCTCTTCTTTCTGTATATATGTGTACCTTGGAAAGATCAACCAAATAATAGTTACTATTATTAAGTTTCATTGTTGCATCATTTCTTTTCTTTCCATTTTATTCTTTTTCTTTCCATTTATATCATTTTTTTCTATTTTTTCTTCAATTGGTTTGTTTCCACCACCAAGTCTGTACTAATGAACATTTAATAAAATGAATCCCACCTTTGCAAATGAGCCTCCTCAACAAAACATTAAACATCTAATGTGTTAAATTCTGGGAACACAAAAGCAAAGAATGGTTTCTGCCTTTATGGAACTTAAACCCTACAGAGAGAGTATACCAAAAAATATATTTATCCATTTCCTTAAAAATTGTTTATCTTAACTATGGATAAGGTTCCATTTATGCTGTAGCAATAGAAATGTGAATGAAGCTGGTTTTGCCCTCAAGGAATGTGTAGTCTAATGGAGAACACAGACAAGAGATAGTTGCAGTGTGTTGATTCGCACAGGGTTTATGTATGAAGTGCTGTGGGAACCCCAGCTATGAACATAGAAGCTAATCTTCCAAAAGCCTGGCCAGGCTTCCTGTAGGAAGTGATAATCTAGTTTGAGAACCTGATGAACTAAATGAATTGAGCCAGGTGAAGGGGGTGAAGGAATAGTGTTTTGAGGCATAGTGTATGGCATATGGAGAAGCTTAAAGGAATGATGAGAAATATAATGCATTTGGAAAACTACAAATTATTCTGTGTGGATGAAATGTAATGTGAGAGAAAGGTAGTGGTAGATATGTGGTTGAAGAGGTAAGCAAGGGCCGAGTGATATCAATGACCTGAGGTGTAAAGGTTTGCTTAGGGCTGGCCCAGTTTATGCCTGCTGTGCTTATAAATTTATTAATAGTGCCATCTTTCACCTCCAAAGTATCCTAGTTTGGTTACTCTGATGGCATAATAGAGATTGGATTTAAGGTAGATGTTATTGGAGGCAGGGAAACCAGTCAGGAAGCTGTCTCAATAGTCCAAAAGTTATGTGAACATTTGAATTTTATCTGTAGTGGTCAGAATGAGAAGAAGACTGTTGATTAAACATCTGTATGACCAAGCCATGGTAAAATGGGCCAGATTTAATGACATATTTAATGTGGTGAGAGAATGATTGCCTAATTTCATACAGCAACAATTGATTGGTTTATAGAGATTACTATGTTAAGGATCTGTTTAGAGGAGAAAAATAGTGAGTTAAACTTACACATTGTAAATTTGGGGTTGAGTGAAGAATGAGGGTAATATTTGTGGGTGCAGGTCTGAGCCAGAGATAAGAGATTTAGGTGTTGTCAGTCTAGGTGGGTGGTTATTAAAGCCTTGGGCATGATCAGGTATTCCAAGGGAGGATTTGTGCAATGAGAGGAAAATGGGATCCAGAACTAGAAACAGGAAACAGCAGCATTTTAGAAGGTAGCAGAAGAGCACAACTTGTGAAGGAGCCTGAGGGAGTTGTTCTAGAAAGGAAAGCAAGCAAGTGTTTTTCCATAGAAAGGGAACCGTTGTATAAAAGTCAGAGAAGGCAGATAAAGGTTGAAAAGATGTTACTAAATGTAGAAATTAAAACATCTGACCTCAGATTTTTGTTTTTCTATATGATTAAGTTCACATAGAGTTTCAACTACAGCTTGTCTTGCTACAAAACACATTTCTATGGTGCAAATTTGCTCATACACAATTGGTAAATAGGAGAATGATGTCTGCTTAGTTTTCTAGATTGGTTCATAAGTGCTTTCCCCCACCAACTCCCCAGGCAAGGGGAGTTAGAATATGGTGAATAAAATTAAAATATTTGGCCAGCAAAGCAAAAGGCTTAGGGTTACCTACTACATTAGCAGAAGCTTTTTCCAACTTACATAAGAAAATTGTAAAAGAGTACCTGCCCTTTGGGTGCTCTTCCTTGAGAAGTGCACTTCCTTCTTTATAGACTTTCAGTTCACGCCAGGTTATGCTCCCTCCTACTCCACCTGCACGGCAAGCCCTATATCACAGAGTCCACCTATATCATCTGAACACTCACCAGACCTCTAATTAAAGTACCGCCAGCATTTTGACTGTGTGTGTATGTGGTTTTAAAATATCACTGTGACCACCTGTTCAGACTGTCCAAGTTATCTCCTGAGTCACTGTTTTTGTTAGTGCACTAGTTAAAATTGCATCAGTTTGAATTGAGTGTTTTTAATCCTATTCGTTCCATACGCCCTATTATTTTTAGTGCATGATTTTCCAGGAATGTCTATATTGCATTATAGTAGAAGCACCTGTGTTAACTTTTTAAAAATTTATTAACTTTACTTTTTAGAGCAGTTTTACATTTACTACAAAATTGAATGGGAAGTACCAAGATCTCCCATATCCTCCATATCTTCACACGTGCTCAACCTCCCCCACTATCAATGTTTTGTACCTTAGGGTACATTATTTATAATTAGTGAACCTATATTGACACACCATTAACACTCAAAAACCAATAGTTTATATTAGGATCACTCCTGGTGTTGTGCAATCTAAGGGTTTTGACAAATTAGTAATGACATGTATCCACCATTATCGTATCATGCAGAGTAGTTTCACTGCCCTAGAAATTTTCTGTGCTCTGCCTGTTCAACCCATTGGACCCCTAGCAACCACTGAACTTGTTATGGTCTCTATAGTTTTGCCTTTCCCAGAATGTTATGTAATTGGAATCATATAGTACATACTATTCAAACCATTTCTTTTTAAACTGGCTTCTTTCACTTAGTAGTATGCATTTAAGTTTCCTCTATATCTTTTCATGGCTTGATAGTTCATTTTTCTTTATTACTGAATAATGTTCCGCTTTCTGGGTATATCACAGTTTAGTGCATGATTTTCCAGTGGTTTTCCAGGAATGCATATATTTGTATTATAGTAGAAGCATCTGTGTTAACTTTTTTTTTTTTTTTTTTTTTTTTTTTTTGAGTACAGTGACGTGATCTTGGCTCACTGCAACCTCCGCCTCCTGGGTTCAAGCAATTCTCCTGCCTCAGCCTCCTGAGTAGCTGGGATTACAGGCGCGTGTCACCACACACAGCTAATTTTTGTATTTTTATTAGAGACGGGGTTTCAACATGTTGGCCAGGCTGGTCTTGAACTCCTGACTTCATGATCTGCCTGCCTTAGTCCCGCCAAAGTGCTGGGATTACAGGTGTGAGCCACCGCGCCTGGCCCCACCTGTGATAACTTTTTGAAAATTTATGAATTTTATTTTTTAGAGCAGTTTTAGGCTGACTACAAAATTAAATGGGAAGTACCAAGATTTCCCATATCCTCCATATCCCCACACATGCACAGCCTTCACCTACTGAAGGGCATCTTGATAATTTCCAAGTTTTGGCAATTATGAGTAAAGCCGCTGTAGTGATATAGGAAAAACCAAAGATGCATTTTTCCCACTCTACTCTCCACTCAGCACAGTACTTCTGCACCACATGTATGGTATTTGTTTCCCTACACACCAGGCAGTCAGTTCTGCATATTCTTCAGCAGACACCATCTGGGTGTCTGTCTTCTAATTTAATCCTGACACTGTATGTGTAGAGATAGCGTCAGAACCCACAGACTGAGGACTCACTACCACAAGACTGCCCTCCACTTCAGATGCCAATTTCAAGTCCCAAATGCTTCTTACCAACTGGCTATAAATCAGAGTTCACATAACTCCCTCCCTGGGTTTGATTAACTTGCTGAAACTCAGAAGCTTTTTACTTACACTTAACCCATTTGTTATAAAGGATATTAGAAAAGATACAGATGAACAGCCAGATTGAAGAGATGCATAGGGGAAGGTATGAGATAAGGAATGTGGAGATCCCATGCCATCTCCAGGGGTGCCACCCTTCAGGAGGGAACTTCCACATATTCAGCTGTCTAGAAGTTCTGTAGACCTAGTATTATTATTTTTTTTTAAATGTAAGCTTCATTATGTAGGTATGATTTTTTTTTTTCTTTTTTTGAGACAGAGTCTCCCTCTGTTGCCGAGGCTGGAGTGCAGTGATGCGGTTTCGGCTCACTGCAACCTCCGCATACTGGGTTCAAGCGATTTTCCTGCCTCAGCCTCCTAAGTAGCTGGGACTACAGGCATAAACCACCACACCCAGCTAATTTTTGTATTTTTAGTGAGAGACAGGGTTTCATTAGGTTGGCCAGGCCAATCTCGAACTACTGGCCTCAAGTGATCCGCCTGCCTCGGCCACCCAAAGTGCTGTGATTAGAAGTGTGAGCTACCGCGCCCGGCCTATTATTTGTACATTTTGGATAACAGGTTTTTTTTGTTTGTTTGTTTTTAGATCAGATGCATCTTTTACAAATATTTCTCCTGGTCTGTGGCTTGTTTTCTCATTCTCCTGCCATTGTTTTTTGGAGGGAAAAAGTTTTTAATTTTAATGAAGTCCAGCTTATCAGTTCATCCTTTCATGGATTCAGCATTGATGTTATATCTAAAAAGTCATTGCCATAGCCAAGTTCATCTAGATTTTCTACCTTTTTTTTTTTTTTTGGAGTTTTATAGTTTTGTGTTTTAGGTCTGTGATCCATTTTGAATTAATTTTTGTAAAAAATATAAGGTCTGTGTCTAGTTTCTTTTTTTTTTCTTTGCATGTGGATGTCCAATTGTTCAGCACCATTTGTTGAAAGGGCTGTTTTTTCCCCTGTATTGCATTTGCTCCTTTGTTAAAGATCAGTTGACTATATTTATGTGTCCTATTTCTGGACTCTCTATTTTGTTGTATTGATTAATTTTATATTTTATCACTAATACCACATTGTTTTGATTACTGTAGCCTTATTATAAGTCTTGAAGTTGGGTAGTGTCAGTACTCCAACTTTGTTCTTTTCCTTTAGTATTGTGATGGATATTCTGGGTCTTTTGCCTCTTCATATAAACTTAGAATCAGTTCATTGAATCTACTAAGTAATAAGCTAGGATTTTGGTTGGGATTGTGTTGAATCTATAGATCAAATTGGAAAGAACCAACATGTTCACAATATTGAGTCTTCCTATCCATGAACATGGAATATCTATTCATTTATTTAGTTCTTCTTAGAACATTTTTAGAAGAGTTTTATAGTTGTCTTCATATAGATCTTGAACATATGTTGTTAGATTTATACCTATCTTATTTTTTGATTGCTTATATAGATGGTAGTGAATTTTTTAATTTTTATATTCCACTTGTTCATTGTTGACATACTGAAAAATGATTGACTTTTGTGTGTTAACCTTGTATCCTGTAACCTTGCTATAATTAGTTCCAGGAAGGTGTTTTTTGTTTGTTTTCACTGTTCCGAAGTTTAATTAAAAGCACAATTTACAAATATTTGATATCTTGTGAAAGCGTTTTTAAGTTAAGAATGGAAAAGTATGTACATAATACATAATCAAATACCAGGTGGCCTCAACTCCCACTAGGTCCACTCCGTGTCTTTTTAGGTTCTTCAAGATCTTCTGTTAAATCTACAAAGTTGTTTTCCATGACAGGGGAAGGAATGGAAATCCCCATTGCTTTTTGAACTCCATACATGCTTACGATATCACCTGGAGTTACTTGTTGTACAAGTTCTTTAAGATTATTGGTCACCTGTTCAGCAAGATGCATTTCTTTGTATGAGGGATCCAAGAGACATCATATTGGGAAGGGGTCAGGTGTTCAAATGCTCATTGAGCTGGAGCTCCCTGAGCAATTTGTTGGTCTCATCAGGTTTCTTCTGGAATACTTCAGCTTCTTCAAGAGTCAAAAACTTCAACCGGAGCGCCAAAGTTTGTTACTGCTTTCAGTGCCATGAGCCTATCTTGAGTATTAGAGTCCAAATGTCCTGCTGGCTCTACTTGTGTAATCTCCATTTGTTTTGCTGTGTCAAGTGTCCTAGTATGGCCTTCATCGTCAGGTGATATCTCCAACTCTTATAGGGCCCTGGAATCCCCTCCTTTTGTTAAAACATCCAGCAAACTATCTGTCTTAACATATGGGTAATCTTGGCATGGGGCCAGAAACTCATGGTTGCTGAAATTGCTTGGAAGATCAGTCTTCCCCCATAGATTGCATAGATTAAATCTGAATTATCCTTGCTGATATTCATAAATGTGGAGTCATAATGCGGTACATAAGAACTCCAGGGTCCATAATTCAAATATAACCCTGGAGTTACTTTGTTCCTTTTATCCTCTTTGAACCCCTGCAGAATATTCACTCCAGACTGAAGTCTTCCAGTTGTCATTCCCAGTCTCATAGGGCAGTATTCTGGCTCTCCTACAATGGGATCCACAGGATGGGGAAGTCCCAGTCTTCTTGTTCCATCTGGTTTTCTTCTTTCAAATTCCCACTGACTGTTAACAAGCCACCTGGTCAGTTTTCCTCCAGATTCCTTCATGATGCAGTCAAGCTGCTCCTACTGTCTCTCTAAATTACTGCTTTTAAACTTAAAAGCATATCTTTGTCTTTCTTTTTATTTTCTTTGCTGGGACTCTTGAAGGCTTGTGCTTCGGCATCTCCAGAGTCCTCTCTCTCTCTCTCTCTCTCTCAGCCAGCAGCCTCCATCCTCCCCACTCTGTGAGATGTCTGTTCTGTCTTTCTGCTTTCAAGTTTTTTCAAGTTAGCCATGAAGTCTGTGGTCTGCTTCAGGCTCTGAATTTTTTCCTGGCTAAAAATTTTCATCTCTGAGTGTAACAGCTTCTTTGCAGCTTTATAATAAGTGGTCTCTGGTTTGTTGTAAATCATGGCATTAGTACATATTGGTTTGAAGTTATCCGTTAGTTCTTCACTGTTCTTGATCTCTTCTTTCATGTTGCTGAGATCCATTGGGTGTTTAATGATGATGGAGTAGCCAGGAGCAATAAAATCACAGAAAACGAAAAGAGCACTTGGATCTTTTCTCTGCAGCTGTCTCATCAGTTGATTCATGTTCTCAGGCCCCAGCTAGGTCTCATGGGCTGTCTTCTCAAGAGGGGCCTTGTGCCACCTGGCACACATGCTAACCCCCTGCATTGGCGTGCGGGGTTTGGTAGGCCCTGCTCCTGTCCTCCACCTCGCCTGGCCTGGACCAGAAGTGGCACCCCAAGGCCTGGGCCTGGCATGGGAGGTGGGCACCAGGGCCTGGTCAGACATGGGCAAGGAGCACAAGTCAGAGAAGCACCTCTACAAAGAGTATGTGGAAAAGCCCTTGAAGCTGGTCCTCAAAGTAGGAGGGAAAGCAGTTACTGAGCTCTCCACGGGCAGTTTGGAGCACTGCTCCAGCCTCTTCAAAGACAAAAACAATCATGACAAACACAAGGACAGAAAGTGGAAAAAGAGAAAGAAAGGAGAGAAGCCAGTTCTGGGGGAAGAAAAGGGGAGAAAGCAGAATTGAAGAGGACAAAAATAAGCGAGATCAAGACCATGTGGAGAATGAGGCAGAAAAAGACTTCCAGTGTCATGCCCCTATGAGATTAGACTTGCCTCCTGAGAAGCCTCTCACAAGCTGTTTATCCAAACAAGAAGAAGTAGAACAGATGTCCCTTCAAGATGTTTGTTTGTTTGAGACAGGGTATTGCTCTGTTGCTTAGGCTGGCATGCAGTTGCACAATCATATGTGCAATTGTAGCTTGTTGAGCACCCGATTTTGTTGCTGTTTGGGGCAGTACTTGTAGCCTGCATGGACCTTGGGAGACTGAACAAAGGGGGTGAACGTGGGAATAAAAGACAAAGACAAAAGAGTATAATTGGAAGAAGGGGTCGGGGGCACCTTGCCTCTAGTGGACAGGGTCCTTGAGCTTTTTCAGCCCTCTGAATGTATTAGGTAAAAGAGATAACGAGAAAGAGAGGGTGATTGTTGAGTAATTATCAGTCAGCCTGTTTGGTTCACAGCAGGCTTGTGAGACTGCATCCTTCGAACAATAGGTGCTAGATTTCCCAGTAGATAACTTCAAGGAGCCCAGCGCCAGGGAGTGATGGTCCTCAGGAAACCTTTTAGCAGCAGGTGCAGTGTGAGTTTGCCCACGTCCTGCGTTCATGATAAATAGTTTGCTGTTTGATCATATAGCCACCAGTGGAATGCTGAGTTGGTCACGGTCCCTTTGGCATTTTTGGCTCCCAGCAGTAGCTCACTACAGCCTCCAACTCCTGGGCTCAAGCAATCCTTCTGCCTCAGCCTCCTGAGTGGCTGGGAGTACAGGTGTGTGTCACCATGCCTGGCTAATTAAAAAAAAAAATACTTTAGTAGAGGCAAGGTCTCACTATGTTGCCTAGGCTGGTCTTCAACTTCTGGGCTCAAGTGATCCTCCTGCCTTGGCCTTCCAAGGTGCTGGGATAACAGTCATGAGCCACTGCACCTAGCCAGGAGTTTTTTTGTATGGATTCTTTTTGACATTTTATAAAAGATGATCATGTTATCTGTGAACAATGATGGTTTTATTTCTTCCTTCCTTTCCAATCAGTATACCTTTTATGTACTCTTTTTGTCTTATTGCATTAGTTAGCACTTCCAGTATGATGTTGAAAAGCAGTAGTGAGAGGGGACATTCGTGCATGCTTTTTGATCTTGGTGGCGAAGCTTCAAGTTTCTCACCACTATAAATATAATGTTAGCTATACTTGTATTTTGTATATGTTCTTTATTAAATTGAAGAAGCTTCCTCTATTACTAGTTTGCTGAGAGTTGTTTTTTTGTTTGTTTTGTTTTTTGTTTTTTTTGAGACAGAGTCTCACTCTGTCCCCCAGGCTGGAGTGCAGTGATGCGATCTGGGCTCACTGAAACCTCCGTTTCCTGGGCTCAAGTGATTCTCCTGCCTCAGCCTCCCGAGTAGCTAGGACTACAGGTGGCTGCCACCATGCCTGGCTAATTTTTGTATTTTTAGTAGAGACGGGGTTTCACCCTATTGGCCAGGCTGGTCTCAAACTCCTGACCTTGTGATCCACCCGCCTCAGCCTCCCAAAGTGCTGGGATTACAGGCATGAGCCACCGTGCCTGGCCAAGAGTTTTTAATCATGAATGGGTGTTAGATTTTGTCAAGTGCATTTCGTGGATTTGACATAATCATGATTTGTCTTTTTTAGCCTGTTGGTGATGGAGTACCTTAATTAATTTTCAAACATTGAACTTTTAGTTTCTTTTGTTTATTTCAGATTTACTTTTTCTAGTTGATATTCTCTACTTTTTCTGATTTCCTAGGTGGAGGCTTAGATGATTTATTTTAGATCCTTTTTTTCTTATCTAATATATGCATTCAATGCTATAAATTTCTAAGTACTGCTTTCACTGGATACCACAAATTTTGATAGGTTGTATTTTCCTTTTCATTTAGTTGACATTTTTAAATTTCTCTTGAGATTTCCTTTTTAACCTATGTATTATGTAGAAGTGTGTTGTTTAATCTCCAGGTATTTTGGGATTTCCCAGCTGTCTTTCTGTTTTTGATTTCTAGTTTAATTCCACTATGGTCTGACAGCAGACATTGGATGATTTTTTATCTTTTTAAGGTGTATCTTATGGCCCAAAATGTTGTCCGCTTTGGTGAATGTTCCAGGTGAGCTTGAGATGAATGTGTGATGCCATTTTTGGATGAGTAGTCTACAGATGTCAGTTACAGTTAATTGATTGATGGGGCTGTTGAGATAAATTACACCCTTACTGATTTTCTGCCTGTTGAAACTGTCCATTTCTTTTCTTTTCTGTTTCCCTCCTTCCCTCCCTCCCTCCCTTTCCTCCCTTTCCTCCCTTTTTCCTTTCCTTTCTCTCTCTCTATTTTTTTTTTTTTTTTTAACAGATTGGGTCTCACTATGTTTCCTAGGGTGGTCTCAAACTCCTGGGCTCAAGCCATCCACCTGCCTTGGCCTCCCAAGCTGCTAGATTTGTCCATTTCTGATACAGTTGTTAAAATCTCCAACTGCGATAGTAGATTAATCTGTTTCTCTTTGTAGTTCTGTCAGTTTTTGTTTGATGTATTTTGATGCTTAGCTGTAGATTTTTTTGTAGTGTTCCACACTTTGTCTTTTATCATTTGTATTTATTTATTTTTATTTTTTGTAGATATGGGGGTCTCACTATGTTGCCTAGGCTGGTCTCGAACCCCTGACCTTAAGTGATCCTCCTGCCTCAGCCTCTCAAAGTACTGGGATTACAGGCATGAGCCAACCATTTCCCAGTCATTTTAATTGAGCATTTTATATTAATCAATTTTTCTCTTTCTACTTTATTACACTTCTCTTTTTACATTCTTTAGTGGTTGCCCTATAGTTTTCATTTACATTTATAACTAATCCAAGTCTGCTGTCAAGTAACCCTACACCACCTGAAGGTAATGAAGTGTACCTTATGATAAGTACCATATAATAGCAAAATACTTCTAATTCCTCCATCTTCCTTCTCATCCTTGTATCATTGTTATCAGTCATTTCACTTATTCATAAGCATATGTATACATACATGCACACATACACAGAAACATACATAAATGATTACATTGTTGCTGTAATTAAAATGTCACTTGTTAGATCAATTAAGAATAATAAAGCTTTAAAAATTTTTACCTTCACTTATTCCTTTTCCGATGCTCTTGCTTTCTTTGTCTAGATGTGAGTTTCTGACCTGTGTCATTTCCCTTCTCTCTGAAGGCTTTTAACATTTCTTGCAAAGCAGATATACTGGCCACAAAAATCCTTCAATTTTTGTCTGTGGAAGTCTTTCTCTTTCGCTCTTGAAGGATAACTTCAGAGTGTATAGCAGAAGTCCCTAACCTTTTTGGCACCAGGGTCTGGTTTTGAGGAAGACAATTTCTCCACAGACCTGGGGAGGGGGTGTGGTTTGGGATGATTCAAGCACATAACATTTATAGTATACCTCATTTCTATTATAATTACATTTTAATATATAATGAAATAATTGTACAACTCACCATAATGTAGAATCAGTGGGAGCCCGGAGCTTGTTTTCCACAACTAGACGGTCTCATCTGGGAGTGTTGGGAGTCAGTGACACCCAAAGTTTGTTGATTATGTCCAGTCTACTCTGTAATCTCATTTTGGTCGCTATCATTGCAGAAAACCCTGCTTCACAAAGATATGATGTTGGAAATGGAAGCAGGCTTTTCAGTGCTTTTGTGGCAATCTCAGGATATTCTGCCTTGACTCTAATCCAAAATGTATGGAGACTTGAAGTTGTCTCAAACATACTTTTAAGACCACTGTCATTTGCAGTCTCAAGCAGTTGATTCTCTTCTAGTGTGGACAAAGTTGATTCACCTGGCAATTTACAAGTGGGTCGCTATCCATTTCTTCCCAGTTCGGGTTTTTTTATGGTTGGGAATTAATGCTCAGATTCTTTAAAAAGCTGAGATAGGTGATCCATGTACCAGCTGGGAGAAAGAAGGCCCTGGCTCAGTCTGTTTCAAGATTTCTGCTAATGTTTGAAACATGTCAGAAATCCCAATGTTTATGCATTGCCCTCATAATACTAGTTTGGCTTTGAATGCAGCCACTTTTATCTGTTGACTTGAACACCGTTGTCATTCTCCCTTGAAGTGACAACAGATTGACTTCATTGAGCAGGTTGAATATGTTACATAAGTAAGCAAGTTTTGTGAGCCATTCTGTGTCACTGAAATGTGTTGCCAGTGGTGACTGTTTTTCTAAAAGAAATCTCTGGAGTGGCTCTTGTAACTCAAAAACTCTGGCCAGTAATCTACCTTTAGAAAGCAATCACTTCTGGCCGGGCACAGTGGCTCACGCCTGTAATCCCAGCACTTTGGGAGGCCGAGGTGGGTGGATCACGAGGTCAGGAGTTCGAGACCAGCCTGACCAACATGGTGAAACCCAATCTCCACTAAAAGTACAAAAATTAGCCGGGCTTGGTGGCGCATGCCTGTAATCCCAGCTACTCAGGAGGCTGAGACAGGAGAATTGCTTGAACCCCGGGGGTGGAGGTTGCAGGAGCCGAGATCGTGCCATTGCACTCCAGCCTCATAAAATAAAATAAAATAAAATAAAATAAAATAAAATAAAAAATATAAAATAAAATAACACAAAGCAATCACTTCTGTGTATAAGAGATGACGTGTGTGCCCTGCGTCCATCTCCTCACAGAGCTGCACCATCAGATGTGGGTTAAGGGCATGTACTTAATGTGGTTGATAATTTTAAGGATATCCTGCAAAATGTTGCTAAATTCAGGTGACATTTTTCAGCTAGCCAGCATTTCTCTATGGGTGACACAATGTGTGGAGTCACATGCAGAAGTGACCATCTGACCCAAGTTGTGAAGCCAGAAGGACATCCAGTTATGGAAGCCTCTCTGTCTGTGCGTATACTGACACAAAATGACCAATTCCATTTTTCTGATATGTAATCATTCAAAGACTTGAATAATTCTGCAGCTGTGGTGTTGGTTGGCAATAAAAGTGCGTATGACATATCCTCTTGCACATCCTTCTGAAAATATATCACACAAAAGCAAGCCTTGTTGCCTTGTTAACATTGATAGACTTTTCAACCTGGATTGCATACCACAGTGACTCATTCATCCTCTTTAACAACTGTGCCTCAATATCCTCTGCTGTTTCATCAGTTCATTTTGTTGTGATGGCTGAAAGATGAAAGATGAACACATGTCACCTTTTGAACTGCAGCGTCTCCTAAGAGTTCATGACAAATGTGCTTGGCAGCAGGCAGGATCACCTCTTCACCAACAGTAAAGGGCTTTGTATTAGTCTGTTCTGATGCTGCTATAAAGAACTGCCTGAGACTGGATAATTTATAAAGGAAAGAGGTTTAATTGACTTACAGTTCCGCGTGACTGGGGAGGCCTCAGGAAATTTAAATTCATGGTGGAAGGGGAAGCAAACACATCCTTCTTCATATGATAGAAGGAAGAAGTGCTGAGCAAAGAGGGAAAAGCCCTTTGTAAGACCATCAGATCTCAAGAGAACTCACCCGCTATCACGAGAACGGTAGCATGGGGGTAATCGCCCCCATGATTCAATTACCTCCCACTGAGTCCCTCAACATATAGGGATTATTGGAACTACAATTCAAGTTGAGATTTGGGTGGGGACACAACCAAACCGTGTCATTCCACCCCAGCACCTCCCAAATTTCATGTTCTCACATTTTAAAACACAATCATGCCTTCCCAACAGTCCCCTAAAGCCTTAACTCATTCCAGCATTAACCCGAAAGTCCAAGTCAGAAGCCTCATGTGAAACAAGGCATGTTGTTTTTTTAAGGTTTTTTTTTTTTCTCTTTTTCAGTATTGGAAGTTTCTGTCATCATATCCCAAGTTCAGGAATTGTTTCCTCAGCCAGGTCTACTCTGCTAATGAGTCCCTCAAGGACATTCTTTATTTCTGTTAGTGTTCTCAATCTTTAGCATTTCTTTTTTATTCTTTTCTAGAATTTTTATCTCTACACTTACGTTATCTGTATGTTCTTGTATACTGTCTACATTTTCTATCATAATCTTACTAATCCTAGTTGTCAAAAATCCCTGGTCTGATAATTCTGACATTCTTGCCATATCTGACTCTGTGTCTGATGCTTTGTGGTCTCTTCAAACTGCGTTTTTTGCCTTTTTGCGTGTCTTGTAATTTTTGTTGAAAGTAGACATGATGTCCAAGGTTTAATAAGTGTGGTAAATAGAGCTTTAGTAATGCAGTGGTAAAGTGTGCAGGGAAGGGGAAGTATTCTATAGTCCTGTGTTTAGGTCTCAGTCTTTTGGTGAATTTGTTCCTCTGGATTGTGAACTTCAGTTTTCTAAGATTTTTTCTTTCCCCACCCTTAGGCGGGACAGGATGGCAGGAGGGCGATGGAGTTGGTATTTCCACAGGGAAGGCCAAAGGAGCTTGATTTGTGTATTAACCCTCCTCTATGTGGAAGGCTGGAGTTGGCTGGAGTTGGGTTATTCCCTTTACCCCAACTACGTTAAGCTCTGATAAAACCCCAGCAGTTTAGGCTCTGGTAAAATAGTTTCTCCTGACGGCAGGCATTTTTAAGAACAGAATGCTCTGGCATATTTTAAATGGTTCCTTTTCCCCTCCCCCTGCCAGAAACAGGAGGGGATTTTTCTCTGATACTCACTGAAGATCTTGTAGAACACTCCTGGAGGTAAAACTCACAGACATATGGAAACCTCCTGTATGATTGGGTCCCCGTGGAATTTTTAACTCTCAGATTTATCTACTCCAAGTCTCTAGCAATTCATTAGTTACAGATTTTCCCACCCTGGCTCTTCTACTAATGGGTTTTTGCTTTATTAGGTTATGAACCTCTGTTTCTACCTATCCTTTTTTTCCAGTTTTGGAGGCAGCAGTTTGCCCTGTAACCTCATTTCTCTCACAGACTTTAGAAGACTTGTTGATATTTCAGTTTTTTCAGCTTTTTATTTTATTTTTTTTAGGACTGAGTGGCGACTTCTGATATCTTTACACGCTGGGCTAGAAACTGGAAGTCTGTATTAGCTTTTTATAGTTTCATAGCCTAGCCATCTTCCTGAGTTCCATATCTATCTTTCTGCCTGGTGTCCATCTGTACTTGTATATTCAAATGAAATAATAATCATAGGCTCTAATTATATTAAGTATATCTGCTTAAGTATAACCTATTTTTCTATATAACCTACTGTTCTTCTTTATATTTACTTCTGCCCAGAAGATAATCTTCCGTATTAGTTAGACAAAATCTTAAACCTTGGTTATCTTTAACATTTATTTTCCATTTACATCTTTAAATAATCATTTTCTCTAAATCCTTTCACCCTGCTTCCAGTTTCTTCATTCTGTTCTCCATGCTCTATATCAGCTCCTTGTTTCTTTTCAGCTAAATTAGTTAGAATAATTTCTTTAAATGATAACATCCATATTCATTCTCAGTGCATCTTGTTCACTGAATCTAGCTTTGTCCTATTTCTTCTAGCACTCTCTTGTCTTTTTCCTCTCATCTCTTCCCTTTCATCAGACTTGCTCAGAGTCTAGACACTAGATTGAATGCTGGGGAATATAGAGATTTACAAAGCCAAGTTCACAATTCTTGGAATTCTACAGGAAGGCTGCAACCTAGATTTGTAAGTTTTCCCTTTTATTCTGCCCACTTGTAACCTATAAACATGACATGATAACTCTCTGTATCTACTTTTTAACCTTTTTAAAAATGTTCTTTCTAGAATGCCTGTTCCTTTTTCCATTCTTGCCAGAATCTGTTTTTCAAAATCTGTCTCAAAAGCCACCTCTCCAGAAAAGCCTTTTTCCTCATTCGCTCAATGTCTTCATGTATCCTACTTTCTCCCAATACTTTGTACTTAACATGGCCTTTATTTGGCTACCATATTCATTCTGTTCTATATTACAATCATCTAAAGGCTTCTCATGTCTCTGATTAAAATTTGAGTTTGTAAAGGGTGAGTCTGCCATCTTTGAAATAGCCTGGACATGATAAATGCTATTTCTGTAATGGTTGAGTTGCATGCTTACCTTTTGGGAAAGTATCAGTTCTTCAAGGCCTAGTTCAAATTTACTTCTGTAACACCCTCCCTTAGCTACTGCACATGTAACTATCTTAGCACTTAGTTTCATTGTCTTTTTTTGGTCTTTTTGTGTATGACACATTAAACTGGTGGGATCTGATTTTATTAACTGTAGAATCCCCAGCACCTAGCACAATGCCTAACGTATGTGCTTTGTAAATATCTTTTAAATAAATGGAAAAATAACCTCTTTCTTTGCTTTTACAGTACTTTGTTGATATCTTTTTACAGCACTTAACCACATGCTGATTTGTTTGAAGGAATATTTGTATTTCCTGCCTTCCTCTTCCAGATTTTAATCCTACATGGGGGAGAGGGAATATCTTCCCCTTGAAAAGAATTTCCTTCAAAGCCTTGCTCATAGAAGCAATAATACATTTATTCATTCAACAATTATTTTGTGAGTACTTATTTTGTGCCATTTTTTTCTATGCAATAGGGAATATAAGATGGACACTTTGAGATGGACAAGAATCCCCGATTCATGGATCTTACTTTCTAGTTAGAGAAACATTCTATTAATACATATTGAATTTAGTATTAGCTGGAAATGATTAACTGTGAAGAAATTTTTCTTTAGTTTTTATTTATTTACTTAGAACTTTCACTTTTATATGATTAATGTATATACTGTACTATTTACATGTTGAAGTATACTTTTAAAATCAAATAATAGCTGTCTTTCATGAAGTTTCTCCTATATGCTGGAAACCTTACATACTTTATCTTTCTTCAAAAAACACTGCAAAGTAGGCTTTATTGTTTCTGTTTTAGAGATGAGAAAACCAGGGTTTTGAGAAGGTAAGTAATTTACTTTAATTATGGTACATAACTAGGAAGCAAGATAGCTGGAATTTAAATCAAGGTGTGTCTGTTCATGTAGCCTATATGTACTCCTTATATTATACTTCATTTCCAATTTCTTCACATTTGTTCAAGACAAACTTTTAAAGTCTTACCTCCTTTTTTTCTTTCCTAACAGCCACAATATGAGAACACTTCACTCCAGACACCATTTTCAGAGGAATCAGTTTCCCATTCCCAACAAGGGGAATTTGAGCAAAAGCTTGCATCTACTGAGAAAGAAGTTTTACAGCTTAATGAGTTTCTCAAACAAAGACTAAGCCTATTTAGTGAAGAGAAGAAGAAACTAGAGGAAAAAGTAGGTTTTTCTAATAAAGTTGAATTAGGTCAACAACATTTCCTCAGCATATAATTATTTGTCTGTCATTTACCCTGTCAGGTGTCATGCCAGGTTATGTATACATTTATGTGGAGGTGATTAATTTTGTAGTAACTTTTGAGAAGCCCTCTGCTGTCTGCAGAAATCCAAGGATTTTCTTTGAGGATAGAAATGCTCTTGTATATCTTTCTAACAAATAGTAAAATCTTTAAAAAATTAATTGCCTACACCAAATAACTGTTCTCCTTTTCCTTATTGAGTCTATGATTTCATTTTTTTTGTCATGTTGGGCATAAAGGGTTGGTAAATGAAGCTGGCCTATCTTTAATAATGATGCAACTTAAGTTATTAAACTGAAGCCCCTGATTCAGAATAAGAAGCTAAAAACCAAATACACAGACAGGAACACTAGATATGCATGCATATGTGTGTGTGTGTGTGTGTGTGTGTGTGTGTGTGTGTGTGTGTATAGATGTTGGTATGAAATAGAAGGGAATGATTTTACACTATTGGTGAGAATGTAAACGAGTACAACAACTATGGAAAACAGCGTGGAGAACAGCGTGGAGACTCCTTAAACAACTAAAAGTAGAGCTACCATTTGATCCAGCAGTCCCACTACTAGGTGTCTGTCCAGAGGAATAGACGTCATTACATAAAAAACACTTGCACATGCTTGTTTATAGCAGCACAATTTGCAATTGCAAAAATATGGAACCAGCCTGAATGCCCATTAAGCAAAGAATCGATAAAGAAAATGTGGTGTGTGTGTGCTTTTTGATTATTATCAGTATAATTTTGACTTTTCATGGACTTCATATTAATGAAATTACATGGTATATATTCTTTTATTCAATGTCTTTGAGATTTATTTTTATAGCTACATGTATCAGTTTCTATCTATTGCTGAGTAGTGTTTTTCATTATAAAGATATACTACAGTGTATCTATTCTCCTGTTGATAGATATTTGGATTTTTAGCATTTTGGAGAAATTATGAATAAGGCTGCTGTGAACGTTCTTGTACAAGATTTTTTGTCTATGTGTGTCTTCATTTATCTTGGATAAATACCTGGTAGTTGAATTGCTGGATCATAGGGTTTGTACAGTCGATATTTAACTTACAAGAAACTACCCAAGTGATTGTACCATTTAATACTCCCACTACTAGTGTTGGGAATTCCAGTTTCTCCACATCCTCCCAAATCCATTCTTGATAGCGCAAAGGACTTAACTTTTAACAACAAAGGATCCAGTCATTTTACTTCTTTGGTTAAAACTAATTTATGCCATCCCATTATATTTTCTCTTTTCGTTGTAGAAAGAACATTTAATACAAGATGTACCCTTTTAACAAATTTTTGAGTGTATAATTCAGAACTATAGGCATATTGTACAGCAGATCTCTAGCACTTATTCATTTATGTAATTGAAACTTTGTATGCATCGAAGAGTAACTCCCACTTCCCTGCTCCCCAGTCCCTGACAACCACCAGTCTACTCTCTGTTTCATTTATCTCATATAAGTGGAATTATGTAGTATTTGCCTTTTTGTGACTGGCTTGTTTCACTTAGCATTATATCCCCCAGAGCCATCCATCTTGTCACAAATGATGGGATTTCTCTTTTCAAAGTTTGAATAATATTCCATTTTGTGTGTGTGTGTGCGTGTGTGTGTGTATATATATACACACACGTATGTGTGTGTGTGCATGTGTATATATGTGTGTGTGTGTGTATATAACATTTATGTTGCTCATTCACCTGTTGCTGGATATTTAGATTGTTTCCACATCTTGGGTTATTGTGAATACTGCTAGGAACATGGGAGTACAAATGTTGCTCAGAGATCCTGATTTCAATTCTTTTGGATAAATATCCAGAAGTAGGATTGCTTGATCATGTTTTATTTTTAGTTATTTGAGGAACCTCCATACAGATTCCCATAGCAGCTGTATCATTCTACATTTCCACCAAGTGTTCAAGGGTTCCCCTTTCTCCACATCCTTGCCATCATTTGTTATTTTCTTTTTTCAAGAAAAAAGATGGCCAGCCTAACAGGCACGAGATGGTTTTGATTTGCATTTTCCTGATGATTAGTGATGTTGAGCATCTTTTCATATACCTGTTCACTATTTGTATGTCTTCTATGCAGGAATTGAGCATGTGTGGATTTGGTTATACATGAGGTGTCCTGGAGCCAATCCCTTTCATATACCAAGGGACAACTGTACTTTCTTATGCTTTTGTATTACTGTTTAGCATCCCTTTATTTCAACTTGAAGAATTCCTCTTGACATTTTTTATAGTACAAGGGTAGGTAATCAACTATAATATCACAGCTTTTGTTTGTGTGGGAAAATCTTTATCTCTCATTTTTTTTTTTTTTTTTTGAGACAGAGCTTTGCACTTTTTGCAAACTCAGGCTGGAGTGCAATGGTGTGATCTTGGCTCACTGCAACTTTTGCCTCCTGGGTTCAAGTGATTCTCTTGCTTCAGCCTCCCGAGTAGCTGGGATTACAGGCACGTGCCACCATGCCCAGCTAATTTTGTATTTTTAGTAGAGACGAGGTTTCACCATGTTGGCCAGGCTGGTCTCAAACTCCTGACCTGAGGTGATCCACCCACCTTGGCCCCCCAAAGTGCTGGGATTACAGGAGTGAGCCACTACACCCAGCCACTCCCATTCATTTTTGAAGAACACTTCTTCTTACATTATTCTGGGTTGACAATTACCCCCATTCCCCATTGCCCAAGCAGTGCAAGTTTATCATCCCACTTTCTCTGCAAAATTTCTTCTGAGAAATCTGCTCATAGTCTTATTGGAGTTCTCTTGCATGTGACAGGTCATTTTTCTTGTGATGCTTTCAGAATTCTCTTTTTGACTTTGACAATTTGATTTAACTGTGTCTTTGTACATATTTCTTTGGGGTCATCTTATTTGGGTTCCATTGGGTCCCCTGGATCTGGATGTCCATTCCCCATGCCTCCTGCCTCTCCCTCCCACACACACATATTTGGGAAGTTTTTAGTCATTATTTCTTTGAATAAGCTTTCTTTCCCTTTCTCCCCCTTCCTTTTTTGGGACTCCTACAATGTGTATATTTGTCCGCTTAATGGTGTTTTTTAAGTTTCTCAAGCTTTCTTTACTTTTTTATTCCTTGTTCTTTTTGTTACTCTGACTTGATAATTTCCAAATACCTGTGTTTGAGTTTGTTTATTTCTTCTTCTGCTTGATCTAGAGTGCTTTTGACCCTCTCTAGTGAATTTTTATTTCAGTTATTATATTTTTTAGTTCCAAGATTTGTTTGGTAAAGTATTTCCTATCTCTGTTGAAATTTTACTTTGTTCATGCATTGTTTACCTGACCTCATTGAGCATCTTTATGTTGGGTATGTTGAATTCTCTTTCAGGCAAATCATGTATCTTGGTTTTATTAGATTTGGTTTCAGGAGATTTATTTTGTTTGTTTTGGACATATTTCCCTGTGTGTTAATTTTTCCTCCCTCTTTAAGTTGATACTTGTATATTATATAAAATAGCTATCACTTCCACTCCTCAGAGACTAGCCTTATACAGGAGAAGACCCTCACTAATCAGTCTGGCGAGAGAGGGGGGCTTTTCATATCTTTGTACTAGTTTAACTAATTTTTTTTTTTGTTCTTAGCATCCTTCAGGCTTCAGGAGTATTCTAGGTCCTATCAGTACTCAGACAAGCAGAATTTCAGCCAGTCCCTTGGCCAGACTTCTGAAAAGTCAGATTGTTGGGTGTTCTGTCCATTGCTTTCTCTGCACAGGGAGAAACTTGAATCTGGAGTTTCTTCACTCATTGCTGGAGTGCTGAGCTGGAGCTGTGGACTGTGGAAACTGCTAGCCTAAACCATCATCTCTGATCTCACCGGTCTGATCTCACTGGTCCCAGGCAGCAAGAGTGTCATGGTCCTATTAGTGTTCCAAGACAGGCAAGGCAGAAGCCAGTCTTCTGAACAGCACCCAGAAAAGTTGGGGTGTTGGATGTGTGATCCAACTATTTTCTTTCCCAACAGGTTCCTTCTGATCATATGCTGTATTGGGGGTAGGATTACAGGTGTCCTACATTTCCTTAATTGCTTCCATGTGGCTGATTTTGCATTCACCCAGAGTACAATAGCTTCTTGACTAATTTTTGGATTTCTTAAAAAGGGAATTTGTCCATGTTGGGGGTTTTACTATTTTTTTAATTGAACCCACATGTTGGTTTGGGGAAGGAGAGTTCAAGACTTGCTTTTCTGCCATCTTGCTGACACTACTCTCCAGGTCTTTAAAATATAAATCAAATTCTTCCCATGGCCTGAGACACATTGCCTAATTATATATCCATAGGTTCTGCCAATCTTCCTCTGATAAACTGTGTATTGATACACTGGGTGTTACAGTTGCTCAGACAGCTCAGGCTTTGTTTCTGGTATCAGGATCTTTACACAGAGTGGCCTTTTTGCATGGTAAATACTTGGCTATTTTTTTCTCCCACTTTCAAGTCACCTATTTATTTGCTCAAATCTAGCTTAATATTTTTCCCTTCTACTCCTCCTTTCATATGCTTATAGCATTTTATTCTTTTTTTCCAGGGCTCAACCCAATTTGTATAATCATTATTTTTTATATTTCTCTCTAAGCTCCTTGAAGGCAGGGGGATTGTATTTGAATGTGTCTCTGTGGCGTATGTAGCACCATTCATGGTGCCTGGCATGTTGAATGAATTCTTTCAGGTAATTTTTGCCAGGATGGGAGAGAAAGCAGTAAGGTAGACTAGGGAAAAAACAATGAGAGAGAGAGAGATCAAAGATGTTAGAGTGGGTGCATAATGGAGCAAGTTCGGGAAGGGTTGGTAACAGATGCAAATATGGTAGAGTTACTCTCCGAAAAGAAGAGGAGTAGCTTCTGTGGGAGTGAGGCAATTAAGAATGGAAATGTACATACCAGAGAAATTTGAGGAGAGGGGATAGATGTAGAGGGCAGAGTTTGTGTCAGAGCACATGGAGATGACTTGAGTTCTTCAAGGGAGTGCATAGATTAGGAAGAGCAGGCTCCTTGATAACAAATCAACAAACAGCACTTTGGGTCCACACAAGATTGGATCATATTGTTTCTTTTGGCATTTACTCTGTAATCCTTATCAAAGACTGATTCTATGACAGAAAAAACAATGTGGTAATAATAATGTTACCTTTGAGTTCTTTCTTATAAAAGCCAGATAATAAAGAAAAGTAACTTTGTGAACTTCTTATAAAACATGTCCTTCCTATTACCTTCTAGGAATGATATCAGTATTGCGTCATACCTCTTTGAAAAGAAAAACTTAGCCTTGTATTAATAGAATAGAGAAGATTTATTAGTGACACCTCATTTATCTGGAGGTAATTAATGCAGTTCAGACTTCAGTAACCTCTGTTTGTATGGGACAGCACAAAACTTGGCAGTTTTAAAAAAAAATGAAACACCAAAAAACAAAACAAAGAGCTTGTCATCTGTGAGCAGGCTGAAAAAAACCCAAGACCCAATGAATATGTATGATCAACATGTGACCAACAAATAACAGAGACAGTGTCTCGTAGGAGAGTGTTGGCAGCAATTTGTGATCAAGGGAAGCAAGCTTGACATGACAGCAAAGAGAGTTGGACAACCAAAAGAAAAAGAAGAAAAGTAGGACATCTTTGCACACAGACAGACCTATTCCAGTCATTGCTTTTTGAGGCATCATTTTGTCACATTGAAGACATTTAGACAGTTGAGTCCAAGTTAGAGAGCATTAAGTAAACATAGGTTGGTTTATCATGTTTACCTCTGTAATGTACAGGGTCATTTGCTAAGGCAAGAGCAGGCTTGGTTGATGGGGACCAAGCACAGCTGGTTACTAAAATAAGAACCTGATAATGAGTCATAACAAAGAACTGAAAGAAAGTTGATTTTCAGTCAGATGATCTAGATTCAAATTCCACTTCTGATTTTGTGACTTGTTAAGTCACTAAAGATCTTTGGGCCTCATCTGTAAAAAGGGAATTGTATTATATGGTCACCACCAGTGCCAACAGTATGTAAGGTTTTCTATTCTGATAGATCACAGGGTAAACTGTCACACCAGCACATTTACCTTTAATCCTAAGAAAGCCCCAATAAATAATAGGATGTGTTTGTCTTACCAGTGTTGCTCCTTACCAGAGGTCATAAGTAGATCCTAATGTCACTGGTGAAATGAATAATTTTTCCACATGAAGTTTTAAAAATTGTTATACATTAGACCTGAAAAAAATTAGAAAATACATGAAAGAAACTAGACTGTGAACAAGTGTTAGCTTTAATAAAGTTTGAAAGAATAATCCATCTTACTGCTAATTATTGCCAGTTATTTTCCCAGTGAATATGGGAAAACACTGTAAAAATATTTTAGAACCCTGTAAGTTTTGAAGAGGATTAAATGGTTGGAAGATTGTTAATTTAAGGTAAATAGGAGTAAATATGAAAGAGCTTTGACTATGAGATATGAAATTTATAGATGATATATTTCATGTAGTAGGGGGTAAAAAGTACATGAAAATCTGACTTTCAGCCTATATAAATTGGGATTTACTAGAATCATTATCATGTGTGTACACACCATGTGTGACATAAGTGTTCGGTTACCATACTTTATCAATCCTAAAATGACATCAATAGTAAGACACCTTTATTTTGTGGTTTTTAGAAAGAAAATAAGCTGCAAATTCAATTATGACACAGTGCCTTAAACTAGTGTTGCTTGAGGTATGAATTGGTTTCACTAGTCCATTATCTGCCCCTAAGTATTTGGTGTATTCTTCCAGCTTTAGTTGCATTGTTTAGTACACTATAAGCAATTTCTCTGCAAGTCTGTTAACGTAACAAAATAGTTTTAGTTACTTGTAGTATCTTCCTCTCTTAGTTCCCATAAAGCATTTGGGTATAGTTATGCAAAAACTAAGAAATCGGAGTCATTCCTTCAGAGATGAATACTTCACTGATTTCAAAGGCTTTTTTTCTGTGCCTGTCTGGGCACCCAATAACATTGTTCCATACTAAATTGTAAGGTAACATTGTTTAGGCATTTTAGACATCATTTAAACTCAACACATAGTTTCTACATGTATATGACAATATTGAAATCACAAAGATATGAACAGCCTTGACCAAATTTGCACATGTGCAGGCAATAAAAACTATGTCATTACTGCCCCCTGGTTGATGACAATTTATAGGATGCCGTCCATGGTAAAAGCAAATATTCCCTAAACTGTTGATTTCAGTGACATAAATTTTTTTAAGTGTAAATCTTTTTTTGTTTGTTTGTTTAAATTGAGACAAAGTCTCGCTCTATCACCCAGGCAGGAGTGCAGTGGCACAATCTCGGCTCACTGCAACCTCAGCCACCCCAGTTCAAGCGATTCTCATACCTCAGCCTTTCAAGTAGCTGGGACTACAGGCACGTGCCACCACGCCCAGCTAATTTTTTTGGGTATTTTTTTAGTAGAGACAGGGTTTTGCCATATTGGCCAGGCTGGTCTCAAGCTCCTGACCTCAGATGATCAGCCCATCTCAGTCTCCCAAAGTGCTGGGATTACAGGCATGAGCCACCACACCCGGCAAGTGTAAATCTTAGAATGAAATAAGGTAAATCTTAATTGAGTTGCTAGTGGCCTTCGCTATAACCTGAAACTGTTGGTGAATTCAATGGTGTCTAATATTAAAGTGTTGGTTTTGTTATATCTTTTAATGACTGAAAACTACTGAAGGTTCATAATTGTTTGCTTTTAGCTTAAAACTAGAGATCGATACATCAGTAGTCTGAAAAAGAAATGCCAGAAGGAATCTGAACAAAACAAAGAAAAGCAGAGAAGAATTGAGACCTTGGAAAAGTATCTGGCTGATCTTCCAACTCTAGATGATGTACAGAGTCAGAGTCTACAGGTAACATGAAATAAAATGCTTATCTTTAAATGACATGAAAACATGTTAACTTGACTCTAGAAATTTGGCTAACTATAAGTTAAATCTATGTGTTTAATTGCTGTTTTGGGGACTTAATTCTAATAAGAAACTTTGTTTATCTAAGCATGCATAAGTAGATCTTTCTTGTCAGTTAATAAGTGATTACCTTCCTATTGATCCTGTATTGTAACTCTCTTAACTACTGTAGAAGTTAGTTTCTAAACCAGTCTGCCAACCTCTACCCCATACACATGCATGCACACACCCCCAGTTCTGGTGCTTTCCAACACAGTCTCTAGGATTCACCAAGGCTCGACAAGACCTTTTGTTGACTATCTTTCTAGATATTTTCTTCATTCTTCTTAACCTTTATATATATATATTTTTCTTATACCTTGACCTATGACTTCAATTAACTCCTCTGACTTTTTCTTTTATTTATTTTTTTTTCCTTAACAATACCTCAGAGTCTTTCTCCTAACTGAGGTGAGGGCCACTCTCTTGAAACCTTATTTATAAATCCACTAGATCTACTCTTCAGTCTCTTCCCAAAGTTGTTCTAAGCCAGGGATTCTTGACCTCGGCACTATTGACATTTGGAGGCAGATAATTTTTTGTTACAGGGGTGTGCCTTGATCTTTGAAGGGTGTACTTCTGCATCCACATATCTGCCCTCTACTCACTAAGTGCCAATAGCAGTGCTCCTTCTCGTTTATCCCAAACCCAAAATGTAAACAGATATTTCCAAATGTCTTCTGGGGGTAAAGTTACCCCCACTCAAGAATCTAATCTATGAAGTGTCACTCTGCATACTTTAAGACCTATGTTGCATTCTCTGTTTATTTTACATTAATTTATAAGTTGTAAAAACTAAGAGAGATTAAAGTCAGGCAGGAAATTAAGGACTGCAGGAGGTTGCATGAGCAGGAACAGAGGGCAATGGGTATTAGAAAATATGTCAGAAAATACCTAACATCCACTGGGGTGGCAGTTAAGGGTCTTGAACAGATGTTTGTACACCCATGTTTATAATGTGATTATTCACAATAGCCAAAAGGTGGAAGTAGCCCAAGTGTCCATGACCAGATAAATGGATAAACTAAAGGTGGTATATACATACAGTGGAATCCTGTTCGCCTTAACAAGGAGAGAAATTCTGACACATGCTATCGTATGGATTAACCTGGAGGACATTTTGTGAAGTGAAATAAGCTAGTCACAAAAAGGCAAATACTGTATGATTCCACTTAATGAGATACCTTAAGAATTCAATCACAGAGATAGAAAGTAGAAAGTTGGTTACCAGGAAATGGAGGGAGAGATAGATGGGGAGTTGTTTAATTGATATAGAGTTTCAATTATGCAAGATGAAGAGTTCTGGAGATTAGTTGCACAACAATGTGAATGTACTTAACCTCAACCTGTCATACACTTGGAAATTGTTAAGACAGTATAGAGTTATATATTTATTACAATAAAAGTAAAATAAATTTAAAATGAGAATATTAACCTTTCTCGGTCTTCTACAAATTTCTAACCCCATTCTCTTCCTTGTAATTCTGTTCTTCTAGGTGCCTTTCACACAGAGGAAGAGATGGAGAATTAAATACTCTAGATAAAATACAGTGTGATTCTTTTTTTTTTTTTTTTTTAGCTACAAGTCTGTTAATCCTTGCCAACACAGTAACAGTTTCTAATAGAAGCGTATTTAATATTTCATGTGTAATGAACTGTAAAACATTTCTCCTTAGCTGCAGATTCTGGAAGAAAAAAATAAGAATTTACAAGAGGCTTTGATAGATACAGAAAAAAAACTTGAAGAGATCAAAAAGCAGTGTCAAGATAAAGAGACACAGTTAATATGCCAGAAAAAGAAAGAAAAGGAGTTAGTAACTACCGTTCAGAGGTAAGAAAATTTTCTGAATCCTTCTACATTATTTTATTCGTATTTTTCATAAAACATTTTACTTAAATTAATTTATAATTTTTATTTTATTCTCCTTAATTTAAAGATGTACTACAGGATGCTCATCCCTTATCCAAACTGCCTGTGACCAGGGATGTTTTAGATTTAAGATTTTTTTCAGCTTTTGGAATATTTGCCAAGTATTTACCCACTGAGCATTTCTAATTCTGACAATCCAAAATCTGAAATGCTGCCATGGGCATCTCCTTTGAGCATCATGTCCATGCTCAAAAAGTTTTGGATTTTGACACATTTCAGATTTCAGGTTTTTGGATTAGGGATGTTCAACCTGTATTAAGAACTAGAAGCATAATTTCATTGAAACAGGTTATCTCAGTTATAATTTAACATTTTGAAGCAATATATTGATATCTTGCCAAAAGTTTCTGTTGAAAATAGTAAAAATAAAAACTCATACAAATGAAGACTGAAAATATTAATACAAACCCTTTACCTAATGGCTTTATAAAAAAAAAAAAGTAAAAATTCTAAATAACGAAAAAGGGGCCAGTAAAATACTCAAACTGCACTCCTTAATGGAATATATCAAATTGAAGTGATTGGCTCCTATTTCTAACTTTACTGCAAGTAAAAGGTACAGCAGTTTTGCCATGTATCTTCCAGATTTACTTACTTCTCTTGCCTCGTGGGTCTCAATTAATACAGTTGTAAGTACGTGTACCCCCAAACCTAAAATAAAAGTTAAAAAAAAAAAGAAAAGAAATGAAAGAGAAATGCAACTCTACTGATTTAGGCAACAGCTATTCTTACAAGCAAACTTTTGCTGAGCTTAGAATAAAGAACAAAAGATGTGGATCCATATTCTTAGGTTCCCTGCAATGATCATCTTAATCAAGGAACCCTGCTTTTAGAGGAAAAGGAAAGAACATGAGTTAGACTTCAGAGCTCAGATTTGGGTAATGAAGGACTTCATCGGAGCCTAAGGATGTCACATACTGAGCAACTCTGGACTCTGGTCTCAAATTTGCCATTTCTGAAAAGATGATCAGCCTCTAGCTAACTATGGACCCTTCTTACTTGTTATGAACTATAGATAACAGTTTTTCATATACTGTCTGTGGGTCTTGATGTCATTTTTAGGGTCTATAATATTTTTTAATAAAGCAATAATCATTTATGTTGAAATCATTACCAAAATCAGCAAATAGAGCTTATTTTCTTCATATAATTGTCTTTTGAAATAGTTTGCAACAAAAAGTAGAAAGATGCCTTGAAGATGGAATCCGCCTTCCCATGTTAGATGCAAAACAGCTTCAGAATGAAAATGATAATCTCAGACAACAAAATGAGACTGCTAGTAAGGTCAGTAGATACCTTAGATCATAAACGTGAAATCTATGCTATGTGGATATGTGTGTATAGATACATAATTTATAGCTATTTTATGTGATTTATATTTTGTTAATATTTAATCACTTACATAGTTTCTAGTTTGAATGTTTTTATTTGAAAGGACCATAGCAATTGAAACAAAATTAAATAATTGAAATAAAAGCCAAAACAAAAGGATATCTTTTTCCTTCCTTAATTATTCAGTCTGTCTCAAAGTTACTCTTAAAAATTTTATAAATTTGAGAAAACTTTTATTGAGAACTAGAGGAAGACTTTTGTAGTTTTATACGTGTGTGACCCAAATCATAAGGATACTTTCAGTTTTTTAAAAAGACCCTTTTAAAAAATAAATTTATAAATTTCTGTGCTGTTTTCTTGAAATGTTGGTACTTTTAAGAAGCGATGTAAAAATTATTTGAATCAGATGTATTTATTTTGTTTTAGATAATAGACAGCCAACAAGATGAGATTGACAGAATGATTTTAGAAATTCAGGTAAGGAATATTTTGTGCTTATTTTAATTTAGCTATATTCTGATATACTCTTAATGCTTATTTAATCTGAAAATATTAAAGCATGCATATATCGTATGGAAAGATAATATTTATAGCACTGAGGTAAAGTTGCAAATTCTTTAATATTAATCTTCCAGTTTTTGCTGTTTGATAAATTAATCCTAAAAAATTGTAAAGATTCATCAGTGAACAAGTCACATCCCTGGCCACTCTAGTGGGGTGAGTTGGAGAGAATACAAAACCAATATAATGAATACCAGGTGCTATGAAAAAAATTGCTGTTAAACATGTTATTTTAAAAAATTAAGTAGGCTAGAGAGTGCTACATTTAATAGAGTGGTCATGATGTTTTTCCTGAAGAGGTGATATTTGAACAGGGATCTGAACGAAGACATCCAGGGGAAGAGCATTCCAAGCAAAGGGAGCAACAAGTGCCCTTTATGTACCTGGCATGCTCTAAGAACAGCACAAAGTCTGTTAGCCTGGAGTGCAGGAAATGTGAGGTAGTGTGATGGGAAGTCATTGGTCATCTTTTGCTGAAAAATGTTTAGCTTTATACCCCTAATTTTACTGTTACTTCTTAAAATCAAAGTAAAAGTGGTAAATGATTTGCCATTATATACAGTCTTCTTTCTTTGTCTTTTGGTTGTATTATTTATCAATAAATGTATGAGCCTGATGGATTGATTGACAGAGGTTATAAACTTTATTTTATATTCCTACAAACATAACTTCAGCTGTTCCATAAGCCATTAGAACCTCTAGATTGTTAGATTTCCTCAGCTATTGTTATGTGACTTATGCTGGACCATAATTCAAGGAATTTCCATTTCACTTGGGCACGTTTTCCAAGAAGTAAATCTAATACAAGTTATCTCAATCTAAATTAAGAATAATCGACACTTGAACTTTGGCATTGAAACTTTAATGACTTGTAAGATTTCATTTATCACATACTGTCACATTATAGGTGTTCAGTATATATTAGCATTCATTGAAATGTGCATTTTCCCCCATTTGTGGAGGCATCTTACTGCAATTTACTCTTATATGTTAACCAAGTCTGTAGTCACATGTAAATATGTCATGACCATACATAAATGAATATGTAGAAGAATATGCAATTATGGGCCATACTGTTCTTTGTTACTAAATTGTTTCAGCAAACACAAATCTTTTATTCAAACTATGTAGAGAATTGAAGTAAAATTAATGAGATGCATTTATTTCCAAATATTTGGGCCTAGACACTATAATTATTAATTCTGTTGTCTTTTGAAACAATGGCTATCTTTTTTGGTTTTCTTTTCTTTTTTGTTCTTAGCATCTCATTTGCCCATTCTGACCATCAAGGTTTTCAGATCTAGAGACACAGAGATCTATAGATACAGGTCACAGAGACAGACAATAAATGTTGATAACTGGCTAAAATAGCTATATTTGTGAAGATGGTATTTGAATAGCAAAGCTGGAGATGAATATGACTCACATAATGAGAAAATTATTTACTAGTTTTAAACTCATGTTATTTTTTGGCCCCTCATCATTTAAAAAGACAAATTTTGTTTGTATTTGGTCATTTTTGGTGACCTTTTTCTAAAAGGCATATCTATAAAAATCTGAAAATATTGCTTGTTATTAAAAGAGGAGCACTGATTATTTCCCTAGCATTGGACACACTGAAAAGAACACTTTGGGTTGAAAAAATATTCTTGTGGCTTTCTATTGTGGTTAATGGACATAATTAATGGGTGTATTATCAAGCTGATATACCTAATACAGCAATTCCCTTCACTTTCTACTTCCTTAAAGCTGCCTGATTTTTCCTCATCAACTTACGTAAAGAATGGTCAGCTTATACCTATGTAGATTATGATGTCCTTTCCATATGCTATAGCTCTGTTTTTGAATTTCTTCAAATACCTTTGCCTATCCAAAATAACACAAAACACTATATAATTAAGGATACCAGAGAACCTCCCAATTATTTTTAATATAAATTATGCATTTTGACTATCACTATAGTATTAATTTTATGTAAAATCTCACTGACGCTATAGTTGGGATATTCTTTCTTCCTCCACAGTGCTTGGTTTTTCCATTCTAGAGTATTCAGTAGACAAAGATAACTTGGTACTATTAGAATTTCATGTGTTACTGCCTCTTTATGTCCTTGCAAACTGTTGAGAACACCAAATTTGTTTGAAGTTCACTTGTCTTGATTTGGTGCACTGCATTTCCTTGGGAACAAGCAAGTTATTCATACAGTTTAAATTTACTCCCAAAAGGGAAAAAAAAATCCCAGGCTATGTACATTTTATGTCCAATTTATAGGAGATAAAAAATAGGGCATTGTTTCATACTTAGATGCTGTGTTCAAAATACAGCTATAGTTTATTTTTTTGCCACAAAAGTCAAATAAATACTTATCTGTTATAGGTCACTGGCATGTTTATTTATTCACAGCTTTCGAAGTTGGAGAGAAATCATTCCTCTACTAGTTATACTATATTTGTTGTTGAATATAGAAAAAGTAATACTTCATGTAAAAGTATATGCTAATTTGGAAATTGAGTTGAGTGCTGTAAAAATACAGATTTATCTACTGTTTTTTTCAGCTGTCAAGGTCATATTGTTAACTGGCATGAATACCTTGTTTACTCATTGACCTTTTAGAAATGTCGCCCTTATTTATATCCATAAAACTAGTATAGCTAGCCTGGCTGCTTCTCCTATAGGTTTTTTCTTCTGTCATTATACAGTATATAAAGACATTTTGCGGTAGAATGTTGCTTGTCAATTCCATGAACATATGGCTGCAGTCAGAATGTGATTGAGTTCTTCATTGGGCATTACTTTCCTTCTTATTTCTCAAAAGTGCATTTCAAATCCGTAAGCCTTTTTCAGTGAGCTGTTATCATTGTAGTCTTTTGGCAGAGGACATAGAGTTTTGTAATGTGTGCTTGTTTTCTCTGACATTAAAATGTTTACTAATTGCAAGAACTTAGGCATTTAAATGGCCTTTCTGAATTGACAGCCATCAATAGATGATCATAATATCACAAAAGATAGAATAATACGTTAGAGGACATTAAGACTGTTTACTTGGCCGTGGTTGGAACCACCAGTCTCAAAACTGTGACACAGTCTGTTCTATTTATAACACATCGAGATGTTCCCACAGCCTAAGAAAATTCTATTCCAATTTTTAGCAAATCTCATAAATCCTTCATCTAGCAGTTTTCCTCAGTAGAAATAGTGGGAAAATGGATCATAAGTCAATGGAATATCTTATAGGTAGAACATAACTCCTTTAAATATCAATTGCTTTAATGTTTTCCCATTATTATTGTGTGATGTTTATCTCCTATTTTTTGTTATCCGAATTGTGTTATGTCTTGAAATAAAGTTCTTTTTCTCAAGTTTAATTTTGAAAACATTTACTTCTGTAAAATTGCTTATGATGGTGAAAAACTAAAAGTATTCTTATCAGAAGTTAATACTAAATTTTGAAAAATGTACCAGCCAAATGCCTTCTATGAAAAGTAGCTTTAAAAAAAAAAAAACGCACACACTGTAGTCTTGGTACTTGTAAAGAGAACAGTCTTTACTGTTCACGTAGATCTGTTGTATGCATGTTATAGTTGCATAATTAAGATATGTCAAAAAATGTGTAAAAGGTGGATTTAACTTGAAAAATCAGTTATGTCGCGGGGGGGAGTTGTACGAGTGAAGACAGCTCACTTGAATCATGAAAGAATGTTCTTGGGCCTGTTAGCGCTGCGAATAGTCACCAAATCTATATGGATACTCACATTATTTGTAATACTTTTTAAGATATATATTTCTGGGCCCTATTGTGAACCTAATGAATCAGTATCTCTGGGATGAATTTCGAATTATGTATTATTAAGTTCCTCAGGCAGTCCCTAACTTTGCCATATAGTCTGGCAGTAAAACTAGAGCATTTAGGAAGCATTACAATCCTCAGCACGCTCAGTGGACCAAAGAGTGGGAACTGGAGAGAAAGACTGAGGTTTAAATTTAAAAAACAAGTTTAGTTTCTGAGATACTTAGGTGTCATCAAACACATTTAACATATTTTGGTAGATATACTTATAAACCAGAAAATACATTTTTTCCAGAAGTTAGAAGCCAAAGAACTCAAGCATTAACAGTTTTATTAAGATATAAGTCACCGGGCGTGGTGGCTCACACCTGTCATCCCAGCACTTTGGGAGGCCGAGGCAGGCGGATCATGAGGTTAGGAGATCGAGACCATCCTGGCTAACACAGTGAAACTTCCATCTCTACTAAAAATACAAAAAATTAGCCAGGCGTGGTGGCGGGCGCCTATAGTCCCAGCTACTCAGGAGGCTGAGGCAGGAGAATGGCATGAACCCAGGAGGTGGAGCTTGCAGTGAGCCAAGATTGTGCCACTGTCCTCCAGCCTGGGGGACAGAGCGAGACTCGTCTCAAAAAAAAAAAAAAAAAAAAAAAAATGTCACCTACAATTCACCCACCTTTTTTGAAGTGTGCAATTCAATACTTTTTAATATATTCACAGATAAGTGGAACCAAGACCATAGTCAATTTTAGAACATTTTTATCATCTCGAATAGAAGCCTCATTTTTGTCACTTCCCTAAGCCCCCATCCACTTCCCCAGCCATAAGCAACCACTGATCTACCTGCTATCTCTATAAATATACCTATTTTAAACATTTCATACAAATGTATATATGGTCTTCTGTGACTCTTGACCATATCCAGCTGTTAGGCTCCACTAATTGTAGCCAATCATTCAGTTGTTTTCAACAATGCCCTGTGGCATAAATTGCTTCACAAACTGATCCATTCTAGCTCTTTTGAAGGGACAGTTCATTAGCTTAGTGTTTGAGATTTGTTCTGACCTCAGGAGTATTCTTCCCAGCTATCTCACTGTTTTTCCCTGGGAAAGTAGTCTATGGATTTAGCCTATAGGGCCAATGGGTCTAATAGTATCCTGTCAACTGCCTTTCATGACAATCTCCAATGTTTTTGAGTGCTCTAAGGCTTTGTCATCACACTGTTGCAAATGAAGTGAATTCCTATAGAGAGACATTTGGAGCTTCTAGTTCTATGGCCTACTTTTCCTCAGGCAAAATCTCTTAAGCCAGGTTAATTGGTGTGGGGACAATGACAAATTTCTGAATGGTACCCCCACTCTAGTAGCTGAACGCTCACTGGAGGGAGTTCTGGCAGCAGCCCTACATCTTTTTGACTTGCCTCTCCCAGCGTAGAACCAGTGCCCCACAAGCTGGGGCAAGGGTCAGGATTTCTGCACTCAATGTAAGCTTCCATCCCATAAGGGGATTGAGGTAGAAGAAGGGAGCCCCCCATCTCTTGGTTGCACTTGCCTAAAACAGCCTTTGCTAGGATGATAAATGTTGATGCCCTATCTTTTCTGGAAAGAGAACTGTCTAACTAGGGTCTGGGAGGAGAGGGAGCCGTGTGTTATTGGCTCTGTCAGTCTGAAGTAGAATTTCCATCCCAATGAGATGTGAGAAGTCAGAGATGGAGTTGAGTTTTGTTTCATTTTTCTACTCTAGAATCCTTTCGTGAAGCAGAGTTTTATTTCAAATACCAGTCTCTTACTCTTCTTACTGAGTTTTAGTAGATTTCCTTGAGTAATGTTTCTTCATTTGCTATATGCTCTTAGGACCATTTCCAGAAATTTTTAATTATAATATTCACCAATTTCATTGAGTGGTAGGTCTGTGGAGCTCCTCACACTGTCATGCTAGAAGCAAAACTCCAGGCAGATTGTTTTTAAAGTTTTATCAAGTTACAAGATGATAACTAATTTAAGAAAGGAATTCGAGCTGTACATTGTCTTAGATTCTTAGAAACATTAAAAAAGGCTCTTTTTTTTATTTCTTATCTCCCCACCACCAAAATAAACACCCTGCTATACATTTCAGATTTCCTATTAATGGCATCTCTGCCCTTCCATTTGTTCAGTCCAGGTATCCTAGATTTATCCTTGACTCCTCACTTACCTCACATTTGACAGCAAATTCTACTACCTTGAAAGTATGTCTAGAATCTGACCTCTTCTCCTTGCCTCCTCCATTGCCACCCTGTTCCAAGCTGTCTCCCTTTCTCATCTGGGTTATTTCTTCATGCTTCTACCCTTGCCTGTGCACAGTATACTCTCATTAGGTTAAGTGATCCTTTTGAACAAAAATCAGATTACATCATGTCTCTGCTCAGAACTCTTCAGTGGATCCTCATTTTTTTTTTCCAGAATAAAAATCAAAGTTCTTATACTGATTTCTGAGGCCCTATACAATCTGTTCTGCATGCTGTCTTCCTTCTCTGACTCTTTCTCCTACTATTCTCAGCCATCCTGGCTCTCTTGCTTTTTCTCAAACACAGAAGACACCATCTGTCCCAGAACCTTTGTACTGATAGGAACTCTGGATATCTCTGGGACACAATCTCTCACTTCCTTCAGGCCCTTGCTTACCTGAGATTTCAGTCTCCTGACCCTTACTGTGCTCTGTTCTCCACAGCACTAGTCAAATTCTAATACATGATACTGTGTAACTTGCATATTTATTTTATTTCTTTTGGTCTTTTTTCTCCTAGTAAAGTTCCACAAAGGCCAAGAGTTTTGACTGTTTGTTCACTGATGTATCACTCAATGAACAGAACAGTGTTTGGCAATGATTTTTGCATGAAGGAATGTCCCTGTGAATTTCTTATATGGTATGCATGTTTATGTGTGTATATATGCAGTAAAAATGTTAACATAAATTTTCTTTCAAAATAGTTCCTTTTAAATTGGGTTTGGGGATTATATAGAATCTGGACTAAGGCACACCTGGTTTTCCCTCATTCAAGCTATTTGTAAATGGGGCATTTCTGGATACTTACGTTAAAACAACAAATGTGCTTATTTCCACTGTTCAACTTCAAACATGATCATTATAAAGACCTTGTAGGTTAGTACCTTGGCAGAATTTTTAAATGTCATGATTAAACTGAGAATTTGAGAGCTGTTGTAGGTGTTTGCAAATTAATTTTTAATTTTATTAATCCCCTACATGTCTAGTGAATGATAAATAGTTATTGTAAAATTCACAAGGCCAAACACTCGTTTCAGAAAATATGAGATATTTCATTTATGCATTGTAAAGTACTACCAGTTTGAGCAAGTATATTTTAAGAGCTTAAGAGATTTCAAAAAAATGCTCTGCAAAAAGTATTTATAAAATAACGCACAGTATTCTTGATAGAATTTTTCTTGTTATCTTTTAAACATATCTTAATACAATTTAGGATAGAGAAGTAATTAATGTTTTAGGTGAAATGTTACTGTCAGACAACTATAGCACTCATACCTAGTATTATCCTAGACCAATTTGTACAGCACTTGGTCCTTTCAGGATAAGCCTATCTGCAATGTCTTTTACCTATTAAAGTGCTTCTTGATAACTGCCCTTCAACTCAAGCAACATATGAGAAATCTGATTTTCCTTTTTGTGATAAATGGCAATACTGCCAGACATTTTCAGTTTTTCTGATGGAGAAGATTGCCTGTTTCTGCACTGATTAAAATCAGTCTTACATAGGGACATATTAGTTGGATTTATTAGCTAATTATTAGTCACATTCAACATGACTCTGAATTGGTAAAAATATAAAACTCTTATCTTTTAAAGGACTGTATTCTGTTACAATGTATCATTATTATAATTATTCTGTTATATATAATAATTATATTGTGAAAACACCCCTCGAGTTTAGTTTTTTTTTTGTTAGAATGTGAGTTTGAGTAGTGTGTCTATGATGCCCTTCTTCTGTAATTCTAATAAACCGTCACAAATCTTGAGAAAATTTAGGTTGAATTCTGGATTCCAGCCAAATAATCTTGTTAGGCCAGAAAGGATAGATCTTCAGCTAGGTAAATAACTCTCCATGTTCATTTAATCAAATAAGATTTGAGTCAATCTAATGAAGTTACAAAGGAAATTTCAGTTTTCAATAATACACGTATTCAGAGAGCCCCTTGTTGACTTGGTGCTTTTTTTTTTTTCATTTTTGTGGAATATAAAACAACTTTTCCCTAGAAGGAGAAACACTTGTTATAGAGTTTGATTCATTTCTGTCCAACTTCTGAGTTACTAAATGTAATATTTTTTTCAGAGTTTAGCAGACAAATGAAATTTAAAAGCAACAAGTTTGAGTATCTGTTACTGATAAAACTGCTTTATATTTATGGAGTCTTATTTCAACCCATGGTGATAGCTATCTTTTTTTACTCCATCCAAAGATAATGTGAGGAAAATATCTTTATAGTAGATTGTGTGCTATTTAGGTGGTCAGCAAACTGAAGTATTGTCAGAATTGAGACTAAATACAGACCTGAAATAAAATGATAACCTCTCTTCTGGTCATATGTTTATTGATTTTGTGGTCTAATAAAAGGAAAATAGTTGATAGAAACACTTAGAATTCACTAATAACTACAGGGTGTATGGCAATTTTTTCTTTTAATATATTGGTGAAAAGACTAACCAAAGACTCAAAATGTCCTTTATGCTGCTTTGGCGTACTCACAATAGTGTCATGTCTAGGTAATTTGCAATTTTATAAGGAGTAAGAAGGAGATTAGCTTATCAAATTCCCATAATAGACCTTTGACCCAGAGTTCACAGTATATTCACTGCTTGGATTACTATACAATGAAAGACGGGAGCTATGTTTCAAATGATAGAAAATAGGGATGATATCATGATCTTATTATCTTGCATCTCATTAACTGTAAGCAAAATGTAAAACAAAAATATAGATTTGTTGCTAATACACTCTCTACATATAAAAAGTTAATGAAATAAGAACTGTTTGTAATACCATATTAAGTAGGAACTTCAGATTTGACATGTTTTATACAAATTAAAAACTTCCTTGGTAAAAACTGTAATTTAAAAAAATCCAAATGTATTCTGGGAAACCAGCATTTCTTTTTCTTTTTTATTTGGATTCAGCCACTCTCTAACTGATAGGGATTAGTTTAAAAGTGAAGGCTTCATCTTCCAAGGGGATGGGGAGGAAAGAAGATTTAAAGTATTCAGAGCCAACATTCCTACTTCTTTCTGTTTGAGATTTTTCTTTACATGTTAACCTGTTTTGCTTTCCAATTTTTTTAAAAATTCTAGTCTATGCAAGGAAAGCTTTCTAAAGAGAAACTGACCACTCAAAAGATGATGGAAGAGCTGGAAAAGAAAGAAAGAAATGTACAGAGATTAACAAAAGCATTGCTTGAAGTGAGTAGAAGAAATTCAATTTTGCTTTGAAAGGATGATTCACTATAAAATGCTTATTTTATAGATATTAATAGAGCATTTTCAGATTAAAGACATGATTTTGATATGCCTGTTAATTAATTCCATTGTTTCTTACCAAAATTATTATAAAAAGACAAACCTTTATTTATTTTGTGTTTTAGAATACAGTTTCACATAATTATAGTACAGTATATATTTATTATATTTATTAGCTGGCATTCATCTATAAAAAAGTTTTTTTCCAATCACCCCAGGCTATTGAGTTATTCTGAAATACAGTTCCAATTGGAAAGCTAATTAAAGTTACCTTTAATTAGCAGTTTTCAAGATAAGAAGGTAGCAGTTTTGGGGATCAGCAATTCAGAGTTGTTGGTTTTTTCTTTTTTTCTTCTTCTTTGATTTTATACTTGTTATTTCTTTGTCTCTCGCACCGAAGTTTGTGGTTCCTATCAACATTAACATAGATGCTTCCCCCCACCAATATGCAAAAAGTAGTTTCAAAGTAATTAAACCACTATTGCTACTAACAATAAAAACCACAGAGTGAGGTTCAAAGTTACTTTTTAGTTCTTTTTATCCTTGGAATAAATCTCATTATAGAAAAATACAGGCTGGGTATGGTGGCTCACACCTGTAATCCTAATACTTTGTTTTGGGAACCTGAGGTGGGCAGATCACTTCACCCCAGGAGTTTGAGACCAGCTTAGGCAATGTGACAAAACCCTCTCTCTACAAAAAATGCAAAAATTAGCCAGGCATCATGGTGTTTACCTGTGGTCCCAGATATTCAGGAGGCTGAGGTGGGAGGATCACCAGAGCCCGAGGAGGTCAAGGCTGCAGTAGTGAGTCATGATTGCGCCACTGTACTCCAGCCTGGGTGACAGATTGAGGCCCAAAAAAGAAAAATACATACACAACCAACATGCTTATTACGTGAGAGACTCCTAGAAACTGAGACTGGATTTATGTTTCCTCCCTTGGATATACGCTAAAGCATCAGATGGCACAGAGAAACAATTTCCACTATTTAAATTGTTATTTTTCTATGTGTTTTTTTTCCCACTGCATATATGTAGTTGAATTTGGTTAATGTGCATATAATATGACTCCATCGTTTTGTTTATAGACTTGGGGGAGAATGTTAACCTGTATGGCTTTGAGTACCTTTCCTCTGTTCTAACAATCTGATGTTTGTTTTCTTTATCCTTGCAGAACCAAAGACAAACAGATGAGACATGCTCTTTATTGGATCAGGGCCAGGAACCTGACCAATCTAGGCAGCAGACAGTTCTTTCCAAACGGCCACTATTTGATTTGACTGTGATTGATCAGCTGTTCAAGGAAATGTCCTGTTGTTTGTTTGACTTGAAAGCATTGTGTAGTATTCTTAATCAGCGTGCTCAGGGCAAGGAGCCTAATCTTTCATTATTACTGGGAATAAGATGTAAGTGTCTGATGACTTGTCCTTATTTTGTGGCAATTAGAAACCTATCTTCATGAATCAGGAACTTCCGACTGCCTTTTCTCTGTTTATTTTTGTAATCTCTTTTCCTACTTAGAATCAGTCTGTGGGTTTATGTATACCTGTTATTACTTCATTGCAAGAAGTGAGTAGGGTTATAGCTGACATTAACTGCCACTTGGTAGAATGCCTGGTGATGTTTCCTATGTTGAATCTGTAAATATGTGAATAGAGTGGTAGTTAGGTGTGACTTCCCATTTTCTCTTCCAAAAATAATGATTCCTTCTATTTGCTTTCATGTGTTAGTTGTATAGATTAAGTGACCCAACCATATTGTCCACTGGTAAAATATTTGAGAAATATTTTTGCTTTCCAGTGCAGTATATGTTCTATGGCAGCTGCTTCACGTGAGTGCCAGTGATTTCACATGAGCCAGTTTTCACAGCCTACAAATCTGTTGCCTTTGTCATGCGTACCTGCTGGCTTAATGTGACACCCATTCACTCTTGGCCTCAATTCTGTCTTCCTCCACACATAATTGTGGGAGCTGCCACAGTAATAATCCTAGTGTCCCTTTCTTTCTGTGCTACTTTTGCAGAAACGCTCATCTCTGTACGTGGTTCCAAATCAGGATGTTAGTCTCTTTATAATAGAGAAGAAATGAACTTGGAAGGAAATAGGAATGCAGTAAGACCATATAATAAGGTTTATGGGCCAACGTGTATTTAGTAGCTGCCTAATATTATGGTTAATAATACTGGTTTTGTTTCAAACAAACTGATTTTGTTTCTAGTTTCATCAAAAAGATTCCACCATTTTGCATCATAATAGTTATTTTGGCAAATCAAATAATGCTCTTGACCAAAGTATATCACTTGTTAAATGAAACATTATCTGTGCTCAACTATGTCCCTTTCATTTCATAGACATTTGTACACATACACAAATGTGGATATCGAAAAAACACATAATGTTTAAGTATATTCACTCACGGAGTAAACATTTATCAGATGCCTTCTATGGTCCAGACACTAAGTAAGTGCTGGTAATGCAGATAACCTGAACACAGTCCTTGTCCACACATTAACCAAATTATTAGAGCATTCTGATAGGTGCTATAGTTGAGATGTGGACAAAGGACAGTGGGAGCACAAGAGGAAAAAAACAACTAAATCTACGTGGGAAGGGCTGTGGAGACTCCACAGAGTAGTTGGTGTTCAGTGTCGCTCTCAGACGAGGAAGAGGAGAAGTTTGCCTGGTGAACATGGAGTGCTTTAATATCTCTTGGGAGCAAGAAGCAAAGCTCACACACAAAGGGAACTCACTTTCTTCATGATTTTAGAGTTGGTCACCCTTTTAATTACTTTAGAGTCTCCTACATTTTCACTGTCATAAGGTAGCATTTGTTAAGTTTTTCAGTAATAGAGTAGTAGAGCTATCCTAATGTGAATCTTACCACGCCCACCTCCCAATACTCCTTCTAGTCTTTAAAGTTTGACCCCAGAATCCTTACCTTATATTTGGCATTGTGAAAGTTTTACCAGCCAGTTGATTTGTGAAAAACCAGTCACTTCATGGCTCCATTTACTCACCCTGTCCTTCTGAAAACTGTGCACTACCTTGGTTTCCATGACATCATTCTCTAGGTTCTGCTTCTGCCTTTATGACTGCTCAGTCTCTGTCTTCTGTGGACTTCTCTGCCACTTAATTATTGGTATCCCCAGAAGCCTTTTGTTACTGGTTTTGTGTTTGTTTCTTTTTATTCAGTACTTTATCTGAGTGATCTTATCCACTCCTGTTTTTTCTGTTACTGCCATACCTTTCACCTAGACATTTATCTCCTTTACCCAGACATTTATCTCCTCTGGGCTCCAGATTATATTCCCATGTATATTAGAACTGGCTATTTCAAATGCATCACAGACTCTACACATTCAAAACCAGAACACACTTTCCTTCCCTCCCTGAACCGGTTCCTCTTCTCAGTGAGTAACACCACCATTCACCTGTCACTTGAACCCAGAATTTATTCTCCACTCTGCTTTTTCCTTCATCTGGCGCCTGTGCCCAATCCCTGCCCATCACTCAAGTTGATGATGATTGAGTGCTATCAGTTCTGTCATCTGCTTACTACATCTAACATTCCTGCCCTTCTATCTCCATTGCACTATTGCCTTAATTTAAGTTTTCATAACCCGTCACCTATACTGGTCTCTCTGACAACCATCTTTCTCATCCCCTCCCCCTAATCCATTTTACATTGTTGCCAGACAGATCTGTCTAAACTATGAACCTGGTTTCCTAATGCCTACACTGCTCTGTGGTCAAGATAGGTAGCTACTACCTACCTCTATAGCCTTATTTCTTGGTACTCTCCTTTGTCACAGTTTGTACTCTACCATTTTAGAGCTAGATACTGATTTTCTTGAGGTTTCTCAAATTCTATCATACTGTTTTGCTTTCTGACTCCACTTTTGTTCATTTTGCAGTTTGGCCAACCCAGTGAACAAGCAACTGTTACCTCTCCAGTTAGGACTAGTTGTTTGTTTTTTTATGCCACTGCAACTTGTATATAGTGGTAGGTTACCCACAGTACCTCACTGTGTTCATTTGTTTATGAAATTGTATGTAAAGCATCGAGAACAAGCCACTGTGTCTGTTCCTTTTCTGACTTCAACATCTAACATAGTTCCTATATCATGGCAGATGTTCAGTTAACATTTGTTAAAATAACAGTCACTCACTGACTCTTATGCCTACAATAAACTACTATGAAGGTATAAGGAGAGGTTTCTTTTGTAATCACTGGCTCTGCCTGATTTTATGTTGAGATATGCTTACAAAGAGAAGAACTGAAGTAAATAACTAAAAGCTGGCTGACTCAAGGCCCTCAGTTATTCAGCCATTAGGCAACCAGCTATCAGCCTGATTAAATTGTTTGGGATTGTAGGGTCCCAGCTTTCACTCTTCCTCTCCCTCTTCCTCTCCCTCTCTGTCTCTCTCATTTTCCCTCCCCGCTCTCCCTCTGTGTGTGTGTGTGACACTTACTATGTATTTGAAAATTAATATTTTCATGGCAGTAAACCCACTTTGCAGTCGTAAATATGTAAGATACCACCTCTTACTACACAAATGGTCTTCAGATTTTGCCAAATGGGAAAAACTGAGTGCTCTAGTTGAGCTTGAAGAGAGACATTAGAGTATGCTTTTTTTCACTTTTGGAATATTGTTACCCATTAAACATGCTGAATTTGTGTGTATCACTGTGTGCATTTAATTCAGTTTAATTTGTGAAATTTATAAAGGACCAAGTGGATAAGATCTGTTTAATATTGAATGATGCATGATTTAAACATAACTTGAACCTGAGCCTCACTGGTATTCAGTGTGTAGCACTGTATTTCCATGATGATTAAGGTGAAAAATTCTAAAATGTCTTTGTTCAAAAAAATGTGAGATATTCTCTCTATGTTTTATTTACACAGCAATGAACTGTTCAGCTGAAGAGACTGAGAATGACCACAGCACAGAAACACTCACTAAAAAGCTGTCAGATGTGTGCCAGTTACGAAGAGACATTGATGAATTAAGGACTACAATATCAGACCGCTATGCTCAGGACATGGGAGACAACTGCATTACTCAGTGATCAAGTGTTAGTCCCACAGCAATAATGACCTGTTGTTTAAATGCTGCTGTGTTATGGAGCCATAATGGAAGGTTGCAAGTGACATGACTTGCACTTAGGGATTTTTTTTCTGTGGATTTGTTTTGTTGAAGGGGAGAAGGGAAGTGAAGAGATTTTGAAGGGGCTTATCTAATCAGGCAAAAAGAAAAAAAATCAAATTACCTTTGGAAAATATGATAAAATCTACAAGGAAAAAAATGTCTATATTCTCAAACTACTGATTGTAGGACCAAGCTGTGAAGAGTACCCTTCACATGAAGGAGTAGGATTCCTTTTAATCCTATAGCTTTGTGTGTTTGTGTGTGCATGTATGTGTGTTGTTGTGTGTGTGTGCACGTGCTTTATTCACAAATTTATAAGGGTTTCTAGGGTCAGAGCAGAGCTTCTGAGAAAGGCACACGCTGTTTATTCTTATATTTCTTTCATATAGAAGCTTGTGTTGTACTTTGGGATTTTCAGTGGCTGGCTGAACAAGAGTTCAAACAGCAGGCAAGTGTTGTCATGGTAGTACAGGAGGCAAAACCATTTATATTTTGAACACTTACTGCACTGATAGGATGTTTGTGGTTGAGCTGATTTTAGTACTGTAGATAGGTCAGCTGTTTTTCCAGAGTGATTGTGGATTTCCCAAGAGGTGTGAAATTTTGACGTGATGCTCTTTTTCCTTAGCATTGTAATGTATGTGTTACAAGAAAGGTTAACATAACTTGAACTAATTTTAACATGTTCCTTACTATTTACAATTTTTTATTTATATGTTTTATATATATACATATATAAATGTAAACAAAGCCATATATAATTAATAAAGGCATTGGATCATTATTATAAAAGGAAGATTAACAAAGTTACCCTGGAACAATAGCTTACTTATCCAAATCTCAACATTTACATTTTAACAGTTTTGTATGTTTCAAAGTTGAAACTACTGTAAGAGAAAGCCAATACTATTTATATCTGAATCAACAGTAGCATAAACATTTTTTAATTGAGATTGTATTTTAATCCCTTTTGTTAAAGTACATTAACAACAGTTTTTCACAGGATATGAACTTGGCGAAATTAGTTCTTAATCTGAATTACAGGGTATTACTATGAAATGCAGTTGATTTTGCAGTAGACGTACAGTCATTTAAACTTCCAAATGAGTGTTGTCCATGTTTCTGTTGGTATTTTGGAAGGATTATACATTTTATTGCCTTCAGCATTGATTATGTTCTTTTGAATATACTTAGTTTTGGCGAAAGCCTTGTCCTTTGTAAGTTGGTTTGATCTTGTGATGCAACCAAGTCTCATTTAGGTCAAGACTAAATAAGAGATGGAGGGGTAGAGGGTGTGACTCAAGCAGGATAATATTGATTTGATAAAGAGCATATCACATGCCTGTTTTCTTGCCAGATAAAGGGCATAGCACATGCCTGTTTTCTTATATACTAGAATAAAGGCTCTCCTAGGAAAGATTTTTCTTAAATATTTAAAAGTGAAAATGTGAGACAAGGCCTTCAAGGAGACTACCCAGGAAGATACACAGTTTAAAATGTTGGCTATACAGCTCTCAATAGATTATTTTATAGTTATAGTTGAATAATCAGTTATAATACACTGTAAAGAAATCAGATTTTCCTTCTGTTTGGTGTCTGAGTCCTTCCTGCTCTTCTTACTTCTGAGAATCTGGGCACTAAGAAATCAGTAAGTACATTGTAGTGCTCCTGCATCCCAGAGTCCTTAACCTAAGGAGGGTCTTAGTCACTGGTAAGAACTTGGCTTTCTAATTATATTCACTTGGTTTTTAACATTAGTAGCTTGACGATAATCAGGGTATAGTAAATTTCCACCAAAAATGTGATGCGAAGAATTCTGCCTTGGTCCTTTATGGTAAAACAGATAATAACGTCTAAAATAGATCAGCCACAAGTGCAGCAAATATTTTTACACTCTCTTTGAATAGAATCCCAACCACCCTCCCCCATGATTTTAGAAATAAAGGCTTCCTAAAATAATAGAACAAATTGGCAAACAATCACTAATTGGACCAGTAGGTTCTTACTTAAATATCTCTCCTAGATTTTTAGTGTATGTTTTGGGATTTTATGGGTTTATTTATTTTTTTTTTTTTAAGCAGACGTTACAGTTTGTTTTAATCTACTATAGATACGTTTTTGTTTTTTGGCTTAGTTGGGGATAAAATAATTTATTTGTAAGTTAGCTTTCTAAAACTTAGAGAAAGTAATTTAATTCACGTATCTTAAAAATAAAATTCCAAAGTTAAAAAATTTCTGACTTAGTAGGAAGTTAACAAAACTACTGCTGATGCATTTCAGTTTCCAAAATCTGTACCCTCCCCCCATAAAAAAGGGAGTTAAGATGTGCTAGTTTAAGTAGTTAGCTGAATTATAGATTGATCCTCTTAAAATCTGGAGTTTGTAAAGGGGCCTACATAAACAGTAGATAGACTTGGAGGGATTTTGTGGGGGAATTGAAACTAATAGTATTCTATCTAGTTTGTCAGTATTTACTTTTTGATTTTTATTTTTCAGAAAATTTTCCTTTCCCAGGACACCCTCTTGTATTAGAATATCCTCTTCTGTATCACATTAAAAACAGATTTTACTGTTAGACCAAATAAGATGGGCAAATAGCAACACTAGAGCATCTCACCCAGTTTGAACTAGGATGTTCGTGGAAGTTATGACACCAATATATTCCTGAAATGAAAATTAACCTAAATTTTAAAGTGAATCTATTTGAAAATTTACTTAGATAATGAAACCTCGTTTTAATTGTGCTTTTTGTGAATCCAACACTTGTTTGCTTAGAAAGTATCTTATCCAGTATTAATATTTTGTTCTTTTGGGTTTTAAAGTTGAGCTTATTCAGCCTCAATCACATTACAGCAAGCATAAAGTAACAGTTGACTCAATGAAAGACCCAAATTGCCTGTACAGATAAAATTCACTGAATCAAAGGCACAATAGCTATCTTTTCACTTGAGCTCAGAAAAGTAAAATGGCTTAATTTGAACTATTAATTTTCAGTGGCCTCTAATTAAACAAAAACAAAAAACCACAAATACTGGCTAGGTAAGATATTCCTGAGGTCATTTTAAAAGAAGTGTGGCACCTAGGATTCAATATTTAATGCTAACAGTATTATATTTTAGTGAAATTTATTTTGGTGGTGACAGTTTATTAAACCTAATTAGACTTCTTTCAATAGCTTGTTGTAGAGACAATCTCAAGGGCTGGAAAGTGTTGCTAAAATGAATGTCATACATTTCTGATATACTAAGGAGCTTATAAAGTAATTCTTTCATAGTGCAAGAATTATTAATTTCTTAGAGGATGTTTTTAAAGGAGCTACTTAATTGGGAAAATGTTCTTTAAATATCAGTAATAGTTCATTAAGTAACATAGTAGCTAAGAACATGGACTATATTTTCACAGCATAGTTCAGCTTAGGCACACCTTTAGTTTGGATTATTGGCATTCTCTTACGTAGGAATTATATCATTGTAGATATGTAATTATGGTAATAAGCAATTTTCATAACCATGCTCACTCAGACTATATCATTTGAAACTGCCATGTTTCCATTTTTGACAATTCATGTTCACAAAACAACAGGAACAATTTCCTATTTGGTATAAAGAGCAAAATTTCCAACTTTGCCCCAAAATGCCATGGGTGGCATATTGCCATATGATTATATCATATATTTAATCATGTATGGGAAAGATTTTGGATTTTTTTTCTTATTTAAAAAAGTGCTAAATATAAGAATATAGTTTTAAATCAGCAAGTCTAATAACACTATTGCAGCTGTACACAGAGAGAACCTTTTGTGCCTTTTTGCCTGCAGTAAGCATTTATTTCTATTTTACATGAGTTCTAAGAATGTTGATGATTATTGCACCTTGTTCTTCTGTATATAAACTTGATTAAGGAATTTTTTTTTTTAAAGCAAGGAGCCGTTTTTTGTTACTAGGTGGATACCTTAGTAAACATGAGGGGAATTATCAGATAGATGTCTTTGGAGCCCAGCCTTCCCTGTGTAGTGAGCTGGAAACTCCTTTAGATTGTATTCATTGGTGTGTATGTATATGTACATATATGTATAAATAGTTAAATACATAAACATAAAACTTAACATCGCATTGTTGTGATGACAAGAAGTAGTAAGGTGCTAGGTGGTTACATTAAAAAGCACAGCACAGTGTATAATCAGTCACTATGACTGGTGGTTTTGTAAGCTGGGTTCAGTTTTTGAACCACCCAGAATACCTCATGTGTAAATACAGTGTTCATGACTTAATTGAAATACAGTTATTGTTTAAAAAAAAAAAAAAAGAATGTGAAGCCACTGGTTGGCTTATGCCTTCTGATCTATCATTCTTGCCTCTTTTTTTGTAAAGGGGTTTTCTTCTTGTTGTTCTGTTTTTTAATAGGGTTTACAGCTAGAATTTTGAATGCCAAAGTTCTATTTATTAAATTAAGAAAAAAGTTTTCAATGTTAATGGCTAGTATTTTTCCACTGGACTATTGTTTGTTGATGTTGGAATTTGTATTTACAGAGAAATAAATTTTTTATAAAAAGATTTATGTCCTCTAAGAGCCTAATGTTAGTATAAGAATGTATTTGTACTTTCAGACTCTCTATTCTGAATTCTCAATGACAAGAATGTGCTGTCTTGACTTTTAGGTGAAAGCTTTGTATAAATGCACAGGAGAATCTTTGACTAAAACATGGAGAATTCTGCCTTCTATCTTATAATTTCTTTCCAATTACAAAAAAGCTTTTTCTCAGGGCCTTCTCATAAAGGGTACTGAGATTTTCTGATGGCAGGTACTGTAACATAGGAAATCATGCCTGTGTCCATTTCAGTTAATAGCACAGTGTCTCCTTTCTGACTTTCTAGAATCCCTGTTTAAACCAGGAGTCTTCTTTCTAGTTTTCCAACAGACAGAATCTGACTTCAGTATTCTACGTTGCTGAAAGTTTTGGTTGGCAAGTTAAATCTTTTATTTTCCACCCTCTAATCAAAGGTTAAGAACGTACTAAGACATATGCAAATAAAGCCTACAGGGGCCCTGACATCTCAGCTTTGGTGGTTTGCCAGTCTAGTCTCAAAAGTGCCCTGCGGATGGCATCCTAAGTCCTTGTTCTAACACATGTGGGTTATAACCTCAGTTTTTTCTTTTTTTTATTCTTTTTTTTTGTGACGGAGTCTTGCTCTGTCCCCCAGGCTGGAGTGCAGCGGTGCAATCTCGGCTCACCACAACCTCCGCCTCCCAGGTTCAAGTGATTCTCCTTCCTCAGCCTCCCGAGTAGCTGGGACTACAGGTGCGTGCCACCATGCCCGGCTAATTTTTGTATTTTTAGTAGAGATGGGGTTTCACTATGTTGGCCAGGCTGGTCTCAAACTCCTGACCTCGTGATCCACCTGCCTCAGCCTCCCAAAGTGCTGGGATTACAGGTATGAGCCACCACGCCCAGCCTATAGCCTCAATTTCTACAGGCAGTTGGTTAATGTTTGGATTAGCGGTATCTGTTACCAGTTTAGATAATTTGGCATTGCTCTGTTGGAGTGTTTAATGAGTTAACTCATTAAAGTTAACAGGGAAAGAAACACTTTGGAGATCCTGCATCACAGGCTACTTAGGTTGCAAGCAAATGTCTTAGAAATAAGAGCAGGAAGGATAAAATCCTAGAATATTACTAAGGTGACCGGTAAAGAAGTTTCTCCTTCAGAATGAAAGGACTATTTTTGACCTGGAAAAAAAGTTTTTTGATAGGGGAGGGAGGTGATCAACAAAAAGCTTTTGATAGGGTACATCCTAGGATTTTGCCAATAGTTTGAATTTCTTTTATGACAAGTTTCCCCAACCAAACAATCATTCTATGTCGAAGAGCAGAGGACTCAGTTAAAAAGAGGTATGAAATAGGATGTTAATAATGGCACAACATGGCAGAGTGGATCCAGTAGAGCAACAGTTTACAAATGAATAGCTCTCTCACATGTCAGTTAAGACATTCTCCTTGATTTAGAGGAGATTCCAGTTTTGGAAATTATAGTAAAAGTTTTTTAAAAAAAATTTAAGTAAAATTGCTATCCTTGGCAGATACCTGATGTGATCACAAAAAGAAAAAATCTTTTCATTTTAGCCAACATGTTTTTAAACAATCTCACTTCATCTCTGTTGAGTACCTGCTAATAAAAGTTTTAAACTAAACGTACACGTGTCCTTGACCAGGAAATTCTACTCTTAGGTGTTTATTTGAGATGAATAAAAACATGTTCACAAAGACTTGTAGATGAATGTTCATGGCAGGTTATTCAAAATAACCCCAAACTGGAAACAGCCCAGAGGTTCGTCAGTAAGATCTTTCCATCCAGAGTTGAAAAATAGCATTCTTTTACAACCTTGGGTTCTAACTGATTGAGAGTCACTTTATTCTATATACTTTTTGGAAAATGGAGTAAGTTTAATACATAACAAAGTAGTGGATAGGAATTGGGAAACAGACCTCCCATTTACCAGAGGACTTTGGTTTACACTTCCCTCTGGAGGATTGCGCTTTGTCATGCTGCCACCCTTGTTCCATGGGTCTCCCCAGTTAAAGTGAAGCACTTGGTCTCATTCTTCTTGAAACAAACTTTTTATATCATTGTTTGTTAATTGTTTGAGTGCCAGTCTTCCACCAGACTTTGAGCTCTTTTAGGACAAGCACCTTGTCAAACTTTGTGTTTAATTAGCAACTAGGATAAACTCACTTCCAGAAATGTGTACATACCTGCCCTTTACCCCAGGGTGGAGGAGCTCTATTTTCAAGGAGAAAATGTAGTCTTTTAAGCACAGCCCTAGAAGGACATGGAGCTTTTAATGGAAAGAGGGTATAGTGATAATAAGTCCTACTTAAGCAAGTTGCATTTTAGTATCTCCTGCAGCTGTACACTTTCTACCCTTCTGTAGGTCCAGGCCACAGGATTGGACACAGTTGTTTCCCAGCTCCAGTGCTCTCAGAGGATAACATTCTCACTGGACTTTAGGCCAGCTGCATAGATATTGTAAAAGCAAATCGAAAGTCTGGCTTAAAAGAGGAACAAAATATCAATTCTAAAAATCAATGCATGGCTGGGCATGGTGGCTCACGCCTGTAATTGCAGCACTTTGGGAGGGCAAGGTGGGTGGATCACCTGAGGTCAGGAGTTTGAGACCACCCTGGCCAACATGGTGAAACCCTGTCTCTACCAAAAATAGAAAAAATTAGCCAGGCATGGTGGCTGGTGCTTGTAATCCCAGCTACTTGGGAGGCTGAGGCAGGAGAATCGCTTGAGCCGGGAGGTGGAGGTTACAGTGAGCCGAGATCGTGCCACTGCACTCCAGCCTGGGTGACAGAGTGACACACCATCTCTAAATAAAGAAAATTAAAAGTGAATGCAGCTGGGCATGGTGGCACATGCCTGTAATCTCAGCTACTTGGGAGGCTGAGGCAGGAGAATCGCTTGAGCCAGGAGGTGGAGGTTGCAATGAGCCGAGATCACGCCACTGCACTCCAGCCTGTGCAACAGAGTGAGACACTGTCTCTAAATAAATAAATTAAAATAAAATAAAAATGAATGCAGCTGGGCATGGTGGCACATACCTGTAATCTCAGCTACTTGGGAGGCTGAGGTGGAAGGTGGAAGGGTCACTTGGGCCAAGGAGTTCAAGATTAGCCTGGGCAACATCACAAGACCCCATCTCAAAAAACAAAAACAGAAGGCGGGTGGGGGTGGGGCGCAGAAAGCAAGTAACAAGTTACACCCAAAGAAACTAATCAAAATAAAGGCAGAATTACTTTTCAAAATGAATGAAGTTGCATCTGCATATATACACACGTCTAGAATATTTTAAATAGTACAGTTGACAACCCTCGTAAACAAGGAAGCAAGGTAATTTACATTCTTCATTCCTATACTGACCATATAGTCATGAAACATGGTTGTTTAGTGGCCTGTGGTGACTAAAACACTGCACAGAAGTGTGTCTTCTATATCATCATCATCATCATTATTAACCAACATTTGAGCACATGCCAAGTAAAAAGACCTTGCATAAATTATCCCATTTATTCCTCTATATAATACCCTATGAAGTAGGGCATTATTATTATCAGGGTGCTATTATTATCCCCACTTCAGGCAAAGAGATTGAGACACGGGGTTTATGTATCTTGTCCAAGTTGGAACAGCTTGAAAGAGGCAGAGCTGTAATAAGAAAGAGGCTGCTTTGTGCCCCTCATGAGGCTGCCTCTTGTCCCAGGTTTGTGCTCAAAATTAAATTCATTTCCTCTTTCCCAAACCTCATTGGGAAGGCTTCATCACAGGGCTTCACCATTTCTGTGAGTTGCACCTCCATTCCACTAATCCTTTTGGTGATTTCTTCTCCCTCACATCTAATTTTTAGTAATTTCCTATTGCTTCTATAACAAATTATCAAAAATGTATTAGCTTAAAAGAATAAATTATCTTACAGGTCTAGAGGTCAGAAGTCCAAAATAAGTCACACTGAGCTAAAATCAAGGTGTTGGCAGGGAGTCTTTAGGAGAGAATCTGTTTTTTGTTTTTTTTTCCAGCTTTTGAGGCGATCACATTCCTTGGTTCATGACTCCATTCTTTGGTCTTCTAAGCCAGCAATATCAGGCTGGGTTCCTCTCACAATATCATTTCTTTGGGTCTCTTCTGCTTCTCTTTCCCTTTTAAGAACCCTTGTGATGACCTTGGGCCCACTCAGATAATCCAGGATAATCTCCGTATTTCAAGGTCAGCTAATTAATAACTTTAATTCAATCTGCAATCTCAATGCCTCCTTGCCATGTAATTTAATGTACTCACAGGTTTCAGGGATTAGGATGTGAACATCTTTGGGAGGGCCATTGTTCTATCCTTCCACACCACATCCTAAACAAATTATTTCTCAAATCTGAATTTTAAGAAGAAAAACATTAAGTCTTTGCAGAGAATTTCTGAACTTTTTTAACATTGCCATTTGTCAATGTCTTAGAGGATGTGCCATAATCTGGATTTGTCTGTTTTCTCATTATTAGATTCAGGTTAAACATTTGTAGCCAAACTCCTACATTAGTAATGTATATTTCTCATTCATCATATTAGGAAGCTCATGATAACAGTTTATATTATCATTGGTGCTGCTAAATTATATCTTGTGGTTAAGCAGAAACACCTTTAATTTTAAGTTAAATAGAGGACAAGTGACAAGGCTTTGGTTCATGTAAGGTAGGGAGTTGGAACTAAGACAGTTACATAAAACCAAGATTCTCAAATGATCACATTTTCAATGAAAGGAAGAGATAGAAAATCTACCCCTTAGTCAAAGGAAATTAAAAGGTTATTTGGTTTTCAAGGACTTAGCTCAAGATGAAAAACGTCCCCTTGAGAATTTGCAACCATAATCTTACATTCATGTAGAGTGGAGTTTGAACTTGTGTTTGGGCCCTAGAAATCCTGAGGCCAGAAGTTGACTTAAAGAATTCTGAGTTGGTAACTTCCTGGGAATCTTGGATGAAACAAGACTGATCTTCCCTGGAATGATTCCTCACAGAACTCCCTCTATACATGAGCTCAAAATCCAAAAATTTTTAAAAAGTCAATAGAATGAACAAATAAGTTAGATCCTAAGTATTTCAAATAATGGAATTATCAGATGTAGATTATAAAAGAGGAATTACTGTATGATTAGATGTATATAAAGTTCTGAACCATGTAAAACTTACCATGAGAAGAGTAGAAAGAGCACAAGATAACTTCTGGATTTCTGGGAATGTTCCATTTCTTGATCTGTGTGAGGTTTACATAGATGTGTTCACTTTGTGAAAATTCATCAAGCTATATTCATAATGTGTGCACTTTTCTGTATGTCATAATTTTTTTTTGAGTCAGAGTTTTGCTCTGTTCCCCAGGCTGGAGTACAGTGATGTGATCTCAGCTCACTGCAACCTCCGCCTCTGGGGTTCAAGCGATTCTCATACCTCAGCATCCAGAATAGCTGAGACTACAGGCATGTGCCACCATAACTGGCTAATGTTTTGTATTTTTAGTAGAGATGGGGTTTCGCCATGTTGCCCAGGCTGGTCTCAAACTTCTGAGCTCAGACAATCCACCCATTTCAGCCTCCCAAAGTGCTAGGATTACAGGCATGAGCCACTGTGCCCGGCCTGTCTATGTATCATAATTTAATGAAAAGTTTGCACTAAAAATAAAGAAATTTGAAAAGGAATCAAAATTTTTAGAAGTGAAAAATATGATAATTAAAACTCAGTGGAGGAGGCAGCCAGCATCTGAAGGAGCTGTGATAACCATCTCCAAATGCAACCATGAAGCTGAAGGAGACAAAATCAAGATCAAAACCATCAAACTATTGGAAGTTTCAGATGAAAGGAATCAAGATTGTGGGGAAATGGAAGCAAGTGAAGGTAGACCCAAATATGTTTGTAAGTGGACAGATGGCTGATGTGGTATGCTTTGAGGAACTGAGATTACTGGTTGGTCCCCTCTGCCAAGAATTCCTCCAGTCTCTTCTCAAAGGAGGCATCCAAGAAGAAAAAGGCACCAGCTGTTTGAGAAGAGGAGGAAGTAAAGTGTAGCTCCTCAAAGAAAATGATCAAGTTGAAGAAAAGTAAAGATGTGGAAACTGAAGGAATTAGTGTCCAGAAAGAGTTTGAAGTCAAAGATGCTGAACCAGAGCCAAATCGGAGATGGTATGATTTGTCCTGACCCAGAGGAGAGGAGAGGGCATCAGAAAGCCCGGCCCAGATTGTTCCAAAAGAGAAGAAAAAGGGAAAAAATTAAGCCTCCCCATGGCACTGTCCCAAAGGTGCCCCAAAAAGCAAAGACACTGATGCCTGACTAGAAGGTGAATGTATCAGCTTGAAGGACTTTTTATGTCCAAGCCATTCTCCAAGCAGCAGGTTTTCTAGGTTTCTCTGCACCTACACCAGTCTAAGAAGCCCTGACTTTGACACCTGTCATCTGTGACAAACTAGACATCCTTGGGGATGCTGAGACAGGATATGGGAAAACTCTTGTCTTTGTCATTCCAGTGATTCAAGCAGTATTGGCAGTGCTGGAGTAGTAAGCTTGCCCTAACTCCAAGTAACACTAAATACCACCTGGAGAGCCCAGAACTGAGTCCAGAGCTGAGACTGGATCACTAAGCAAGGCTGGAACTGAGTCGGGAATGTTGCCTGATGAGACTGGAATCGAGAGTGAAATACTCCCCTGTGAAGCTGAGCTAAGGCTAGAGTACCACCCAACAAGGCCAGAGCAAAGACCAGAGCTTCCCCCTCAAACCAGGTGCTGTTCTTCTATGATGATGATGCTGGTAAAGAACTTTCTTCCCTTAACAAGGCATGAGGACAAAGAGGAAAGGCTTGATAAAGAGCAAACTGGAATGTCAAAACAAGAGTTGAATGGCAAAGTTGCTACCTGTAAAGGACATCTAAAACATCACCTGCTTGGACTGGTCCTGATTCCCACTTAAGAACTGGCCATCCAGGTCTAATAACCCTTTGATGCTGCAGCCAAGTTTATGGGAATTAAAACTGCTATTTTGTTCGGTGGCATATTCATGCACAAATAGCAGAGGATGCTCAGGTGTCAGCCTGATATTGTGATCAGCCGTTCAAGCTGACTGTGGGAGCTGGTTAAAGAAAATCACCTTCATTTGAGCAGCCTTCAGCAGTTCAGGTGCCTGGTGGTAGATGGGGCTGACTGGATGATTGAGAAAGGCTACTTTGCTGAGCTCTCACAGTTGCTAGAGATGTTCATGACTCCCAATACAACCCAGAGAGACAGACACTTGGATTTTTGTGTCGCAGTGATGCTGGTACATCAAGCTGCTGCATGAATCCTTTATAAGAAGCACACCAAGAAAATGGACAAAACTGCCAAACTCGACCTTCTCATGCAGAAGGTTGGCACGAGGGGCAAGTCCAAGGTCATTGACCCCCACAAGCAATGAAGTCACAATGGAGTTGCTGACAGATACCAAGATCCATTATGAGACTGATGAGAAAGACTTCCACCTGTACTACTTCCTGATGCAGTATCCAGGCCTCACCTTAGTGTTTGCCAACAACATCTCTTACATCACACACCTTTCTAGGCTCCTCAAAGTCCTAAATGCTGCTGACCCTACATACTCGCATGCACCACAAGCAGAGAGTCAGATACCTGGAGTGGCTTGCCTGTATGGAAGACTGTTCTCCTGGGAACAGATGTGGCAGCTTAGGATCTGGATACTCCTAAAGTCCAGCATGCCATCCACTACCAGGTCCATTGCACCTTGGAGATTTATGTCCGTTCAAGTGGTTGAACTGCTTATGCTGCCAATGAAGACCTCGGCCTAATGCTGATTAGGCCTGAGGACAAGATCAACTTTAATAAGATTTACAGAGCCCTCTAGAAATAAAGTGCATGAATGTGGTCAAGGAGCAAATCCATTTTGCTTTACGAAGAAAGCTGAGTATTTGAACTTCCAGGAATGTCTGCACAGTTCTTGGATTGAGGGTGTGGTGTCTGTTCTGCAAATTGAACAGAGATTGAACAAATTGTAAAAAGATATATAAAGGAGGAAAAGCTGATCAAGAAAAAGAGTGTCGAAGACAAAAGCAGGTGAAGTTCCTACTAGAAGGAGCCACACTATTTGTTTTCCCAACCATTATTTAAATATGACCTGAACTGCAAGTATCCAACTCAATTGGGTAAGATGCCTATGCTCATGTCTGCCCCAAGAAGTGGTGAATCTGCTTTGAACTGCTTCTCCAAACAAGGAGGAGGAAGAGAAAAAAGTAGGAGAGAGAGGGAGAGGAAGAAGGGGACAAAGTTTGTTGGTGACCACACAGTGGTATCTCTGTTCTCTGATCATATGTGAAAACCTTTCCTTCCCACCCTTTAATTTCATTCCATAATCAACCTCAATTAGAAAAATCTTCTCTTCCACACCAATGGCCTGTAGCAGGAGAGACCTCATGCAGATTTGTGGATATTCCTAAAGTCCAGCATGTCATCCAGTCCATTACCAGGTCCATTCCACCTTGGAGATTATGTCCACTCAAGTGGTTGAACTTCTTATGCCACCAATGAAGATCTCAGCCTAATGCTGATTAGGCCTTATTTTGGAATAAGAATCATATGCAGCAGCTTCATATTTATTCCAGTGTATAGGCTTCCTTTATGTTCAACCAGACTTCCTAAATTAAAAATTATGGTCAGAAAAAAAATCAGTGTAACAGTTAAATAGCCCATTAGATACAAATGAAGAGAGAAGTAGTGAACTAGAATATAGTCAAGAAGAAATTATCTAGGAAAGGAGTTTTAGAAACATGGCAGATATAATGAGAAGGTTTAATAAAAAAATTAATTGGAGTTTTCAAAAGGAGAGAATTGATAAAATGGGAAATAGGAAATATTTAGAGATTATATTTATTTGAGCAATAGTTCAGGATTGGTAAATTTTTAAGGAGAGAGAAGGGCATGAATTTGGAGATTCATGAAATGCAATGAAACCCAAGGCAGAAAAAAATTTTTTAATGCCATCTGGATACATTTAGTAAAACTCAGAATCTGAAAGTTTAAAAGGTACTTAAAGGAGGTAGACAGTCAAAGAGAGTAACTTCAAAGAAGCAGTTAGACCAGCAGAATTCTCAATAGCAATAACAAAAGATGGAAGACAGTAGAATGGTATCTTCTACATGCTGAGACAAAATAATTCAACATAGAATCATGTAAGTTTTTCACAAATGAGAGCAAAATATATTTTTCATAAAAACAAAACTTGGAAAGAGTTTAACATCAATGGGCCTTACTAAAGGAATTCTCAAGGACGAATTCCAGGAAGAAAAAATTAAATCCAGAAAGGAAGTTTGAGAAGAAAGAGGAACAGTGAAAAATGAAATTGGTATACAAATAAACACTGACTGTATAAAACATGAACCAATACAAGTAATATCTACTGTGTAGGCTTTATTATGTTGAGTAATTTATATCAGTAAGGGGTATTTAATTTTGTTGAGTGCTTAATTTCCATCAGTTAAGATGAACATGTGAGATTTTTATCTTCATTCTATTAATATGGTATATTACATTGTTTGATTTTTGTATTTTGAACACCCTCCAGGAACAAATCCCACTTAGTCATAGTGTATAATCCTTTTCATTAGCTGCTGACTTTGGTTTGCTAGTATTTTGTTGAGGTCCCTTCTGACTTTTTTTTAAAAAATATTTTCTGTTTTTTGTTTTTTTATTTTTTTAGCAAAAAAAAATGCACTTAGAAGTGTTACTGTTTGTGTTTTATTCCTTCTTAGATTGAATACAGCTCTTTGATTCTGTGGGTTAATGTCTTTCATTAGTTTTGGAAAATTCTCAACCATTGTTTTTTGTTTTATTTTTTATTTTGGAGATGGAGTCTCGCTCTGTCACCCAGGCTGGAGTGCAGTGGCCTGATCTTGGCTCACTGCAACCTCTGCCTCCCGGGTTCAAGAAATTATTTCTTTATTGTTTTTTTCTCACTCTCCTCTTCTTATTTTTTTCTCAATCTCCTCTTCTTGTGATTTTTTTTCACTCTCCTCTTCTTCTATGACTCTGTATTAGTCCATTCTCACACTGACATAAAGAACTACCTGAGACGGGGCAATTTATGAAGAAAAGAGGTATAATTGACTCAAAGTTTTGCAGACTGTAGCGGAAGCATGGTTGGAGAGGCCTCAGGAAACATAATCATGGAAGAAGGGCAAAGGCTAAGCAAGCACCTTCTTCACATGGTAGAGCAGGAGAGAGAGAGTAAAGGGGGAAGTGATGTGCACTTTTAAACAACCAGATCTCATGAGAGCTGCATCATGAGAACAGCAAGGAGGAAGTCTGCCCCCACGATTCAGTTACCTCTCACTAGGCTCCTCCTTCATCACATGGGAATTACAATTCTACATGGAATTTGGGTGGGGACACAGAGCCAAGCACATCAGACTCCAATTACTTGTACCTTCTATTTTTATCTCTATGTCTCTTATGTTTTTTGCTATTTATTGCTCTTCTTCATTCTGAATATTCTCTTCTGATGTATCTTACAGTTCACTATTTATTTAACTATATCTGTAAAATCTATCCACTGACTTCTTAATATCAATTGTATTTTTCAGTTCTAGAATTTCCATTTGTTTTTTCCTTAAAATTTTCAGTTTTCTACTAACATTTACAATTTTTTCATTTATTTCTTGAGCATATTAAGCATGAATATTTAAAAACCCACCATCTGTACTCCCAACTTGTCTGTTTCTACTGTCTGTTGTTTCTCTTCGTTTTAATAAGCTTTTGTTTATAACCTTTTGTTTCTTCATATACCTGGAAATTTTTTATTGAGAGTTGAATATTACATATGAAATATTTATAGACATAATTTGAGCTTCTGGATAACTGCAAACCTATCTTCCAAATTGCAGAACCATTTTACACCACAAGCAGTGAGTGAGACCTACTATCATTTCACATGCTTGTCAGCATTTGGTGTTGATTTTACCCATTCTAACAGGTGTGTAGTGATATTTTATTGTTGTTTGAATTTGTAATTCTCTATAGATATGATGTTGAACTTCTTTTTGTATGCATATTTGCCTTCTGTATGTCTTCTTTGGTGAGATATCTGTTTGGATCTTTTCTGCATTTTTTAGTTGGATTGTTTATTTTCATATTGTTGAGTTTTTAGAGTTCTTTATATATTCCAAATACAAGTGCTTTATCAGGTATACGTTTTCCAAATATTTTCTCCAAGTTTATGGCATATCTTTTCATTATCTTAATAATGTCTTTCTTAGAAGTTTCTAATTTTAATGAAGTCTATTTTTTCAAATGTGAAGAATTGGGCTGGAGGGTGTATTTCTTTTTCTTCACTTATTTGTGACATGTAAATTGTAAAATTATTATTCAGGTATAATAGCTATTGAATTGTCATCAAGCAATTATTTTTAAAATTACATTACTGTCAATCTTGACTTTTAATTTACAAAGCAAGACAAATGAATTCACATTCTCTATGACTTTATCCCAGATTTCCCTAGCCCTGAAACAGCTAGCCTGGAAAACTTTCCAGCCAGAAGTTATCAAAACTGGGGACACTATGGAAAAACAGTGTATTTAATGACCTTGAGCTGTCAGTCCATCTATCCAGGGATTAATGCTTTCATACAAGAGTGCTATGCTTGGAATATATAATAGGAATATGTAAATTCACTTAAATTTAATTGAATGATTAGATTCAATTTATGTAAAAATTGAAGCTTCTTTTCAACTTGAAAATGGTGATGTGTTTTGTTTCATAAATCTGTAAAAGATAATTTTCCAAAAAAGTAACATCATGACTCCTATGAATATAAAATGAACAGATGTCAAAGATTTCAACTCATTAATTAAATGAGAGAATTGGAAAAACTTTTTCAACTGATTCGAGAGAGAACCCAAAGAATGAAGACACTTATATATCAAGAATATTGAAATGAATTTGCAAGTGGTTGCAAAACTGACTTTCTATCATGGGGAAGGGAAGTTAATTGAACCTCCACTAGACACAATTTATTGCATATCCATAGACTAGAATTATGCATAGACAATTATTTTGCTTTGCTATCAGTCACCTACAACTTTTAAAAGTTTAAAATAGCTCAATGGTGATGAAAGGCTTACATCGAATAACTTGGAAGAGTGTGCTCTAAACAATGCATAATTTCTATTAAAAATAACCATAACCATTTCTGCTTATTTCAAATTTTCTTACAATTTTTTTTTCTTGAGACAGAATCTCACTCCATACCTCAGGCTGGAGTGCAGTGGTGTGATCCCTGCTCACTGCAAACTTGACCTGCTAGGCTCAAGCAATCTTCCCACCTCAGCATCTTGAGGAGCTGGAACTACAGGTGCGTGCCACAAAGCTGGCTAATTTTTTAATTGTTTTTTTCTTTGTAGAGGTGGGGGTCTCCCTATGTTGCCTAGTCTAGTCTCCAACTCCTGGGCTCAAGCAATTCTCCCACTTAAGCCTCCCAAATTGCTCAGATTACAATTGTAAGTCACTATGCCTGGCCAAAATTTTCTTATGAAATTTTCTACGCTTCTATTTTTCTTTAGATTATAGGGCATTTGTATCACTTTAAACATTATTGAGGCTTATGGGAATAGGAGTTGATATGGTTTGGCTCTGTGTCCTCCACCTGAATCTCACCTTGAACTGTAATAATCCCCATGTGTCATGGGAGGGACAGGGTGGGAGGTAATTGAATCATGGGGGGTGAATTTTTCCTATACTATTCTCATGATAGTGAATAATTCTCATGATATCTAATGGTTTTGAAATGGGCAGTTCCCCTGCACATGCTCTCTCTTTTGCCAGCCACCATGTAAGACATGCCTTTCTCCTCCTTTGCATTCCGTCATGCTTGTGAGGTCCCCCAAGTCATGTGGAACTGTGAATCTATTAAACCTCTTTTTTTTTTTAAAATAAATTACCCAGTGTTGGGTATGTCTTTATTAGCAGCATGATTTTATTCTCTAAATAAAAATATTTAGAAAAGATACATTTACTTGATACATTTTATTTTCAATATGTTGGAAGCATGCCTCCTTTATGTTTTGCTCATCATTGACTGGATAGTTTTGTACTATATATCACATTTTTTTCAGCTTCTATATCTGATACTCAGGCAATGCATGTGCAAGAGCTCTCTACATCTTGATGAGGTAATACTTTCTATCATTAATATATTAACTAGTATTTGTTATTTCCTCTGTATTCTTTCTTCATACAGATCTAGATGTTTAGAAAGAATATCACAAAAGAGCTGGTTATGGTGGCTTGCACCTGTAATTCTCAGCACTTTGGATGGCTGAGGCAGGCAGATCACTTGAGTCCAGGAATTTGAGACCAGCCTGGCCAACATGGTGAAACCATGTCTCTACTAAAAATACAAAAAATTAGCCGAGTATAGTGGTATGCTCCTGTAATTCCAGTTACTTGGGAGGCTGGCTTGAACTCAGGAGGCAGAAGTTGCAGTGAGCCAAGATTGTGCCTCTGCACTCCAGGCTGGGTGATGAAGTAAGACTCTGTCTCAAAAAAAAAAAAAAGTATATTTTCCTAAACATATAGGAATTCCAACTACATGCATATCTTATTATATTTTTCTCTGCTAAAATGTAATCTCTATGACAGCAGGGAGTTTTTGTTTGTTTTGTTCAGATGTCACTCCCAGTGACGACATCAGTGCCTCACACACAGACAATGCTTAATAGCAGTTGTTGAATGAATGAACACATTTTACGTAATTACCAAGCACTGCAAGGTAATTGGATCTTCTCAGTAGGAACTCCTGCTACTAAGCAGCATTTATTAGTGTATGAAAATTAAAATATATTAAGTTATACTTTATTTGCACCATAAAAGGATCCTCACTGCCTATGTCTGACTGTGAACCCTACTTTGAAAATCACAGATCTGAACTCTACAGCCTACTATTGTATTTTATTATTTTTTTCTTTTATTCTGACTTAGAGGCATTCAGGTACTACTGTATTTTAAATACTTGCTGCTCAAAATATGGCCCAGGAATCATCAGTATCTGTACCACCAGGAGCTTGTTAGGTTGATTCCATAACTTGGCTACTGTGAATAGTGGACAAGATTCTGCATTTCTAAGTGTCCATCAATGGATGAATGGATAGAGAAAATATGGTATACATGCATAATGGAAGATTATTTAGCCATAAAAGATGAGATTCTGTCATTTGCAGCAACATGGATAGACCTGGAGGACATTTTGTTAAGTGAAATAAGCCAGGCAAAGAAAAACAAATACCCTATGTTCTCATTCATATATGGTTGCTGAGATAGTTGATCTCATGAAGGTAGAGAGTAGAATATGGTTACTGGAGGCTAGGAAGTGTAGGCAGGACAGGGGAATCAAAAGAAGCTGGTTAATGGGTACGAAAATAGAGTTAAGTAAAAGGAATAAGTGACTTCCAATTCCAAAATCAAAATGGTGTCATAGAAGCAATCTGGCTTTACCTTCCCCATCCCCCATAACAGAAAACCCAAACTAAATATACAGCACCAAGATTGTTACCAGAAATATCCCAGAACTCAAATATGAACTTGAGATACTCCCTGGGGCCACAGAAAGGTGAAAATAACTGAGTGGACAGTAAGAGAATTAGACTTCCACATTCATGATGCCCCTCCCTACTTTCTCCCTGTAACCAAGTGTGTGAAAAATGTCCCCCAAACTCACTTTTTCTATAGTAAAAAAAGTGAAACTGAGGTGTACAACCAGCTTCTCCACCATCTTTGGTTCCCTGGCAGGAGAACTGTCCCTACCTTAACTGACAAAAAGCATCATGAATGCCTGAAGGAAGAAATATCCTTGAGGACAAGCAGAGACAAAGTGGATAGGCAGGACTCCCATTTCCAGCCCTGGAAACTCTGCTCTGTAACTCAGCCAAAGAAGATGCCACATTTCTATGGTTATTCAGCAGCCCTGTGCTGTAGGAGGTTTGTCCCACAGGCCCCTGGGCATGAACTGCTAGCCAGCCTCCCACACTGCCAGAATATTTTTTGGGGGACCTCCCTCATTCAGGAAAGGCAGCTCTCTGATTGTTTACTAGAGCTGAGGCAAACATAGGCTTAAGGTGCACCTAGAGCCAAAAAGGAGTCAGTGACTGGGCAGTAAAGAACCTGTAAGCAAATCTATCCAATAAAACAAACAAACAAACAAACTGAACAGAGAAGACTGGAACGAATAACTAATCCTTCAAAGCAAAGACATAGATGTGCATCCACAAGAAACAACAGCACACAGAGAACCATGGACTGATTCCAGGCCTAGGCCCTTGGATAGCATTTCTGGACCTACTCTGAAGCAGAAAAGAGCCCACAGGCCTGGCAGCATTCACCACAAGCTGACTGAAGAGATGTTGGTCTTTAAGTGAACATTGTTAGTGGCCTGGTAGAACTCCCCATGGGCCACTGGTGGTCGTGGCCACAGGGAGAGGCTTCTCTGGCTGTGAAAAAGGGAAGAAAGAGTGGGAAGGATTTTATATTGTGGTTTGAGTGCCAGCTTAGCTGCAGTAGAATAGAACATCAGGCAAACTTCTAAGGTTTTTGACTCTAAGCCCTGGCTCCTAGACAGCATCTCCGGACCCATCAAGGGCCTAGGGGAATTTGCCACTCTGAAGGAAAGGACACAAACCTGGCTGGCTTTTGCTATCTGCTGATCATAGAGCCCTAGGGCCTTAAGTGAACATAGGTGACATCTCAGTAGTGGTTACAGCAGGCCTTGGGCAAGACTCAGTGCTCTGCTGGGTTCAGATCTGACCCAGCATACTTTCAGTGGTGGTGGCCACAGGCTGCTTACTTCACCACATTCCTAGTTCCAAATGGCTCAGCAAAGAGAGAGACTCCATGTGTTTGGGATAAAGTAAGGAAAAAGAACAAGAGTCTCTGCCTGGTAATCCAGATAATTCTTCCAGATCTTATCCAAAACCACCAAGGAATTACCTTCGCAAGTCTGCAAATACTATGAAATTATTGGACTTGGGGCCCAAGTCCCTTCAAATACCTGGAAATCCTCCTCAAGAAGGATGGGTAAAAAGAAGCCTAGACTGTGATGACTACAATAAATATCTAAACTCTTCAATGCTCAGACACCAAGGAACATCTACAATCATTAGGATCCTTCAGGAAAACATGACCTAATCAAACAAACTAAATAAGCCACCAGGGACCAATCCTGGAGAAACAGAGATGTGTGACCTCTCAGACGGAGAATTCAAAATAGCTGTTTTGAGGAAACTCAAAGAAAATTCAAGATAATACACAGAAGAAATTTAGAATTCTATGGGATAGGCTGGGCATGGTGGCTCACACCTGTAATCCCAGCACTTTGGGAGGCCAAGGTGGGCAGATCACCTGAAGTCTGGAGTTCAAGACCAGTTTGGCCAACAAAACCCCCTCTCTACTAAAAACACAAATATTATCCAGGTGTGGTGGTGGGTGCCTATAATCCCAGCTACTTGGGAGGCTGAGGCAGAAGAATTGCTTGAACCTGGGAGGCAGAGGTTGTGGTGAGCCGAGATTGTGCCACTGCACTCCAGCCTGAGTGACAGAGTAAGACTCCATCTCAAAAAAAAAAAAAAAAAAAAAAAGAATCCTATGGTATAAATTTAGCAAAGAGATTGAAATAATTAAAAAGAATCAAGCAGAAATTCTAGAGTTGAAAAGTGCAATTGACGTACTGAATAATGCATCAGAGTCTCTTAATAGCAGAACTGACCAAGCAGAGAAAGAATTAGTGAGCTTAAAAACAGGATATTTGAAAACACACTGAAAAGACAAGAGAAAAAAGAATAAAAAATAATGAAGCATCCCTACAAGATTCAGAAAACACACAAATCTAAGAGTTATTGGCCTTAAAGAGGAGGTAGAGAGAGACATAAGGGTAGAATGTTGCTGAAGGAAAAAAATATTTGACCCTAGAATAGTAGATCTGGTGTATATCCTTCAAGCATGAAGGATAAATAAAAACTTTCCCAGACAAACAAAAGCTGAGGGATTTCACTAACATCAAGCCTGCCCTATAAGAAATGCTAAAGGGAGTCTTTCAATCTGAAAGAAAAAAGGATATTAATGAACAAGAAGAAATCATCTGAAAGTAGAAAACTCACTGATAAGAGTAAGCACACAGAATAACTCAGAATATTATAACATTGCTTTCATGGTGTGTAAGTTTCTTCTCTCTTAAGTACAAAAACTAAATGATGAACTAATAAAAAATAATAACTACTACAACTTTTCAAACATAGTTTAATAAGATACAAATACAATAAAACTTAAAAAACAGGGGGATGAAGTTAAAGTGTAGAGTTTTTATTAGTTTTCTTTCTTTTTACATGTTTGTTATACAATCATTGTTATCACCAGTTTAAAATAATGGGTTATAAGAAAGTATTTGCAAGTTTCATGGTAACATCAAATCAAAAAAACAAACAACAGGTACACAAGAAAATAAAAAGGAAGAAATTAAATCATACCAACAGAGAAAATCACCTTCACTAAAAGGAAGACAGAAAGGAAGGAAATAAGGAAGAGAAGACCACAAAACAACCAGAAAACAAATAACAAAATGGCAGGGTAAATTTCTACTTATCAAGAATATCATTGAGTATAAATGGATTAAACTCTACAATCTAAAGACATAGAGTGGCTGAATAGATGAAAAAACAAGACCCAATGATCTGTTGCCTACAAGAAGCACACTTAACCTTTGAAGTGAAAAAAGCACACTTTACATATAAACTATGTAAATAAAGGGATGGAAAAAGATATTCCATGACAACAGAAATCAAAAAAGAGCAGGAGTAGCTATACTCATATTAGACAAAATAGATTTCAAGACAAAAACTATAAAAAGAGACAAAAAAGGTGATATGGTTTGGCTGTGTTCCCTCCCAAATCTCATGTTGAATTGTAGTTCCCATAATTCCCACATGTGGTGAGAGAGACCCAGAGGGAGGTAATTGAATCCTGGGGGCAGTTTCCCCCATCATATTCTCATGATAGTAAGTTTTCAGGAGATCTGATGGTTTTATAAGGGGCTTCCCCCTTTGCTTTGTTCTCATTCTTCTCCATCCTGCTGCCACGTGAAGAAGGATGTGTTTGCTTCCCCTTCTGCCACGATTGTAAGTTTCCTGAGGCTCCCCAGCCATGCTGAACTGTGAGACAATTAGACCTCTTTCCTTTATCAATTAATCATTCTGGGGTATGTCTTTATTAGTAGCATGAGAACAGACTAATATAGAAGGTCATTAATGATAAAGAGTCAATCCAGCAACAGGATATAATGATTGTAAATATATATATGCATCTGACACAGGATGACACAGATATATGAAGCAAATATTAATACAACTAAAGAGAGAGATAGAAATCATTAGCTGGAGACTTCAACACCTCACTTTGAGCATTGGACAGATCTCCCAGACAGAAACTCAACAAAGAAGCATTAGACTTAATCTGCACTATACAACAAATGGATCTCATAGATATTTACAGAACGTTTCATCCAAAAGTTACAGAATACACATTCTTCCCCTCGGCACATGGGTCATTTGCAAAGATAGACCATATGTTAAGTCACAAAACAGGTCTTAAAACATTTTTAGAAATTGAAATTATATCAAACATCTTCTTTTTCTCACACACAATGGAATAAAACTAGAAATCAACAACAAGAGGAATTTTGGAAACTACACGAACACATGCAAATTAAATTATATGCTCCTGAATGACCAATGGGTCAATAAAGGAATTAGAAGACAATTGAAAAATTTATTGAAGCAAATGATAATGGAAACACAACATACCAAAACCTATGGGATATAGATAAAGCAGTACTAAGAGGGAAATTTATACCTATAAGTGCCTATATCAAAAAAGAAGAAAAACTTCAAATAAATAACCTGACAATGCATCTCAAAGATCTAGAAAAGGGAGAGCAAACCAAACCCAAAATTAATATAAGCAGAGAAATAATCAAGATTAGGGCAGAAATAAATGAATTCAAAATGAAGCAAATAAAAAGATCAACAAAACAAAGAGTTGGTTTTTGAAAAGAGAAACAAAATTGATAAGCTTTTGGCCAGACTAAGAAAAAAATGGAGAAGACCCAAGTGAATAAAATGAGACAGGAAAAATGAGACATTACAGCTGATATCACAGAAATTCAAAAGATCTTTAGTGGCTACTATGAAAAACCATATGCCAATAAATTGGAAAATCTGGAGGAAATGGATAAATTCCTAGACACATACAACCTACCAAGATTGAACCACGAAGAAATCCAAAACCTGAATAGACCAATAACAAGTGAAGAATCAAACCCATAATAAAAATTCTCCCAGTAAAGGAAAACCTGGAACCCTATGGATTCACTGCTAAATTCTGCCAAACATTTAAAGAACTAATACCAATCCTACTGAAACTATTCTGAAAAATAGAGGAAGAAATACTTCCAAATTCATCAGCATGACCTTGATACCCAAACTAGACAAAGACACATCAAAAAAAGAAAACTACAGAATGATATCTCTGATGAATACTGATGCAGGAATCCTCAACAAAATATTTTACCTGCAAACCTAATTCAACAAACATTAAAAAATTGTTCATCATGACCAAGTAGTATTTATACCAGGGATGCAGGGATGGTTCAACATATGCAAATCAATCCAAGTGATACAACATATCAGCAGAATGAAGGACAAAAAACCATATGATCATTTCAATTGATGCTGGAAAAACATTTGATAAAATTCAACATCTCTTAATAATAAAAACCCTAAAAAATCTGGATATAGAAGGAACATACCTTGACATAATGAAAGCCATATATGAAAGACCCACAGCTAGTGCCATACTTAATAGGGAAAAATTGAAAGCCTTTCCTCTAAGATCTGGAACATGACAAAGATACTCATTTTCACCACTGTTCTTCAGCATAGCACTGGAAGTCCTAGGTAGAGCAATCAGATAAGAGAAAGAAATAAAGGACAACCAAACTGGAAATAAAGAAGACAAATTATCCTCGTCTGACATGATCTTATATTTGGAAAAACCTGAAGACTCCACAAAAGAAAATTAGGACTGATAAATTTAGTAAAGTTTCAGGATACAAAATCAACATACAAAAATCAGTAGCATTTCTATATGCTAATGGTGAACAATCTGAAAAAGAAATTTTTTAAAATTCCATTTACAGTAGCCACAAATAAAATTAAATAGGAATTAACTTTATGAAAGAAATGAAAGATCCATACAATGAAAACTACAAAACACTGATGAAAGAAATTGAAGAGGGCACAAAATGGAAAGACATTCCATGTTCATGGATTGGGAGAATCAGTATTGTTTAAATGTCCATGCTACACAAAGCAATTACAGATTCAATGTAATCCTATCAAAATAGCAATGACATTCTTCACAGAAATAGAAAAAAAATCTAAAATTTATATGGAACCAGAAAAGACCTAGAATAGCCCAAGATATCCTTAGCAAAAAGAACTAAACTGGAGGGATCACATTACCTGATTTCAAATTATACTACAGAGCTATAGTAACCAAAGCAGCGTGCTACTGTCATAAAAACAGACACATAGGCCAATGGAACAGAATAGAGAACCCAGAAACAAATTCACATACCACTCATTTTTGACAAAGTTGGCAAGAGTATACACTGGGGAAAAGACAGTCTTTTCAATAAATGGTGCTGGGAAAACAGGATACCTATATGCAGAAGAATGAAACTTGACCCCTATCTCTCACCATACACAAAAATCAAATCAAAATCTAAGGACTCAAACTATGAAAACACTACAAGGAAACATTGGGGAAACTCTCCAGCACATTGGTCTGGGCAAAAGTTTCTTGAGTAATACCCCACAGACACAGGCATCCAAGGCAAAATGAGCAAATGGGATTACGTCAAGTTAAAAGCTTCCACACAGCAAAGGAAGCAAGCAACAAAGTGAATAGATAACCCACAGAATGGGAGAAAATATTTGCAGACTACCCATCTGACAAGGGATTAATAACCAGAGTGTATAAGTAACTCAAACAACTCTATAGGAACAAGTCTAATAATCTGATTTAAAAATGGGCAAAATATTTGAATAGACATTTCTGAAAAGAAGTCGTATACATGGCAAGCAAGCAAGCATATGAAAAGGTGCTCAGGCCAGGCACAGTGGCTCATGCCTGTAATTCCAGCACTTTGGGAGGCTGAGGTGGGCAGATTGTTTGAGTTCACAATTTCAAGACTAGCCTGGGCAACAGGGCAAAACCCTATTTCTACAAAAAAAAAAAAAAAAAAAAAAAAAAATTAGCCAGGCGTTTTGATGCCTGCATCTAGTCCCAGCTGCTCAGGAGGTTAAGGTGGGAGGATGGCTTGAGCCCTGGAGGCAGAGGCAAAGGTTGCAGTGAGCCAAGATGGCACCACTGCACTCCAGCCTGGACCGTAGAGCCAGACGTTGTCACAGAAAAAAAAAAAAAAAAGAAAATAAAAGAAAGGAAAGGGAAAAGAAAAAGAAAAAGAAAAGCAAAAAAAAAAAAAAAAAAAAAAGTAAAGGGAAAAGAAAAGATGCTCAGCATCATTGTTCATCAGAGAAATGCAAATGAAAACTATGAGATATCATCTTACCCTAATTAAAATGGCTTTTATCCAAAGGACAGGAAATAACAAATGCTGGAGAGGATGTGGATTAAAGGGAACCCTCATACACTGTTGCTGGGAATGTAAATGATTACAGCCACCATGGAGAACAGTTTTGAGGTCCCTCAAAAAACAAAACAAAACAAAAAACACTAAAAATAGAGCTACCATATTATCCAGCAATCCCACTTCTGAGTATATACCCAAAAGAAAGGAAGTCAGTATATTAAAGAGATATCTGCACACCTATGTTTGTTGCAGCACCGTTCATGATAACCAGGATTTGAAAGCAACTTAAATGTCCATCAACAGGTAAGTGGATAAAGAACATGTGGTACTTATGCACAATGGAGTACTATTTAGCTATAAGCAAGAATGAGTTCCTCTCATTTGCAACAGAATGGATGGAACTGGAGGTCATTATGTTAAGTAAAATAAGCCAGGCACAGAAAGACAGACATTGCATGTTCTAATTTTTCTTGTGGGATCTAAAAATCAAATCAACTGAACTCATGGAGACAGACAGTAGATGAATGGTTACCAGAGGCTGGGAAGGGTAGTAGGGGAGTGGTGGGGAGGTGGAGATGGTTACTGGGCACAAAACAAATAGTTAGAAAGAATGAATAAAACCTATTATTTAGCACAACAGAGTGTCTATAGTCAATAGTAATTTAATTGTACATTTAAAAAATAAAGAGTATAGTTGGATTTTTTGTAACACAAAGGAAAAATGCTTGAGGGGATGCATACACCTTTTACATGATGGGATTATTATGCATTGCATGCCTGTATCAAAATATCTGATGTACCACATAAATATATACACCTACTAAGTACCCACAAAAATTAAAGATTAAAAAAAAGAAAAAGAAACGACCCAAATAAATAACATCAGAAAAAAATGAGACATAACAAATGAAACCACAGAAATACAACAAATCATCGGAGACTATTACGAATAACTATATGGCAACAAATTGGGAAACCTAGAAGAAATAGACAAATCCTGGATATATACAACTGATCAAGATTAAGCTATGAATAAATAGAAAACCTCAATAAACCAATAACAAGTAATGAGATTGAAGCTTTAATGAAAAGTCTTCTATCGACAAAAAGCCCAGGGCCTAATGGCTTCACTGCTAAATGCCACCAAATAGTTAAAGAAGAACTAATACTAATTCTACTCCAACTCTTAAAAAAAATTGCAATGGAAGGAATATTCCAAACTCATTCTATAAGGCCAGTATTACCCTGATACCAAAACCAGACAAGGACACAATGGAAAAAAAATAGGCTGATATCAATAATAAATGCAGATACAAAAAGCCTCAATGAAGTACTAGCAAACCAAATTCAATAACATATTGAAAAGATCATTCACCATGATCCAGTGGGATTCATCTCAGGGATGCAAGGATGGTTCAACATAATATTTCACAACAATAAACATGATACATCACCTTAACAGAACCGAGAACCAAAATCATGTGACTATTTCCATAGATGCCAAATAAGCATTTGATAAAATTTAACATCCCTTTATGAAAATAAAAACCCTTATCAAATTGGCTTTTGTTTGAGAATATCTCAAAATAGAAAGACCATATATGACAAACCCAGAGTTATCATACTGAATGGGGAAAAATTGAAGGCCTTTCCTCTAAGATCTGGAACAAGACAAGGATTCCCACTTCCACCACTTTTATTCAATATAATACTGGAAGTCCTGGCTAGAGCAATTGGGTAAGAGAAAGAAATATAGGGAATCCGAACTGGAAAGGAAGAAGTCAAATTAGCTTTGTTTGTAGATGACATGATCTTATATTTAGAGAAACCTAAAGAATCCACCAAAAAACTGTTAGAACTGATAAATTAAGTAAAGTTGCAGAACACAAAATCAACATACAAAAATCAGTAGCATTTATATATGCCAACAGTAAACAATCCAAAAAAGAATTCTAGAATGAATAAGTTCTGGTGTGTAATAGCACAGATTATAATTCGCAATAATGTATTGTACAGCTAAAAGGTTTGGGATGTTCCCAACACAAAGAAATGATAAACATTTGAGGTGATGAATATCCTACTTACCTTGACTTGATCATTACACACTGTATGCATGTATCAAAATATCACATATACCCCACAGATATGTAAAATTATTATGTATGAATAAAAAAGGAAACTTAAATGCAGAATCTGAGGCCCCACTCAGACCTACTAAACCAGGATCTCCATTTTACAAGATCCCCAGGAAATGCATGTACATATTTGAATTTGAGAAGCTGCTTTAAATGTTGCAGTCACTGCCATAACAAGGTAAGCTCTGATCCCCTGGGCACTGCACCCAGCCAGCTCCAAATAGAGGCAAGTGTAGACAGCATGAGTCAGGAGGTTAGTCCATCAGCTAAATATATATTGGGCATCTCCTAGCTTCCAGTCACTATAGGTGCCACGCGTTTAGCCCTCAGTATATCTCGCTCCCTGTGCTGTATGAAGTTCTCACTATTTATCACACAGAGTGTTAGAGTTGAGAGGCACCTTTCAGATGACATTGACCAACCCCTTTATTTTGCCTATGAGGAAGCTAAGGTTGTAGATAGCTCAGGACATACAGAACAGAACTATAGTCCATGCTTTTCTTACATTACACTTGATTTGTTTACTTATGCTTTGTTTACATCACACTTATGCTTTGTTTACATCACACTTGATTCTTTCTCCATATATAAAACCCAAGATAAATGTTATTAGTTTGACCCCTATATACATGGAGTGGACACATGAAGTGGGGAGAGCTTGTTTCCAGAAGGCCCAAGTAGAAGTGACATGTCACTTTGGAAGTGGCCTTCTTACATGTACTTTCTTTCTTCTTCTTCTTTTTTAAATTATACTTTAAGTTCTGGGATACATGTGCAGAACATGCAGGTTTGTTACATAGGTATACACGTGCCATGGTGGTTTGCTGCACCCATCAACCCGTCATCGACATTAGGTATTTTTTCTAATGCTATCCCTCCCCTAGCTCCATACCCCTGACAGGCCCCCACGTGTGATGTTCCCCTCCTTATGTCCATGTGTTCTCATTGTTCAAATCCCACGTATGAGTGGGAACATGCGGTGTTTGGTTTTCTGTTCTTGTGTTAGTTTGCTGAGAATGATGGTTTCCAGCTTCATCCATGTCCCTGCAAAGGACATGAACTCATCTTTTTTATGGCTGCATAGTTTCCATGGTGTAAATGTGCCACATTTTCTTTATCCAGTCTATTATTGATGGGGATTTGGGTTGGTTCCAAGTCGTTGCTATTGTGAATAGTGCTGCAATAAACATACATGTGCATGTGTCTTTATAGTAGAATGATTTATAATCCTTTGGGTGTATACCCAGTAATGGGATTGCTGGGTCAAATGGTATTTCTGGTTCTAGATCCTTGAGGAATCGCCACACTGTCTTCCACAATGGTTGGACTAATTTATGCTCCCTCCAACAGTTTAAAAGTGTTCCTATTTCTCCACAACCTCTCGAGCATCTGTTGTTTCCTGACTTTTTAATGATCTCCATTTTAGCTGGCGTGAGATGGTATCTCATTGTGGTTTTGATTTGCATTACTCTAATACCAGTGATGAGCTTTTTTTCATATGTTTGTTGGCCACGTAAATGTCTTCTTTTGAGAAGTGTCTGTTTATCTCCTTTGCCCACTTTTTGATGGTTTTTTTTTCTTATAAATTTGTGTAAGTTCTTTGTAGATTCTGGATATTAGCCCTTTGTCAGATGGATAGATTGCAAAAATTTTCTCCCATTCTGTAGGTTGCCTGTTCACTCTGATGACAGTTTGTTTTGCTGTGCAGAAGCTCTTTAAATAGATCCCATTTGTCAATTTTCACTTTTGTTGCCATTGCTTTTGGTGTTTTAGTCATGAAGTCTTTGCCCATGCCTATGTCCTGAATGGTATTGCCTAGGTTTTCCTCTAGGATTTTTATGGTTTTAGGTCTCATGTTTAAATCTTTAATCCATCTTGAGTTAATTTTTGTGTATGATGTAAGGAGGGGTCCAGTTTCAGTTTTCTGCATATGGCTAGCCAGATTTCCCAACACCATTTATTAAATAGGGAATCCTTTCCCCATTTCTTGTTTTTGTCAGATGTGTCAAAGATTGTATGGTTGTAGATGTGTGGTGTTATTTCTGAGGCCTCTTTTCCTTTGGTCTATATATCTGTTTTGGTACCAGTACCATGCTATTTTGGTTACTGTGGTCTTGTAGTATAGTTTGAAGTTAGGTAGCGTGATGCCTCCAGCTTGGTTCTTTTTGCTTAGGATTGTCTTGGTTATGCGGGCTCTTTTTTGGTTCCACATGAAATTTAAAGTAGTTTTTTCCACTTCTGTGAAGAAAGTCAATGGTAGCTGGATGGGGATAGCATTGAATCTATAAATTACTTTGGGCATTATGGCCATTTTCATGACATTGATTCTTCCTATCCATGAGCATGGAAGGTTTTTCCATTTGTTTGTGTCCTCTCTTATTTCCGTCAGTAGTCATTTGTAGTTCACCTTGAAGAGGTCCTTCGCATCCCTTGTAAGTTGTATTCATAGGTATTTTATTCACTTTGTAATAATTGTGAAAGGGAGTTCACTCATGATTTGGCTCTCTGTTTGTCTATGATTGGTGTATAGGAATGCTTGTGATTTTTGCACATTGGTTTTGTATCCTGAGATTTTGCTGAAGTTGCATATCAGCTTAAGGAGATTTTTGGCTGAGACGATGGGGTTTTCTAAATGTACAATCCTGTCCTGTACAAACAGACAATTTGACTTCCTCTCTTCCTATTTGAATAACCTTTATTTCTTTCTCTTGCCTGATTGCCCTGGCCAGAACTTCCAATATCTTGTTGAATAGGAGTGGTGAGAGAGGACATCCTTGTCTTGTCCTGATTTTCAAGGGGAATGCTTCCAGCTTTTGCCCATTCAGTATGATATTGGCTGTGGGTTTGTCATAACTAACTCTTAGTATTTTGAGATACATTCCATCAATACCTAGTTTATTGAGAGTTTTTAGGATGAAGGGGTGTTAAATTTTATCAAAGGCCTTTTCTGCATCTATTGAGATAATCATGTGGTTTTTGTCATTGGTTCTGTTTATGTGATGGATTACGTTTATTGATTTGTGTATGTTGAACCAACCTTGCATCCCAGGGATGAAGACAACTTGATTGTGGTGGATAAGCTTTTTGATGTGCTGCTGGATTCGGTTTGACAGTACTTTATTGAGGATTTTTGCATTGATATTCATAGGGATATTGGCCTGAAATTTTCTTTTTTTGTTGTGTCTCTGCCAGGCTTTGGTGTCAGGCTGATGCTGGACTCATACAATGAGTTAGGGAGGAGTCCCTCTTTTTCTACTGTTTCAGAAGGAATGGTACCAGCTCCTCCTTTTACCTCTGGTAGAATTCGGCTGTGAATCCATCTGGTCCTGAGCTGTTTTTGTTGGTAGGCTATTAATTACTGCCTCAATTTCAGAACTTGTTATTGGTCTATTCAGGGATTCAACTTCTTCCTGGTTTAGTCTTGGGAGGGTGTATGTGTCCAGGAATGTATCCATTTATTCTACATATTCTAGTTTATTTGCATAGAAGTGTTTATAACATTCTCTGATGGTAGTTTGTATTTCTGTTGTATCAGTGGTGATATCCCCTTTATCATTTTTTATTGTGTGTCTAGGATTCTTCTCTCTTTTCTTCTTTTTTTGTAATTATTATTATACTTTAAGTTCTAGGGTACATGTGCACAACATGCAGGTTTGTTACATAGTTATACATGTGCCATGTTGATTTGGTGCACCCATCAACTTGTCACTTACATTAGGTATTTCTCCTAACACTATCCCTCCCCCAACCCCCCAGCCCCTAACAGGCCCTGGTGTATGATTTTCCCCTCCCTATTTCCATCTGTTCTCATTGTTCAACTCCCACTTATGAGTGAGAACATGCAGTGTTTGGTTTTCTTTCCTTGTGATATTTTGCTGAAAATGATGGTTTTCAGCTTCGTCCCTGCAAAGGACATGAACTCATCATTTTTTATGGCTGCATAGTAGTCCATGGTGTGTATGTGCTACATTTTATTTTATTATTGTTATACTTTATGTTTTAGGGTACATGTGCACAATGTGCAGGTTAGTTACATATGTATACATGTGCCATGCTGGTGTGCTGCACCCGTTAACTCGTCATTTAGCATTAGGTATATCTCCTAATGCTATCCCTCCCCCCTCCCCCCACCCCACAACAATCTCCAGAGTGTGATGTTCCCGTTCCGGTGTCCATGTGTTCTCATTGTTCAATTCCCACCTATGAGTGAGAACATGTGGTGTTTGGTTTTTTGACCTTGTGATAGTTTACTGAGAATGATGATTTCCAATTTCATCCATGTCCCTAAAAAGGACATGAACTCATCATTTTTTATGGCTGCATAGTATTCCATGCTGTATATGTGCCACATTTTCTCAATCCAGTCTATCATTGTTGGACATTTGGGTTGGTTCCAAGTCTTTGCTATTGTGAATAGTGCCGCAATAAACATACGTGTGCATGTGTCTTTATAGCAGCATGATTTATAGTCCTTTGGGTATATACCCAGTAATGGGATGGCTGGGTCAAATGGTATTTCTAGTTCTAGATCCCTGAGGTATCGCCACACTGACTTCCACAATGGTTGAACTAGTTTACAGTCCCACCAACAGTGTAAAAGTGTTCCTATTTCTCCACATCCTCTCCAGCACCTGTTGTTTCCTGACTTTTTAATGATTGCCATTCTAACTGGTGTGAGATGGTATCTAATTGTGGTTTTGATTTGCATTTCTCTGATGGCCAGTGATGATGAGCCTTTTTCATATGTTTTTTGGCTGTATAAATGTCTTCTTTTGAGAAGTGTCTGTTCACGTCCTTTCCCCACTTTTTGATGGGGTTGTTTGTTTTTTTCTTGTAAATTTGTTTGAGTTCATTGTAGATTCTGGATATTAGCCCTTTGTCAGATGAGTAGGTTGCAAAAATTTTCTCCCATTTTTTAGGTTGCCTGTTTACTCTGATGGTAGTTTCTTTTGCTGTGCAGAAGCTCTTTAGTTTAATTAGATCCCATTTGTCAATTTTGGCTTTTGTTGCTATTGCTTTTGGTGTTTTGGACATGAAGTCCTTGCCCATGCCTATGTCCTGAATGGTAATGCCTAGGTTTTCTTCTAGGGTTTTTATGGTTTTAGGTCTAACGTTTAAATCTTTAATCCATCTTGAATTAATTTTTGTATAAGGTGTAAGGAAGGGATCCAGTTTCAGCTTTCTACATATGGCTAGCCAGTTTTCTCAGCACCATTTATTAAATAGGGAATCCTTTCCCCATTGCTTGTTTTTCTCAGGTTTGCCAAAGATCAGATAGTTGTAGATATGCAGCATTATTTCTGAGGGCTCTGTTCTGTTCCATTGATCTATATCTCTGTTTTGGTTCCAGTACCATGCTGTTTTGTTTACTGTAGACTTGTAGTATAGTTTGAAGTCAGGTAGCGTGAGGCCTCCGGCTTTGTTCTTTTGGCTTAGGATTGACTTGGCGACGTGGGCCCTTTTTTGGTTCCATATGAAGTTTAAAGTAGTTTTTTCCAATTCTGTGAAGAAAGTCATTGGTAGCTTGATGGGGATGGCACTGAATCTATAAATTACCTTGGGCAGTATGGCCATTTTCACGATATTGATTCTTCCAACCCATGAGCATGGAATGTTCTTCCATTTGTTTGTATCCTCTTTTATTTCATTGAGCAGTGGTTTGCAGTTCTCCTGGAAGAGGTCCTTCACGTCCCTTGTAAGTTGGATTCCTAGGTATTTTATTCTCTTTGAAGCAATTGTGAATGGGAGTTCACTCATGATTTGGCTCTCTGTCTGTTATTGGTGTATAAGAATGCTTGTGATTTTCGTACATTGATTTTGTATCCTGAGACTTTGCTGAAGTTGCTTATCAGCTTAAGGAGATTTTGGGCTGAGACAATGGGATTTTCTAGATATACAATCATGTTATCTGCAAACAGGGACAATTTGACTTCCTCTTTTCCTAATTGAATACCCTTTATTTCCTTCTCCTGCCTAATTGCCCTGGCCAGAACTTCCAACACTATGTTGAATAGGAGTGGTGAGAGAGGGCATCCCTGTCTTGTGCCATTTTCAAAGGGAATGCTTCCAGGTTTTGCCCATTCAGTATGATATTGGCCATGGGTTTGTCATAGATAGCTCTTATTATTTTGAGATACGTCCTATCAATACCTAATTTATTGAGAGTTTTTAGCATGAAGCGTTGTTGAATTTTGTCAAAGGCCTTTTCTGCATCTATTGAGATAATCATGTGGTTTTTGTCTTTGGTTCTGTTTATAAGCTGGATTACATTTATTGATGTGTGTATATTGAACCAGCCTTGCATTCCAGGGATGCAGCCCACTTGATCATGGTGGATAAGCTTTTTGATGTGCTGCTGGATTTGGTTTGCCAGTATTTTATTGAGGATTTTTGCATCAATGTTCATCAAGGATATTGGTCTAAAATTCTCTTTTTTGGTTGTGTCTCTGCCCAGCTTTGGTATCAGGATGATGCTGGCTTCATAAAATGAGTTAGGGAGGATTCCCTCTTTTTCTATTGATTGGAATAGTTTCAGAAGGAATGGTACCAGTTCCTCCTTGTACCTCTGGTAGAATTCGGCTGTGAATCCTTCTGGTCCTGGACTCTTTTTGGTGGGTAAGCTATTGATTATTGCCACAATTTCAGATCCTGTTACTGGTCTATTCAGAGATTCAACTTCTTCCTGGTCTAGTCTTGGGAGGGTGTGTGTGTCCAGGAATTTATCCATTTCTTCTAGATTTTCTAGTTTATTTGCATATAGTTGTTTATAGTATTCTCTGATGGTAGTTTGTATTTCTGTGGGATCAGTGGTGATATCCCCTTCATCATTTTTTATTGCGTCTATTTGATTCTTCTCTCTTTTCTTCTTTATTAGGCTTGCTAGCGGTCTATCAATTTTGTTGATCCTTTCAAAAAACCAGCTCCTGGATTCATTGATTTTTTGAAGGGTTTTTTGTGTGTCTATTTCCTTCAGTTCTGCTCTGATTTCAGTTATTTCTTGCCTTCTGCTAGCTTTTGAATGTGTTTGCTCTTGCTTTTCTAGTTCTTTTAATTGTGACCTTAGGGTGTCAATTTTGGATCTTTCCTGCTTTCTCTTGTGGGCATTTAGTGCTATAAATTTCCCTCTACACACTGCTTTGAATGTGTCCCAGAGATTCTGGTATGTTGTATCTTTGTTCTCATTGCTTTCAAAGAACATCTTTATTTTTGTCTTCATTTCGTTATGTACCCAGTAGTCATTCAGGAGCAGGTTGTTCAGTTTCCATGTAGTTGAGTGGTTTTGAGTGAGTTTCTTAATCCTGAGTTCTAGTTTGATTGCACTGTGGTCTGAGAGACAGTTTGTTATAATTTCTGTTCTTTTACATTTGCTGAGGAGAGCTTTACTTCTAATTATGTGGTCAATTTTGGAATAGGTGTGGTGTGGTGCTGAAAAAAATGTATATTCTGTTGATATGGGGTGGAGAGTTCTGTAGATATCTATTAGGTCCTCTTGGTGCAGAGCTGAGTTCAATTCCTGGGTATCCTTGTTAACTTTCTGTCCCATTGATCTGTCTAATGTTGACAATGGGGTGTTAAAGTCTCCCATTATTATTGTGTGGGAGTCTAAGTCTCTTTGTAGGTCACTCAGGACTTGCTTTATGAATCTGGGTGCTCCTGTATTGGGTGCATATTTATTTGGGATAGTTAGCTCTTTTTGTTGAATTGATCCCTTTACCATTGTGTAATAGCCTTGTCTCTTTTGATCTTTGTTGGCTTAAAGTCTGTTTTTATCAGAGACTAGTATTGCAACCCCTGCCTTTTTTTGTTTTCCATTTGCTTGGTAGATCTTCCTCCATCCTTTTATTTTGAGCCTATGTGTGTCTCTGCACGTGAGATGGGTTTCCTGAATACAGCATGCTGATGGGTCTTGACTCTTTATCCAATTTGCCAGTCTGTGTCTTTTAATTGGAGCATTTAGTCCATTTATATTTAAAGTTAATATTGTTATGTGTGAATTTGATCCTGTCATTATGATGTTAGCTGGTTATTTTGCTCGTTAGTTGATGCAGTTTCTTCCTAGCCTCAATGGTCTTTACAATTTGGCTTGATTTTGCAGTGGCTGGTACTGGTTGTTCCTTTCCATGTTTAGTGCTTCCTTCAGGAGCTCTTTTAGGGCAGGCCTGGTGGTGACAAAATCTCTCAGCATTTGCTTGTCTGTAAAGGGTTTTATTTCTCCTTCACTTATGAAGCTTAGTTTGGCTGGATATGAAATTCTGGGTTGAAAATTCTTTCCTTTCAGAATGTTGAATATTGGCCCCCACTCTCTTCCGGCTTGTAGAGTTTCTGCCAAGAGATCTGCTGTTAGTCTGATGGGCTTCCCTTTGTGGGTAACCCGACCTTTCTTTCTGGCTGCCCTTAACATTTTTTCCTTCATTTCAACCTTGGTGAATCTGACAATTATTTGTCTTGGAGTTGCTCTTCTTGAGGAGTATCTTTGTGGCGTTCTCTGTATTTACTGAATCTGAATGTTGGCCTGCCTTGCTAGATTGGGGAAGTTCTCCTGGATAATATCCTGCAGAGTGTTTTCCAACTTGGTTCCGTTCTCCCCATCACTTTCAGGTACACCAATCAGACGTAGATTTGGTCTTTTCACATAGTCCCATATTTCTTGGAGGCTTCGTTCGTTTCTTTTTATTCTTTTTTCTCTAAACTTCCCGTCTCACTTCATTTCATTCATTTCATCTTCCATCACTGATACCTTTTCTTCCAGTTGATCACATCGGCTCCTGAGGCTTCTGCATTCTTCATGTAGTTCTCGAGCCTTGGTTTTCAGCTCCATCAGCTCCTTTAAGCACTTCTCTGTATTGGTTATTCTAGTTATACATTTGTCTAAATTTTTTCAAAGTTTTTAACTTCTTTGCCTTTGGTTTGAATTTCCTCCTCTAGCTTGGAGTAGTTTGATCGTCTGAAGCCTTCTTCTCTCAACTCGTCAAAGTCATTCTCCATCCAGCTTTGTTCCGTTGCTGGTGAGGAGCTGCGTTCCTTTGGAGGAGGAGAGGCGCTCTGCTTTTTAGAGTTTCCAGTTTTTCTGCTCTGTTTTTTCCCCATCTTTGTGGTTTTATCTACTTTTGGTGTTTGATGATGGTGATGAACAGATGGGTTTTTGGTGTGGATGTCCTTTCTGTTTGTTAGTTTTCCTTCTAACAGACAGGACCCTCAGCTGCAGGTCTGTTGGAGTTTGCCAGAGGTCCACTCCAGACCCTGTTTGCCTGGGTACCAGCAGCGGTGGCTGCAGAACAGTGGATTTTCGTGAACCACGAATGCTGCTGCCTGATTGTTCCTCTGGAAGTTTTGTCTCAGAGTAGCACCTGGCCGTGTGAGGTGTCAGTCTGCCCCTACTGGGGGGTGCCTCCATTTAGGCTGCTTGGTGGTCAGGGGTCAGGGACCCACTTGAGGAGGCAGTCTGCCCGTTCTCAGATCTCCAGCTGCGTCCTGGGAAAACCACTGCTCTCTTCAAAGCTGTCAGACAGGGACATTTAAGTCTGCAGAGGTTACTGCTGTCTTTTTGTTTGTCTGTGCCCTGCCCCCAGAGGTGGAGCCTACAGAGGCAGGCAGGCCTCCTTGAGCTGTGGTGGGCTCCACCCAGTTTGAGCTTCCCGGCTGCTTTGTTTACCTAAGCAGCCTGGGCAATGGCGGACGCCCCTCCCCCAGCCTCCCTGCCACCTTGCAGTTTGATCTCAGACTGCTGTGCTAGCGATCAGCGAGACTCCGTGGGCATAGGACCCTCTGAGCCAGGTGTGGGATATAATCTCCTGGTGCGCTGTTTTTTAAGCCTGTCGGAAAAGCGCAGTATTAGGGTGGGACTGACCCGATTTTCCAGGTGCCGTCTGTCACCCCTTTCTTTGACTAGGAAAGTGAACTCTCTGACCCCTTGCGCTTCCCGAGTGAGGCAATGCCTCACCCTGCTTCAGCTCGCACACAGTGCACTGCACCCACTGTCCTGTGCCCACTGTCTGGCACTCCCTAGTGAGATGTACCCGGTACCTCTGATGGAAAAGCAGAAATCACCCGTCTTCTGCGTTGCTCACGCTGGGAGCTGTAGACTGGAGCTGTTCCTATTCGGCCATCTTGCCCCTGTAATCACCACATTTTCTTTATCCAGTCTATTATTGAAGGGGATTTGGGTTGGTTCCAAGTCTTTACTATTGTGAATAGTGCTGCAATAAACATATATGTGCATGTGTCTTTATGGTAGCATGATTTATAAACCTTTGGGTATATACCCAGTAATGGGATTGCTGGCCTAATGGTATTTCTGGTTCTAGATCCTTGAGGAATTGCCACACTGTCTTCCAAAATGGTGGAACTAATTTACACTCCCACCCACAGTGTAAAAGCATTCCTATTTCTCCACAAATTTGTTTCCTGACTTTTTAATGATTGCCATTCTGACTGGCATGAGATGGTATCTCATTGTGGTTTTGATTTGCATTTTTCTGATGAGCAGTGATGATGAGCATTTTTTCATATGTCTGTTGGCTGCATAAGTGTCTTCTTTTGAGAAGTGTCTGTTCATCTCCTTTGCCCACTTTTTGATGGGGTTGTTTGTTTTTTCTTGTAAATTTGTTTAAGTTCTTTGTATATTCTGGATATTAGCCCTTTGTCAGATGGACAGATTTCAAAAATTTTCTCCCATTCTTTAGGTTGCCTGTTCACTCTGATGATAGTTTCCTTTGCTATGCAGAAGCTCTTTAGTTTAATTAGATCCCATTTGTCAATTTTCGCTTTTATTGCCATTGCTTTTGGTGTTTTAGTCATGAAGTCTTTGCCCATGCCTATGTCCTGAATGGTATTGCCTAGATTTTCTTCTAGGATTTTTATGGTTTTAGGTCTTATGTTTAAGTCTTTAATCCATCTTGAGTTAATTTTTGTAGAAGGTGTAAGAAAGGGATCCAGTTCCAGTTTTCTACACATGGCCTGTCAGTTTTCCCAACACCATTTATTAAATAGGGAATCCTTTCCCCATTGCTTGTTTTTTGTCAGGTTTGTCAAACATCAGATGGTTGTAGATGTGTGATGTTATTTCTGAGGCCTCTGTTCTGTTCCTTTGGTCTATATATCTGTTTTGGTACCATTACCATGCTGTTTTGTTACTGTAGCCTTGTAGTATAGTTTGAAGTCAGGTAGCATGATGCCTCCAGCTTTGTTCTTTTTGCTTAAGATTGCCTTGGCTATGCAGGCTATTTTTTGGTTCCATATGAAATTTAAAGTAGTCTTTTTTCCAATTCTGTGAAGAAAGTCAATGGTAGCTTGATGGGAATAGCGTTGAATCTACAAATTACTTTGGGCAGTGTGGCCACTTTCACAATACTGATTCTTCCTATCCATGAGCATGGAATGTTCTTTCATTTGTTTATGTCCTCTTTTATTTCATTGAGCAGTAGTTTGTAGTTCTCTTTAAGAGGTCCTTCACATCCCTTGTAAGTTGGATTCCTAGGTATTTTATTCTCTTTGTAGTTATTGTGAATGGGAATTCACTTGTGATTTGGTTCTCTGTTTGTCTGTTGTTGGTGTATAGGAATGCTTGTGATTTTTGCACATTGATTTTGTATCCTGAGACTTTGCTGAAGTTGCATATGAGCTTGAGATTTTTGGCTGAGATGATGGGGTTTTCTAAATATACAATCATGTCATCTGTAAACAGGGACAATTTGACTTCCTCTTTTCCTATTTAAATACCCTTTATTTCTTTCTCTTGCCTGATTGCCCTGGCCAGAAGTTCCAATACTATGTTGAATAAGAGTGGTGAGAGAGGGCATTTTTGTCTTGTGATGGTTTTCAAAGGGAATGCTTCCAGTTTTCGCCTATTCAGTATGATATTGGCTGTGGGTTTGTCATAAATAGTTCTTATTATTGGAGATACATTCCATCAATACCTAGTTTATTGAGAGTTTTTAGCATGAAAGGCTGTTGAATTTTATTGAAGGTCTTTTCTGCATCTATTGAGATAATCATGTGGTTTTTTTGGTTGGTTCTGTTTATGTGATGGATTACATTTTTTGATTTATGTATGTTGAACCAGCCTTGCATCCCACAGATGAAGCCCACTTGATCATTGTGGATAACCTTTTTGATGTGCTGCTGGATTTGGTTTGCCAGTATTTTATTGAGGATTTTCGCATCGATGTTCATCAGGGACATTGGTCTGAAATTCTCTTTTTTCTGTGTGTCTCTGCCAGGCTTTGGTATCAGGCTGATGCTGGCCTCATATAATGAGTTAGGGAGGATTCCCTCTCTTTCTATTGATTGGAATAGTTTCAGAAGCAATGGTACCAGATCCTCTTTGCACCTCTGTTAGAATTCGGCTGTGAATCTGTCTAGTCCTGGACATTTTTTGGTTGTTAGGCTATTAATTATTGCCTCAATTTCAGAACCTGTTACTGGTCTATTCAGAGATTCAACTTCTTCCTGGTTTAGTGTTGGGAGGGTGTATGTGTCCAGGAATTTATCCATTTCTTCTAGATTTTCTAGTTTATTTGCATAGAGGTGTTTATAGTATTCTCTGATGGTAGTTTTTCTGTGGGATCAGTGGTGATATCCCCTTTATCATTTTTTTATTGCATCTATTTGATTCTTCTCTCTTTTCTTCTTTATTAGGCTTGCTAGTGGTCTGTTTTGTTGATCTTTTCAGAAAACAAGCTGCTGGATTCTTTGACTTTTTGAAGGGTTTTTTTGTGTTTCTACCTGCTTCAGTTCTGCTCTGATCTTAGTTATTTCTTGTCTTCTGCTAGCTTTTGAATTTGTTTGCTCCTGCTTCTCTAGTTCTTTTAATTGTGATGTTAGGGTGTCGATTTTAGATCTTTCCTGCTTTCTCTTGTAGGCATTTAGTGCTATAAATTTCCCACTACACACTGCTTTAAATGTGTCCCAGAGATTCTGGTACGTTGTGTCTTTGTTCTCATTGGTTTCAAAGAACGTCTTTATTTCTGCCTCAGTTTTGTTATTTACCTAGTAGTTCAATCTTCAGGAGCAGGTTGTTCAGTTTCCATGTAGTTGTGCAGTTTTGAGTGCGTTTCTTAATCCTGCGTTCTAATTTGATGGCACTGTGGTCTGAGAGACTGTTTGTTGTGATTTCTGTTCTTTTACATTTGCTGAGGAGTGTTTACTTCCAATTATGTGGTCAGTTTTAGAATAAGCATGATGTGTTGCTGAGAAGAATGTATATTCTGTTGATTTGGGGTGGAGAGTTCTGTAGATGTCTATTAGGTTCTCTTGATCCAGAGGTGAGTTCAATCCTGGATATCTTTGCTAATTTTCTGTCTCGTTGATCTGTCTAATATTGACAGTGGGGTGTTAAAGTCTCCCACTATTATTGTGTGGGAGTCTAAGTCTCTTTGTAGGTCTCTAAGCACTTGCTTTATGAATCTGGGTGCTCCTGTATTGGGTGCATGTATATTTAGGATAGTTAGCTCTTCTTGCTGCATTGATCCCTTTACCATTATGTCATGAACCTTTCTTTGTCTCCTCTGATCTTTGTTGTCTTAAAGTCTGTTTTATCAGACAGCAGGATTGCAACCCCTGCTTTTTTTTGCTTTTCATTTGCTTGGCAGATCTTCCTCCATCCCTTTATTTTGAGCCTATGTGTGCCTTTGCACGTGAGATGGGTCTCCTGAATACAGCACACTGATTGATCTTGACTCTTTTTCCAATTTGCCAGTCTGTGTCTTTTAATTGGGGAATTAGCCCATTTACATTTAAGGTTAATATTGTTATGTGTGAATTTGATCCTGTCATTATGATGCTAGCTGGTTATTTTGCCCATTAATTGATGCAGTTTCTTCATAGCATCGATGGTCTTTACAATTTGGCGTGTTTTTGCGGTGGCTGGTACTGGTTGTTCCTTTCCATATTATGGGCTTCCTTCAGGAGCTCTTGTAAGGCAGGTCTGGTGGTGACAAAATCTCTCAGCATTTGCTTGTCTGTAAAGGGTTTTATTTCTCCTTCACTTATGAAGCTTAGTTTGGTTGGATATGAAATTCTGGGTTGAAGATTCTTTTCTTTAAGAATGTTGAATATTGACCCCCACTCTCTTCTGGCTTGTAGGATTTCTGCTGAGAGATCTGCTGTTAGTCTGATGGGCTTCACTTTGTGGGTAACCCGACCCTTCTCTCTGGCTGCCCTTAACATTTTTTCCTTCATTTCAACCTTGGTGAATCTGGCAATTATGTGTCTTATGGTTGCTCTTTTTGAGGAATGTCTTTGCGGTGTTCTCTGTATTTCCTGAATTTGGATTTTGGCATGCCCTGCTAGGTTGGGGAAGTTCTTCTGGATAATATCCTGAAGAGTGTTTTCTAACTTGGTTCCATTCTCCCTGTCACTTTCAGGTACACCAATCAAACGTAGCTTTGGCCTTTTCACATTGTCCCATATTTCTTGGAGGCTTTGTTCATTTCTTTGCACTCTTTTTTCTCTAATCTTGTCTTCTGATTTTATTTCATTAATTTGATATTCAATCACTGATATCCTTTCTTCCACTTGATTGAATCAGCTATTGAAGCTTGTGTATGCTTCATGAAGTTCTCGTACTGTGGTTTTCAGCTCCATCAGGTCATTTAAGCTCTTCTCTACACTGATTATTCTAGTTCACCATTCATCTAACATTTTTCTAGGTTTTTAGCTTCCTTGCAATGGGTTAGAATGTGCTCCTTTAGCTCAGAGAAGTTTGTTATTACTGAACTTCTGAAGCCTACTTCTGTCAACTTGTCAAACTCATTCTCCACTCAGTTTTGTCCCCTTGCTGGTGAGGAGTTTTGTTCCTTTGGAGGAGAAGAGGTGTTCTGGTTTTTGGAATTTTTAGCCTTTCTGCTCTGGTTTCTCTCCATCTTTGTGGTTTTATCTACCTTTGGTCTTTGATGTTGGTGACCTATGGATGGGGTTTTGGCGTGGATGTCCTTTTTGTTGATGTTGATGCTGTTCCTTTCTGTTAGTTAGTTTTCCTTCTAACAGACAGGCCCCTCAGCTGCAGGTCTGTTGGAGTTTGCTGGAGGTCCACTCCAGTCCCTGTTTGCCTGGGTATCACTGGTAAAGGCTGCAGAACAGCAAATATTGCTGCCTGATCCTTCCCCTGGAAGCTTTGTCCCAGAAGGGCACCCACCTCTATGAGGTGTTTGTCAGCCCCTACTGGCAGGTGTCTCCCAGTCAGGCTACACTGGGGTCAGGGACCCATTTGAGGAGGGATTCTGTCAGTTATCAGAGCTCGAAAGCCATGCTGGGAGAACCACTGCTGTCTTCAGAGCTGTCAGGCAGGGACATTTAAGTCTGCAGAAGCTGTCTGCTGCCTTTTGTTCAGATATGCCCTGCCCCCAGAGGTGGAATCTATAGAGGCAGTAGGCCTTGCTGAGCTGCGGTGGGCTCCACCCAATTCAAGCTTCCCTGCCTCTTTGTTTACACTGTGAGCATAGAACCGCCTACTCAAGCCTCAGCAATGGTGGATACCCCTCCCCTCACTAAGCTCCAGCATCCCAGGTCAATCTCAGTCTGCTGCGCTGGCAGTGAGCAAGGCTCCATGGACGTGTGAACTGCCTAGCCAAGCATGGGAGGGAATCTCCTGGTCTGCCAGTTGTGAAGACCATGGTAAAAGCATGGTATTTGGGCAGGAGTGTACCATTCCTCCAAGTACAGTCACTCATGGCTTCCTTTGGCTAGCAAAGGGAAATCTCCCAACCCCTTGCACTTCCCAGGTGAAGTGATGCCCTGCCCTGCTTTGGCTCACCCTCCTTGGGATGCACCCACTGTCCAACCAGTCCCAATGAGATGAACCAGGTACCTCAGTTGGAAATGCAGAGATCACCCATCTTCTGTGTCAATTTCACTGGGAGTTGTAGACCGGAGCTGTTCCTATTTGGCCATCTTGGAAGTGACCTCTTTTTTCTTCTTTATTAGTCTGGCTAGTGGCCTAGCTATTTTGTTAATATTTTCAAAAAACCAGCTCCTGGATTCATTGATTTTTTGAAGGGTTTTCCATGTCTCTATCTCCTTCAGTTCTGCTCTGATCTTAGTTATTTATTTCTTCCGCTAGCTTTTGAATTTATTTGCTCTTTCTTCTCTAGTTCTTCTAATTGTGATGTACATATACTTTCTATTGTGGATGAGATAGCTTAGAAAAGAGAATTAAAGTGCAGTTCAGGCTTTGACAGAAGAAAATGGGTAGAAGGGAGAGTATTCCGGGCACCAAGATTTTCCCAGACATGAGGCAATAGAGGTCATGTATGCACTAACAGTTCAGTTTGGCAGGAGATGAAGAAATCAGGGTAGATTATGGAGTTCAGGTTACGTCTTGGAGAACGTTAACTCTAAACAAAGAATAGGAAATCACCGAACTTGTATAATCTTTAAATCCTCCCAAATTATTTTTTCTAAAGCCAAACTTTGTCTTACTTCCTTGGCTCATAGTTTGACAAAGGGAATTGCTTTTTTCTTCTCTGTGTAATTGGTTTCTCTTTTCTAATTACTCTTCCACACATCTACCAGCCATTTGAAACTCCACTTGGTCATGTTGCCTACTGCTTTGAAAATTCTGAGAATATAAAATAGAAGAAAAAGGCAAAGCTGCTTAGCCTGACATTTGATGCTCTCTACAATCTCACTCTGACTTTCCTGTTCAGTTTTATTCTCTGTGAAGTGCTCCAGATCTTTCTGCCCCTGCCTAGCTAGATAATTCACTGCTTTATGGTAGGTTAAGTGCATTTCTGTCTCATGGCCAGAAACCCAACTGTAATGCAATTTTCCTTCTCCCCAAATCCATGAGTCTCATCTTCCTTCTGCATCCAGCCCACATCCAGCTCCTCTAAGATTTCCCTAACCCAACCAGTGATAAACATCAGCTACTGTTCATTTCCCAATATCCTTTGCAGTTTTGTCAAACACTGATTCAGTGACTTACACATTCTTTGGTTCTGCTGAAATTCATAGGATGCCTGCTATGTGTCTGGTGCTAGGAAGATAAATGTCTCAGTCCCACCACTGTTGATAATTTAGTGAGGGAGATAGACAATCACAGTTACAATAGAATGTGAGAGATGCAATAATAGCAGTAAAACTGAGTAACTTGAAAGCACCTAGCACAAATTGGAAATAGAGAGGAAGGGGAGGGAGGGAGAGAGAGAGAGAGAGAAGGCTTCCTGGTAGCAGTGATTTTTCAGCTAAGCTTTAAAGGATGAGTTGTAGTAACAAAGTGATGCTGCAATGTGGGAAGGATCAGTATGTGAGAGAGTGGCTAATTTGAAGGAGCATAAAAGCTAACTCAGCAGATATTTGTTACTAATGATGCTTGTGGAAATGTCCATGCTTTTATGAACAATTTTTCTTCAGTTCAAGTGAGGGACAGGTGCATCATCTATCACTTTTTGTCACTAATCAGTTCCAGTTATGCCAAGCTGACAATTGGAAAAATGTTTTTAAAATCAGCAAATATTAAAATTATTCCAAGTAACAAGCTCTTTCAAAGGGCGACCTGTGTCTTTTCTTCACTAAACTACAGATGATTATGATGATGAGTTACTGCTGACTTTTTACCCCTCTTCAATCAATAACTGGAACCGTTATAAAAAAAAAAACACATTCATTCAGCAAATATTTATTGAGTGCTGTATCAGACTCCTTTTATGCACCACTGCAGGTCCTCTCCTCCTCACCTGTCTCTGTGTGTGCTCCTACCAGCTTCCTCCAGGGGCAACTATCCCACACTGAGCTACTTGCTCCTTTTCTGTTGACCACAAGGAAGGAGGTTCTGGGGGTCCCTGTACAGCACCCATGCATACACAGCTCAAAAAGGCAAGGGAGTACAAGGGAAATGGGGCTAGTGGATGAATTCTTCCCTCAGAGGACAGTCTTGAGGTGCAGTTTCTATGCTTAGCAGAAGATGATGTCTTGAGATGGGGCAAATATTTGCCCTTGGTATTCATCTTAAGGAATGGTTCTCCCTCTTGCTTCATAACCCCTTATCTTCATCCTCACTTTTGCTTCCCTGGCATTTCATTCACAGGCAAAGTAGTTGAACTTAAAACTCTTGTCTTCAGCTTTGCTTTCTGGGGATTCAAGGTTAAGACAAACACTTAACTATGTGCCAGGCACTGTTCTAGGCTCTCAGGATACAGGGAACAAAGACCACTGTGGTTTGTCTTCATAAGGAATGTGAAGATAAAAATCATGTCCTTTGTGTCTATGCAAACATTTTATTTTTAAAAAGACTTTTATCTACAATGTTCTCTGCTAAAGGAAGAAATGGTGTGGGAGGAGTATTAGGGTAGAACACTTAATAAGCTATATTTTATATAATTGGAGCGTAGGGCATATGGAGCTTTGTGATAAAGGATAAATAGAAAACAAAGAGAACAGGCGTCATAGAATAATCCTAGGTCCTATGGCCATAAGTTTTTCCCAGAATATATTGTATTTCTCACCTTTTATTTCAGTTGTAGATACTTCTTTCTGGATTCCCATGCCGAGCCTCAACTTCCGTTCCCTTAATTATCAATTATTTCTTTCTCATCTAATGCCTAAGTTTAAACAACTGATATGTGTTTCTATGAGGCTATGACCTTCTTTACAGATCTATGATCAACACATTAGGATGTCTGATCATTAGAGCATGTTTTGGGAAGACTGAGGATTCAGAGTTAAATCTCAAGATTAAACGTCTTTTTATATGTTTTTTAATACTTGGCGGCTTAGAGTTCACAGTTTCCATGCTAATGGCATTGTAAGTTTTTCTTTAAGCATGCGAAATGGCTAAAGAAGCAGATATTTTTTATTACTGAAGGCTTTGAAAATATGTTAAAGGGAAGATATTTTCATTTTTATTAGTCGTTTTATTTATTTATTTATTTATCTTTTCTTTTTTTCTTTTCTTTTTCCTTTTTTTTTTTTTTTTTTTTTTTTTGAGACAGAGTCTAACTCTGTCTCCACCCAGGCTGGAGTGCAGTGGCACAATCTTGACTCACTGCAACCTCTGCTTCCCAGGTTCAAGCGATTCTTGGGCCTCAGTCTTCTGAGTAGCTGGGACTACAGGCACGTACCACCACACCCGGCTAATTTTTGTATTTTTAGTACAGACGGGGTTTCACCATGTTGGCCAGGCTGGTCTCGAACTCCTGGCCTCATGTAATCTGCCTGCCTTGGCCTCCCAAAGTGCTGGGATTACAGGCATGAGCCACTGTGCCCGGCAATTTTAGCAGTCATTTTAAAACATTCCACAGTGAAGAGGAGGTGCCATTATTTTGGTATGCCTGAATGATCTTCTGAACCCGCACACCTATTCTGATCTCTAGAACATTTAAAAAACAACATCTCATCTGCCACCCCGGCTAGCTCTGCCCCAACTTTCTCCCCTCAAATTAGAATCTTTTCCACATCCTCCTTGTCAAGGCTCTGCCTGAATATGGCCAGTCATGTGAAATTCCACATAAGTGCCTCATTTGCCAAGGGATTTCATTGACCTGGGGTAGATGGATATGGTCCATTGGTCACTATAAGAAACACCATGGAAGTGTTGCTTAACTGGGCTGCTCTTAGTGGAAGCAGCCCCTGGTGATGGCTCCGAATAATCACCAGTACCATCTCATCATACACTTACAGAGGCAGGTGAAAAGTCAGGAGATAGGAGGTCTGCAATCAGACTTTGGAAATTTGTTCTCTGGCAAACATGGCATCAATATACTGAAAATGTGTATGGAGCATACAATAAACAATTGTTTCTTTCTTCTTCCTGGTTTCAGATTTTCTGAGTTTCAATGCCAGTTTTAAATTCTGGCTCCTGTCAAAAAAGTCAATCACTTTGCAAAGAGCAGTGCTTCCGCCTCTTAGAAAATAGTAGGAGGCTCTACTCATAAAGGGAAACATTTGAAAAGATTAAATTTTGGTTGCTACCTTAAAGTAGGATTTAGCATTTAATACAATAATTTTTGGCAAGAGTTTGGCTGATTTCTTCCCTGCCCAGGACTGTTACTGGCTGTTCTTGCTTTATTATTAGCCTCCTTTTTAAAAAGCAGCACCTCCACTCTTTTATGCATCAGTTAGAAGGCAGGGTCCCTACTCTTAGTTTCTTGAACTGAGCTGGAATTTGTAGTTTGATATAGGGAGAGTGTTTTCTGCACTTTTTTCTTTCTGGTAAGTATAAAAATGGAATGCAAATAAAAGTTAAAAGTGTTCACTGACTTTTAATACCACATGAACAGTTCTTGCAGAAGCACATTAGCTTTGTAAAAATTATCAGAGACTCTAATTGTCCCCTAAATGACATATTTTTGCATGATGCCAACTTCAGGGCAAACTTGCCTAACAGGCCACATTTTTTAGGGGTTGGGTTGGTTGGGCAATAGCTAATTTTCAATGAATAAGGGTTGCCTTTGGAGTTCGTAGGGGACTTTCACAGATATGAAAAAATGACACTTGTTTTCTACTTGGCTTGCATATTTGAGTGCATACACTTGGCCAGATGCTTAGAGGGAGTGATGAGTCTTAGGACCCTGGCCCCCAGTAATTGATCAGGGCTAAATCCTGTCATCAGGTCTCAATTGTTTCCAGATAGATGATTTGGTACTATAATGCTGTTACCACATGATTTTGAGGGATCCCCACTACTTGGAGACTTCTTTTCCTGAACCTTATGACCTTATGTCAGAGTCCCAGATTCTAATGCTGGTGGAGACATAAGAGTTCTGGCTGATATAATATAAACACAGGAATGAGTCAAATGGGTACTGAAATAATGACAAAGATGGATTTGAGAATGAAGCTTGGACCTTAGGCCAATGTGGATGGAGTTACCAATGCTTTCCCCTGAATTAAAGATGACTGGGCCAACAGAGAGGAGAGCCAGGTTTATTATGCCTTGGACGTAGCTGTGCAACCATAGAATGGCTTGCCCCTTCTGTGGGAGAAGGGAAGACCCTACTAAGGGGCCTACTGCATGGGGTCTAGAAGTACAGACACCTGCCGTGCATGGTGATAAGTAAGTCAAGAGGCCAAGGGAGAGTCAATAAATAGCATCTTGTTTTTGTGACATCTACCGGTGTGATAGGCCAATTGGATTAGGCATCTCTCCCAAGAGAAACAGCAAGTAAGGGATCAGAAAGACAGACTGGAAGTGTTTCCTCTGAGGAGATTTCATTGGTTCTCCCTTTTGTAGGCTTGGTCAGAAATCCTCTCTTCTCCATGGAAATATGAGGATTAGTGGAGAAATTTTAGACTTATAAAAAATAACATTTACAAACATTTTATATAACATTTAAAATGTTTTATAACATTTAAAATAACATTTAAAACATTTAAAAAGCATAAACATTTAAAAAGCATTAAAAATAAGTAATTACAAAATCACATAAGTTGTAAATATACATTTAATGAATAATTTAAAAGCTATGCTTGTGGACACCTCCAGCCCCCAACCATCCACGAAAAGAAAAAGAATGCTGCCAGTACCTCCAAAGTCCCTTCTGATAACTTGGTTGTTGGTCAACTTAGCTGAGCTAAAAATATGTCTCCCAAAATTTTCTTCCTGTTGGTTTTGTGTTGGGCTTAGCAGCAAGGGAAATTTGCATGAGATTTGAAAGCAGGGGATAAAGGAGCATCTGTTTTTTTTTAAAAAAGTTTTCATAAATTTTTAATTGACAAATAATTGTCTATATTTATGGGATATAATATGTTGTTTTGCTATCTGTATACATTGTTGAAAGAGTAAATCAAGTTAATGAACATATCCATCCCCTGACCTATTTTTTTTGTGGTGAGAACATTTAAAATATGCTCTTCCAACAATTATGAAATATATAATACATTATAGTTAACCACAGTTACCATGCTGTGCAATAAATCTCTACAATGTATTCCTTTTTTGTAACTGAAACTTCATACCCTTTGACCAACATTTCTTCTTTACCCATCCTCTGGTGACCACCATTCTACTCTCTCCCATGATATCAACTTTAAAAAAATTATTTTAAATTCAGGGATACAGTGCAGGTTTGTTACACAGGTAAGCTTGTGTGATGGGGGTTTGTGGTACAGATTACTTCATCACCCAGGTATTAAGCCTAGTACCCATTAGTTATTTTTTCTGATCCGTTCCCTCCTCCTACCCTCCATTCTCTGATAGGTCCCAGTGTGTGTTGTTTCCCTCTTTGTATCCACATGTTCTCATCATTTAGCTCCCACTTATAAGTGAGAACATGCAGTATTTGGTTTTCTGTTCCTGTATTAGTTTGCTAAGGATAATGGGCTCCAGCTCCATCCATGTCCCTGCAAATGATATGATCTCATTCTGTTTAATGGCTGCATAGTATTTTGTGGTGCATATGTACCACATTTTCTTTATCAAGTCTATCATTGATGGGCATTTAGGTTGATTCCATGTCTTTGCTATTGTGAATAGTGCTGCAATGAAAATATGCATGCATGTGTCTTTTTATAATATAATGATTTATATTCCTTTGGGTATATACCCAGTAATGGTATTGCTGGGTCGAATGGTATTTCTGTCTTTAGGTCTCTGAGGAATCGCCACACTGTCTTCCACAATGGTTGAAATAATTTCTGCTCCCACCAACAGTGTATAAGTTCCTCTTTCTCCACAACCTCATCAACATCGGTTATTTTTTGACTTTTTAGTAATAGCCATTCTGACTGGTGTGAGATGGTATCTCATTGTTGTTTTGATTTGCATTTCTTTAATGAAAAATGATGTTGAGCTTTTTTTCATATGATGCTGACCACCTGTATGTCTTCTTTTGAGAAGTGTCTGTTCATGTCCTTTGCCCACTTTTTAATGTTTTTTTTTCTTGTAAATTTGTTTAACTTCTGTACAGATGCTGGATATTAGACCTTTGTTGGATGCATAGTTTGCAAAAATTTTCTCCCATTCTCTAGATTGTCTGTTTACTGTGTTGATAGTTTCTTTTGCTGGGCAGAAGTTCTTTAGTTTAATTAGATCCTATTTGTCAATTTTTGTTTTTGTTGCAATTGCTTTTGGCATCTTTGTCATGAAATCTCTGCTCATGCCTATGTTCTGAATGGTATAGCCTTCATTGTCTTCTAGGGTTTTTATAGTTTTGGGTTTTACATTTAAGTCTTTAATCCATCTCGAGTTACTTTTAGTACATGGTGTAAGGAAGGAGTTTGGTTTTAGTCTGCATATGGCTACCAGTTATCCCAGCACCATTTATTGAATATGGAATCCTCTCCCCATTGCTTGTTTTTGTCAGGTTTGTAGAAGATCAGATAGTTGTAGGTGTGTGGTCTTATTTCTGGGTTCTCAATTCTGTTCCACTTATGTATGTGTCTGTTTTTGTATCAGTACCATGCTGTTTTGGTTACTATAATCCTGTAGTATAGCTTGAGGTCAGATGGTATGATCACTCCAGCTTCATTCTTTGTGTTATTATTATTATTATTTTTTGAGATGGAGTTTTTGCTCTCTCATTGCAATCTCTGCCTCCTTGGTTCAAGCAATTCTCCTGCCTCAGCCTCCCTAGTAGCTGGGATTACAGGCACCCGCCACCATGCCCAGCTAATTTTTGTATTTTTAGTAGAGATGAGGTTTCACTATGTTGGCCAGACTGGTCTTAAATTCTTGACCTCAGCCTCAGCCTGCCTTGGCCACCTGCCTTGGCCTCCCAAGGTGCTAGGATTACAGGCGTGAGCCACTGTGCCCAACCCCCAGCTTCATTCTTTTTGCTTAGAATCGCCTTGGCTATTCAAGCTTGTTTTTTATTCCATATGAATTTTAAAATAGTTTTATCTAGTTCTGTAAAGAATCTCAATGGCAGTTCAATAGGAATAGCATTAAATCTATAAATTGCTTTGGGCAGTATGGCCATTTTAATGATATTGATTCTTTCTATCCATGAGCATGGAATGTTTTTCTGTTTGTTTATGTCCTCTGATTTCTTATGTCTTTGAGCAGTTGTTTATAGTTCTTTTTTTTTTTGAGACAAAGTTTCACTCTTGTTGCCCAGGCTGGAGTGCAATGGTGCAATCTCAGCTCACTGCAACCTCTGCCTCCTGGGTTCAAGCGATTCTCCTACCTCAGCCTCCTGAGTAGCTGGGATTACAGGCATGTGCCACCACACCCGGCTAATTTTGTATTTTTAGTAGAGACGGGTTTTCTCCATGTTGGTCAGGTTGATCTCAAACTCCCGACCTCAGGTGATCCACCCTCCTTGGCCTCCCAAAGTGCTGGGATTACAGGCATGAGCCACCATGCCTGGCTATAGTTCTTGTAGAGACCTTTCACCTCCCTGGTTAGCTATATTCCCAGGTATTTTATTCTTTTTGTGGCAAATGTGAATGGGAGTTCACTCCTGATTTGGCTCTCAGCTTGACGTTGTTGGTGTATAGGAATGCTAGTGATTTTTGCACATTGATTTTGTATCCTGAGACTTTGCTGAAGTTGTTTATCAGCTTAAAAGCTTTTGGGATGAGACTATGGAGTTTTCTAGATACAGGATCATGTTGTCTGCAAACCAGGATAGTTTGACATCCTCTCTTCCTATTTGGATGCCTTTATTTCTTTCTCTTGCCTGATTGCCCTAGCCAGAACTTTCAATACTATGTTGAATAGGAGTGGTGAGAGAGGGCATCCTTATCTCGTGCCAGTTTTCAAGGGCAATGTTTACAGCTTTTGCCATTTCAATATGATGTTGGCAGTGGGTTTGTCATGGATGGCTCTTATTATTTTGAGTTATGTTCCTTCAATACCTAGTGTATTGAGAGTTTTTAACATGAATGGATTTGAATTTTATTGAAAGCCTTTTCTGTATCTATTTAGCTTGAATAGGTTCTCAGATCTGATACATTTAAAATGACCTTATTTCCAATGCTAAAGAGGCACTGGTAGCTTGTCGCATGCAGTGAGAAAATAGTTACTTAAATTTCACTTGTGAACTGTTTATCAGAGACAAGGCTTTAGATGACCAAGTAGCTGCTTTTATAGATTACTGTTAGTGACAATAAAGAATGTAAGGGTTTTGTTTGCCTTTAAGTGCAATAGAGAACTTGGGGGGGAAATGATCAGTTAACAGCTTTAAATTATGGATTTGTTTTTAGTTCTGTTTATGTGATGTATCACATTTATTGATTTGCATATGTTGAACCAACCTTGCATCCCAGGAATCAAAACTACTTGATCATGGTGGATAAGCTAACTGATGTGCTGCTGGGTTTGATTTGCCAGTATTTTGTTCAGGATTTTTGCATTATTGTTCATCAAGGATATTTGCCTGAAGCTTTCTTTTTTCGTTGTTTCTTTGTCAGGTTTTGGTATCAGGATGATGCTGCCCTCATAGAATGAATTAGGGAGGAGGAGTCCCTCCTCCTCCATTTTTTGGAATAGTTTCAGTAGGAATGGTACCAGCTCTTCTTTGTGCATCTGGTATAATTCAGCTGTGAAGCCGTCTGGTCCTGGACTTTTTTTAGTTGGTAGGCTATTTATTATTCCCTCAATTTTAGAGCTCAGGATTGGTCTCTTCAGGGGTTCAGTTTCTTCCTGGTTCAGTCTTGGGAGCATGTATGTGTCCAAGAATTTATCCATTTCATCTAGATTTTCTAGTTTATGTGCATGGAGGTGTTCACAATATCCTCTGATATTTTTTTGTATTTCTGTGGGGTCAGCGGTAATATCCCACTGTTTGTTTCTCATTATTTTTATGTGAATCATCTCTCTTTTCTTCTTTGTTAGTCTAGTTAGTGGTCTAACTATTTTATTAATGTTTTCAAAAACCAGCTCCTGCATTCATTGATCTATTGAATGGTTTTTATTTCCTCAATCTCCTTCAGTTCAGCTCTCAGCTCTGATTTTGGTTATTTCTTGTCTTCTGCTATCTTTGGGACTTGTTTTAGTTGTGATTTTAGGTTGTTAACTTGAGATTTTTCTAACTTTTTGATGTGGGCATTTGGTGCTATAAATTTCCCTCTTAACACTGCCTTATCTGTGTTCCAGAGATTCTGATATGTTGTATCTTTGACCTCATTAGTTTCAAATAACTTATTCATTTCTGCCTTAATTTCATTATTTACCCCAAAGTCACTCAGGAGCAGGTTATTCAATTTACATGTAATTGTATGGTTTTGAGTACATTTCTTAGTCTTTATTTCTAATTTGATTGTGCTGCGGTCTGAGAGACTCTTCGTTATGATTTCCATTCTTTTGCATTTCCTGAAGAGTGTTTTACTTCCGATTATGTGATTAATTTTAGAGTATGTGCAGTGCAGCAATGAGAAGAATGTATATTCTATTGTTTTTTAGGTGTAGATTTCTGTAGATATCTGCCAGGTCCATTTGATCCAGTGCTGAGTTCAGGTCCTGGATATCTTTGTTAATTTTCTATCTTGATGATTTGTCTAATATTGTCAATGGTGTGTTAAAGTCTCCCACTATTATTGTGTGGGAGTCTAAGTCTCTTTGAAGGTCTGTAAGAGGTTGCTTTATGAATCTGTGTACTCCTGTGTTGGGTACATATATATTTAGAGTAGTTAGATCTCTTTGTTGAATTGAACCCTTTACCATTACATAATACCTCTCTTTGTCTTTTTTGATCTTTGTTGCTTTAAAGTCGTTTTGTCAGAAACTAGGATTACAACCACTGAGTTTTTTCTGCTTTCCATCTGCTTGATAAATTTTCCTCCATCCCTTTATTTTGAGCCTATGTGTATCATTACATGTGAGATGCATCTCTTGAAGACAGCATAATAATGGGTCTTGGTTCTTTATCCAGCTTGCCACTCTCGAGTCTTCTCATTGGGGCATTTAGCTCATTTACATTTAAGATCAGTATTGATAGGTGTGAATTTGATCCTGTCATCATGATGTTAGCTGGTTATTTTGCAGACTTATTTATGTGGTTGCTTTATAGTGTCACTGGTCTCTGTACTTCAGTGTGTTTTTGTAGTGGCTGGTAATGATCTTTCCTTTCCATATATAGTGCTTCCTTCAGGAGCTCTTGTAAAGCAGGTCTGGTGGTAGCAAATTCCCTCAGCATTTGCTTTTCTGAAGCTTAGTTTGCCGGATATGAAATTCTGAGTTGGAATTTCTTTACTTTTTTTTTTGAGACAGAGTTTCACTCTTGTTGCCCAGGCTGGAGTGCAATGGCATGATCTCAGCTCACCACAGCCTCCGCCTCCTGGGTTCAAGCGATTCTCCTGCCTCAGCCTCCCAAGTAGCTGGGATTACAGGTGTGTGCCACCACACCTGGCTAATTTTGTATTTTTAGTAGAGATGGGGTTTCTCCATGTTGATCAGGCTGGTGGCAAACTCCTGGCCTCAGGTGATCTGCCCACCTCAGCCTCCCAAAGTGCTGGGATTACAGGCATTAGCCACCGTGCCCAGCCGGAATTTCTTTTCTTTAAGGATGTTGAATATTGATCCATAATCTCTTCTGGCTTGTTTCCAAACCCTTGCTGGAGATGTGATGTGGTCATTTGGAGGAAAGAGGCACTCTGGCCTTTTTCAGCATCCTTCCACTATGTCTTTCTTATCTTTGTGGGCTTAACTATCTTCAGTCTTTGAGGTTGCTGACCTTTGGAATGTTTTCTTTTGTTTTATCCTATTTGATAACCTTGAGGGTTTGATTGTAGAAAAAGGTGGATTCAGCTAACTGACTTCATTTCTGAGAGATTTTAGGGGGCCAACACTCAACTCCCAACTCCTGGACTGTGTGCGCTACCTCTGGGTGACTTCTATTGGTCCCCAACTTTGTTCTCCGGCTCCTCGAGGTATCAGGTCTACTGCACTGGGGGTATCAAGGTGTGGCAGCAGTGCTAGCAGATGCAAGGGTGCCTGCCTCCCTGCGGTCATTCACCACAGTGGCAGAGGCAAGGCAGCTGGGGGGAAGTGGGGGCCCCTGCTGGAGACAGTGAGCAATGTTGCACTGGAGGTGGTGTTGGCTTGGGGCAGGGTGCTGGCCAGCACAGGTCTGGGTGCCTTCTCTGTGCCCTGAAAGCATGAGTGATCACTCAAGGTATGAGAGGATCCTCTTTTCTCTGCATAGCATTAGCGTAAAGGTGGGGCACTGGTGGTGGTGGGGCTTGCAGGCCCTGTGCCTGCCGAGGCTCTGTCTGTAATGGTGGTCAGCAGGGGTAGGGGGGCATACTGCACTCCTGCATGCTGGTGGGGCAAGTAAAGAAAACTCACCAGTGAAGACATGCACCAGCAAAGTGATGTGGGGAGTTGCCATGGGCTCAGGGGAAGCTGAAGTATGGGGAGGGAATGTGCAGGCTGGTGTGCAGCTGTAGGGGCTGCCTTGCTGGAGCTCTTCACCAGTGGTCCACTGGTGCAGAAGTTATGGTATAGAATCCCAAGGCACCCAAGACTGCCTTGTAAGCAGGCATGCCAGGAGAGGCCAACAGACCGAGGAGTGCTCAGGTTGGACCAACCTTGTCTGATGTGAAAGACCACCCTGCAGAGATCAGGTCTGGCAGTTCCTCTATGGCTAAAGTCTCATGGGAGCAAGTCTAGCCTAGAGGAATGACCATCCCTGGCCACGCTCTGCTACAGATGCTGCCACACCAAACCCTCTGGGCTCCACATTAGCTGGCTTGCTGCCCCACATTTGCTTGTCTCCTGGGGTCTCCACCCCAGAGAGATGTGGGTCAGCAATTGTTCAGTGCAATCATCCCAGGATGGAGGGTCTATGTTGTGAGCCCAGGCTAGAAGCTCCCTGTCTGGTGATGAGCACTTGCGGGGGGAGGTGTGGCACATGTCGGAGACAGACTGGACTCCTCTCTTTGGGTGGATGGCAGCTTTTTGGAGGTGTAGATAAGGCACTTATGGTAATGATATGCTTCTTACTCAGCCCAAGGGTAGCAAGGACAGCTCCACTGAAGAGGCAGTGGCAGAGAGGTTTCAGTTGTTCCTGGAGGCTCTGTCCAGGGACTTGCCGAGTTGCTACTGGCTCAACAGCTCTGGTGGGAGGTGGCTAGAGGCCCAGACCTGGAGGACCTACCTCGTGAGGAGATATGGGAATGGGCACCCAGGTAACAGTCTGGCCTCCTTTCCGTAGGACTGCTGTGGCATGCTGGGGATCTGCTCCAGTCCCTAGTCACCTCAGATGTTCCAGTACCTGGAGGTATCACCAGTGAAGGCTGCAAAACAGAAAGAAGGCAGCCTGCTTCTCCATCTGGGAGCTCTGTACCAGGGAGGTACTGACCTGTTGCTCATCTGAATGCATCTGTAAGAGGTGGCTGGAGACCCCCCACCCAGTAAGGAGGAATGAGATCAGGGGCCCACTTTAAAAAGTAGTCTGGCCATGTTTCCGTAGAGCAGATGTGCTGTGCTAGGGTACCACTTCCACCCCTGGTCAGCTTGGACTCTCCAAAGCCCAAAGGCTGAAACTGCTTAGTTGCCCTAACAGCAAAGATGGATTCTTGCCCCTCATCCTAGGAGCTCTGTCCCAGGGAGTTTTCAAGTCTCCTGCAGGCCAGAGAACACTGACGGGGGGAGGCACAACACTGCTACCAGTGGCTGCTTGGAATTCCAAGTAAGTGGGTCTTAACCTGTGAGGCACTGTGGAAGTGGGGCCCACAGACTGTCACTGTTTGGCCCCCTGGATTCAGCTTATTTCCTAGGGGTATTTATGGAGGTCTAACCTCCCACTTTGCTAGAGTTGCAGCTACTTTTGCTGGGAAGCCGGGAAAGCCAGAGTATGTAAAGCTCCCAGATCTCCATGTGTGCCTGGGCAACTGCTCTGCTGAGACACCATGTATCTCTGTGTGTCAGACTGAAGGCCCTGGTGGAGTGGGTTCATGAGGGCATCTCCTGATCTGAGGCTTGCAAAGATCCATGGGAGAAGCTGGGGTCGCACATTCACTCACCACTTCCCTGGGCAGGGGAGTTTCCCTTGGCTCCATGTCACTCCCAGGTGGGCTGTTGTTCTGCTTTGCTTTTCTCTGTTCTCTATGGGTTGAGTTGTTTCCTTGATTAGTCCCAATATGAGTACCTGGATGTTTCAGTCAAAGGTGCTATATTTACTTTCCTCTCCCATTCCTCTCCATGTAAGCCATGTACACTAGCTGCTTCTAGTTGGCCATCTTGGCCACTCTCACCCAACATCTGTTTTATGATCTGAAGATTGGTGTTGGGTGTTTGGCCTGTGGCAGCTTGCACATGCCTCACTGAAGGGCTCACTTGCCTTGTTGGTGTGGAACAGCACTCAGGATTGTGGTAGCTTCAGCTCCTGAGGGTCCTCGTTTTTTGACTTGAGACTGGAGCCAGGTGTGTTGAAGCTCCATGATAAAGGTACCAGCTTCACCTGCAGGTTATATGCTGTATGGATTATGGAGTCAGTTAGAGACAGACTCAGGCTCTAGTTTTTCATGAGTTCCAGTTTGTTCTCATGGATTCTATTTCCTCCTTGTGCACTCCAGTTTGTTTTTGCTCTTGCCCACTTCATGGCTAGCTCTTCCCTTTGACTGCCAGCCTGGCTGATTTAAAGCTATTGAAGGCCCATCACCAGACACAAAGTATAACATGTATTCCCTACAGTAAGTTCCTTATTCTACTATGTCACTCTTCATGGTTCCACTTCTTGGATCAAACCTTGATTGATACTGAATTTGGTGTTGGAAGTAGTTCCAGGGGAACAGAACCCAAAGGATGGATTCTCTGAATTGGTTCTAGGCTACCTGGAATAGGTTCTCAGATCTGAAACATTTAAAATGACCCTTTTTCCAATGGTAAAGAGACACTGGTAGTTCATGGCATGCAGTGAGAATATAGATACTTAAATTTCATTTGTGAACTGTCTATAGAAGACAAGGCTTTGGATGACAAAGTAGTTGCTTTCATAAAATACTTTTAGTGACAATAAGGATGTAAGGGTTTTGATTGTTTGCCTTTAAGTGCAATAGAAAACTTGGGGGGAAAATGATCAGTTCATGGCTTTAAATTATCAGCTCGATATATAGGCAAACAACTGTGAAGATTATAATAATGCCCTAACAGAAATGTCTTGTGACCATGGGACCAAGATTTGGAAAACCAAGTTTAATGATAAATGGCTGAATTACAAGGCAAATTGAATTCTCAACCTCACCAGATGTCTATGTTAAAGTTAGGCCATTGACTGGGAAGGAGTGGGGCCCTAAAAATTTGATTGGGACATTTATGCTGATTCTATGGAAGTTGAGGACCTTCAACCCATAAATTCCACGAAACCTTTTTTGCCAGCAGAAGTTATACCTCTCTCTTCTGTCTGATGAGGATGGCTCCCTTGCTGAAGGAAGCAGTACTGACCTTCTTTGAGGAGACTGCTAATCTTCTGTAGGACATACCTCTACCACATCTCATTGTTTCTTGACCTATGATAGGACTAAATTTTTGCCATGCCCCAGGTAGTAAGATATAAAGTGTGCCCTATAAGAAGATACAATCAACATGTAAAAAAGATAGCAAGATTTTGCCAACTTATACCACCAGAAACCTCAGAAACTGGGCATTGATGCTACAGGTACTGGATCAGGGTGAAGGCATATGTTAGTTTGGAAGGAGTTTGTTGATATAGGTTTACCAAACCAAGATTTTGGATTTCCTGACTTAGTTCAAATGGTTGAGAGGGGCTCTAATAGTTTGATCAGTTTGTTGACAGAAACCTCCACCCAGAGGGTCCCTTACATTAAATAAAGTTTAAATGCCAGAGCTTTCATGAAACCCTTTAGAAGATATACAAAGGCTTAGCGACCCTAGGATGCTAGAATGAATCGACCATCAAAGGTCTGCTTGTTCATGCCATAATTCATGCCCACACCCCTAGAAGTGTCCCAAGGATGCTTCCTCAATCAAGGCTTTAAGAAATGCATTTGTGAAGTGAGCCACAGCATCACTAGAAAGCTCTGTGGTGGCTATTTTCTGTAGTCCAGAAATGACAGCAGAAAGTACTGCCAATAACTGAATTCAATGAGAATGACAGCATCCAGGAATGGCATGGGCCAAGTGGTAGCACTTAATGGACAGCAGAGCTGAAGTAGCTGTGAGAATGGTCTGAGCTGTAGAAATCTTTGGTATTGGTATCTGATCATGATATCCTTAGAACTGCAGTAGATAGACATCCTAGTAAAGTCTTACTCGATTTGAAAAGTAGCTCTAGGTCTGGTAAACAAGTCTGATCTGAAACGCCATAATAGAGAGTCAATATACTCTCAACCAATCCTCAGACTTTATTCTCTTGACAGATAAAAAGTCCCTTGAATGAAGGATCCCTTAAATGAAGGATCTTTGTATATGGAATTCCTTTGAGAAAAAACTCGTTACACAGGCAATATTTATATTATAATACTCCTCTTAGCCTTGTCAAAAGGGACCTATAGTCATTTCCCAGGATAATTGTGCATTGGCAAAAGAAGAATAATCAGACTTTGTGGTTCTGATTCTGAATTGACACTAATTCCTGGAGAAACAAAATGCTACTGCAGTCCACCAGTCAGAATAGGGTTAAATGAAGTCAAGTGATAAATGAGCTTTTGGCTTGTGTCAATCTGGAAGTGGGTTCAATGAGTTCCTGAACCTACCTTGTGATTAATTTTCCAGTTCTAGATTGCACTGTTGGAATAGACATATTCAGAAACTGACAGAAGCCCAAAGTTGGTTCTGTATCCTTTGAGGTAAGAGCTGTTATGGTAGGAAAGGCTAAACAGATGCTACTAAAACTGCCTCTACCCACCAAATTAGCAAACCAACAGTAATATTGTATTCTTAGAATGATTGCAGAGATTAATGCCACCATCAAGGATTTGAAAGATTCAGGTGATTATTCCTACTAAATCTTCATTTGCTATTTGG